>NC_000010.11:36704212-37008495 GCF_000001405.40 Homo sapiens
GCAGTGCTTTTACAAAATTATAGTCTTCGTGTTGTGTGTGTATGTGTGTTTGCAAATGTGTGTGAGTGTATGTGAAAAGGGGATTAGAAGAGATGAAAGCAATTTTCCATATTGCTTACCTCTGCAAATTTTGTTTTTAAAAACATTATTTCAGTTGTTTATAATAATAAAGTCTTAGAAATTGTATCTCATTTTCTATTATAGAATTGGTCCAATAATTTTCTGTTTTTCTCAATATATGATGTGCTCTAGAATACAGCTTATTTTCCTCTTTTATCTTCCTTAAACTTTCCTAAAAAATAACATTTTGTTTGATCACCTGTTAACGGTCTGTTAACTGAAAGGTAATTCATGTAAATAGAAGGAAACAAAGAGTAAATTTAGGTAGAAAATAAAAATTGAAAAGAGGAAAAAAATAAGATGAAGAACACTGTTTCAAAATTTAATAAAACTATATTTCCATTCAGATTCATAAATATTTTAAAAGCCTAGGGTTCTTCAAACATTCTTCCAGGAAGTTGATTTTCAAAGTATTCTTATTTTCAGTTAAGAGGAAAATGAAGGGATACAATTTAGATTATATCAATCTCAATTCAAATGAAGACATTTTGTTTTACTTTTTGAAACTCTAGAATGTAATAATCTGAACACAATCTGAAATTATGTCCAATATGTATATTAAGAATAATCATGGCCGGGCGCAGTGGCTCACGCCCGTAATCCCAGCACTTTGGGAGGCTGCGGCGGGCGGATCTCGAGGTCAGGAGATGGAGACCATCCTGGCCAACATGGTGAAACCCCATCTCTACTAAAAAAAATACAAAAAATTAGCCGGGCGTGGTGGCGAGCGCCTGTAGTCCCAGCTACTCTGGAGGCTGAGGCAGGAGAATGGCGTGAACCCGGGAGGCAGAGCTTGCAGTGAGCCGAGATCGTGCCACTGCACTCCAGCCTGGGCGACAGAGCAAGACTCCGTCTCAAAAAAAAAAAAAAAAAAAAAAAAAAAAAAAAGAATAATCATTTAGAGGCACTATTGTAGTCTGAATTAAATGATTAAAAGTGGATGTGTGTGAAACAGAAGTAATGATTCAGCACCAGTCTAGATTTCAAATGGTTATTTGAGAAGCTTCCTATCATTTTGAGCCATCTTGTGCAACAGGATCATCACAATTTTTGTAAAGATAGTTTCTCACTACACAGTGCAATTTCTGCACTCTACACGGTTTTGATTCTTCATTTCTGTATCTGTGCTGCATGCATTCAGGATGCAGGAAGAGCATTGGTATTGTTTTTCCTCTTTGAGTTGGAGAACTGTAATTACTGAAAGCAGACATTTATATTCCTTATTTACCCTGGCATTTCAAGGTATTCCAAAATTGTGATGAAGAGACACATTCATGTTTACAAATTTTCAGAAAAAAAAAAAAAACTTCAATCTTCCCTTTGTTTTACTAAATGAGGAAGTTTATTTTGTAACTGGTTTGGCTCAAATTGCGGAAGGTCACCCGCACATCCAGATGTTGACCATATCCTTGCTGTACAATCTGGTGGTGGGAGGTTTGTTTGTATGTGCTTTGGTAGCCAGAGATCACAAATAGTAGTTCTGTGTGCTTGATATCTGTTGTCCTCAAAAGTCATGTGATCAGAAAGAAAGACAGTCCAAAGGAGGAATGAAAATAGAACACTGCCCATTTCTGCACATTTGGGCACGGACTCCCAGCACCCTTCATGTCATCTACACAGCAAGCTATTGTGTCAGTGAGTACAGGGCTCACATTGGACATTGTTCAAACATTATGTTGCTTTGTACCTATCTGTACAACTTTCAAAATCAAAAAGTTATATCTGTCATTGACAAAAAAATTAAGTCACTGGATACTGTTGCAACATTTATTTGCAAACAAATTACAGATGCCATTATTAGCCAGTAAGAAGAAGGAAAAAAACCTAAATTTAACAAGTTATTTGATTGTCTCTTAAATGGCACTATAGTGTTGATTACTGAACAGCAGGGTCATTATAATAGAACACCAGTGCAGTGCATCTCTATACACTGGAAGCTGTGGGAATACAAGAGTATATAATAAACTGGAAAAATAAATGTGAACTCAAAATGTATTTTCCATCTCTGTCAGCGGCAGCAGCAGCAACTTTTAACCAAAGCTACTTCTTAGTATAATCCTAACACCCACAGATCAATACTAGTGCTGGCCTTCGGTAAAGGAACCCAGGCTCCTCAGGCTAGTTGGTTCCATGTCTGAAAGTGAAAAAAAAAATTACAATAAATCTGAAACATTTTGTTACAAAGGATCAAAGATACTTTCCAAACTTAAGGGGAAGTATGGAAAGTTTCAACTTAAAGACTGTTCTACCAGTCAATTTCTAAAAGTACGAACACATAAAGCAACTACTGGAACTCAGAAATTTAATAAAGGATTATGTTTTATTCTTCATGACACAGTTCAAATCTTCCACTCATACTCTATTTGCTGGAATTCAGTCACATGACCACAACTAACTGTAAGGAAGATGAGAAATATGTCTTAACTTTGTGTCCTAGAAGGAAATTGAAATCACCTGCTAGTAATTAGTCAAACCCCATCTCTGTATGCAAGAAAAAAATAAACCAAGGACTTCTGAGTAACCAAAGTCAATATAGAAAAAAATAAGTACTGTCTCCTAAAGCAGGATTTGGCAAAATTTTTTCAGTAAGAGGTGAGATAGTAAACATTTTAGGCTTCACAGACCATATGGTATCTGTTACAACTACTCAATTCAGCTATTGTCTTACAAAACCGTCATAATCAATACCTAAATGAATAGATACGGCAGTGTCTAAATAAAACTTGATTTATAAAAACCAGTGGCGGCCGGGCGTGGTGGCTCAAGCCTGTAATCCCAGCACTTGGGAGGCCAAGGTGGGTGGATCACTTCAGGTCAGGAGTTCAAACCCAGCCTGGCCCACATGGTGAAACCCCATCTCTACTAAAAATACAAAACAGCCGGGCATGGTGGTGAGCACCTGTAATTCCAGCTACTTGGGAAGCTGAGGCAGGAGAACTGCTTGAACCCAGGAGGTGGAGGTTGCAGTGAGCCAAGATCAAGCCACCATACTCCAGCCTGGCCAACACAGCAAGACTCCATCTCAAAATGAACAACAAGCCAGGCATGGTGGCTCACACCTGTAATCCCAGCACTTCAGGAGGCCGAGGTGGGTGGATCATGAGGTCAGAAAATCAAGACCATCCTGGCTAACACGGTGAAACCCTGTCTCTACTAAAAATTCAAAAATTAGCCAGGCGTGGTGTCGGGTGCCTGTAGTCCCAGCTACTCAGGAGGCTGAGGCAGGAGAATGGGGTGAAGCCGGGAGGCGGATCTTGCAGTGAGCCGAGATTGCGCCACTGCACTCCAGCCTGGGTGACAGAGCGAGACTCCGCCTCAAAAAAAAAAAAAAAAATTCAGTGGCAAGCCCAGGATAGTTTACCAGTGCCTACCCTAAATGAAGGACAACATATACAGTGGTTGACACACATATTAACCTGTGAGAAAGACAGCCCCAGTGTTAATTGGTACTGGTCATCACACAGAAAAAATAAGTAGAAAAAGCATTTAACCACACTCCAAGGAAACAAATTAGTCACATGTCTTTAATGCAGAGTAGACTTATTCCTAGGAGAAAAATTCTCTAGCTACATCTAAAAATTATAATGAGATAAAAAATATACAATTTTAGTAGTGACAATGGAGCAGATCAATATACTTACAAGAACATGGGTAATGATAACAACATGGCACATTATTTCAGGGTGAACAGTGAGTTGCATAAAACAAAAGCTACTGTGAAGGTGTGGACATTAAACATTATTGATTTGGCACAATTTAGGCTCAACCATAAATTAGACCTGTGCCTTGATAAGAAATCATTGATTCCAGATCTTAAGATTTTGACTTGTCTATAAGAATATTTATTTTTCATTATAACCTGGTATATTTATGATGACCATAGAAATACAAACTTGGAAAGAAATAAAAACAATAATGAAAAGAATTTAAATCAATGGTACTTATGAAAGTATTTATAAATAGTATTTTTAGATTATGATATGACATGCATTCCAATCAGTTTTATAATCATAGTATATTTATGATGGGTCTGCTTTTATGATGTTAAGCATTTTAAAGAATATGTTCTGTTGGAATTGTGATTTTAATTAAAAATTTAAATGTGTTTAATTACATTTTTAGTAAATATATGTGTTAACAAAATGTTTAACCTCTTAAATGCATTCAGATTCATGGTTTTTTAGTAATATGTAAATATTTAGAGGGACTGTCTTTAATATTTGAAACATGAGAACTGATTTGCAAGTCAATAAAATCAAACACTATTCAAAGTTCAAATGGTTCTTTGCATTTCTACCAAAACCTTTTAGCAATTAAGTAAGCTACTCAGCTGGGCACAGTGGGTCACGTCTGTAATCTCAGCACTTTGGGAGGCCAAGGCGGGTGGATCACGAGGTCAGAAGTTTGAGACCAGCCTAACCAATATGGTGAAACTCCATCTCTACTAAAAATACAAAAATTAGCTGGGCGTGGTGGCATGCACCTGTAATCCCAGCTACTCAGGAGGCTGAGGCAAGAGAACAGCTTGAATCCAGGAGGCGGAGGTTGCAATGAGCCGAGATCGCTCCACTGCATTCCAGCCTCGACAAGACAGTGAGACTTCGTCTCAAAAAAAAAAAAAAAAAGCTACTCACAAACCAAAAAACTACATTAAAACACAAAAATATACCAAACTAAAAAACCCCATCATGAAGTAAACATATAAATGTCTTTCAGGAAAAAAAAAAAGCAAGTATTTAAAATTTCAGGCCAGGCACGGTGGCTCACGCCTGTAATCCCAGCACTTTGGGAGGCTGAGGTGGGTGGATCACGAGTTCAGGAGATCGAGACCATCCTGGCTAACACGGCGAAATCCCGTCTCTACTAAAAAAAAAAATACAAAAAATTAGTTGGGCGTGGTGGCGGGCGCCTGTAGTCCCAAACTACTTGGGAGGCTGAGGCAGGAGAAGGCTTGAACCTGGAAGGCAGAGGCTGCAGTGAGCTGAGATCATGCCACTGCACTGCAGCCTGGGGGACAGAGCGAGACTCTGCTTTAAAAAAAAAAAAAAAAAATTTCATCATCAGCAATTAGAAAGTCAAATATTTTAAAAATACAACTCTATTCACCAATAGGAGACCCTCCATATATTAGCCCTGATAGTTTGTCTCTGCTTCAGTGTTTTCTGCTATTTATATTTAAGCACTCAGAATACTGAATGGCCTTTTAACCTCACAGTTTTAACTAAGTCAACAAGTAACGCCCAAAGCAGATCTGTGGGGCTGGAGGAGGCTAAGGAAAGATTTTGTGTCTTTTCTTAAAAAAACTGATGATAGATTAGAGACAACAATGAAAAATTATTTCTCATGAGACAAAATAGCTGCTACTGTTACATCTGCTGTTGTTAAAATTATTATCCAAAGAATAGAAATGATTTGTTAATTAATTAATTATACATAGTGCATCTCTTATTATCTAAAATAAATATAGGGAGAATGTTATAGGTTTCATAAAAATAATTGTGCTTTAGTTTATAAAATGCATTTTGTGTGTATCAACATCAATATCCGGAGAGATATATACCCTCATCCTCTCATCCTCCCACCACAGACGTTTTAAAATACTGAGTGAAACTAAAAAAACACATTAAATAATTAATAATCTTTGTTCAATTCTATAGGAGTGCATAGCAGATGTTATTTTATTTTCCAGCAACATTTTTCTCTCTCATGTGCTAAGGTGATTGGGCTTTGGTCAATTGGAGATTTTCATGTAGGGTAATGTTATGATTTTTGGTGATAGAAAAGTTTGGTGACATGAAAAGTTTTCTAATAATATTTTTAGGAGACATGAAGGATTTCAAAAATTACAGCAGTTCTCTTGTCTGTCTTGACAATTCACAATGATAGGGATGGGAGACAGAGAAATACTGGGTAGAAGAGGGTGGTTCCCTGGCAAAGGTCCCACCCTCAAGCCTGGACACCAGCAGCCATAAATGAGAACAGGCATTCCTGTTTTCATGCCCAAAAAGTTGCCTTTTGACCCACCACATCCCCCTATGCTGTACCCATATATACCTTGAACCTCAGGCTCCAGAGGGAGATGAGCAACAGAATGGTGCAGCCAAGGAGAGAAGAGAAGGAGCATCTGAATGCCGAGAGGAGTTCGGCTGGGGACAATCGGAGAGGAGTCTGCCACTGGACACCAAATTCCAGGGGACGATCATCTTCCTACTCTATTCCCCCTTCCAGCTTTCCATCCATCCCACTGAGAGCCATCTACACCACTCAGTAAAACCCCACATTCACTCTTCAAGTCCATGTGTGACCTGATTCTTTGTGGACTCCAGACAAGAACCTGGGTGCCAAGAGGGCACTGAGCTGGTAAACACTTAAGCTGTCTGCAGACAGCAGAGCGAAAAGACAACTGTAACACACACCCACTTGGGCTTATGGAGTCACAGACACACACCCCTAGACACTACTGTGGGGCCAGAGCCCCAAGGGCTCACTTTGGCTCCTGCACCTGCCATTTGCACATCATGCAACAGGAGTGTGCCTCTCTGTTGAGCCAGGGGGATCCAGGGAACTCTCTCATTTCAACAACACTTCAGAGAAACAACCATCATCCAGGATCCACAGAGGAGGCAGTTATTGCTTTCTTCAAGCTCAACTCAATTAGAATTTTCATGAGAAGCCTGGAGTGTTTAAAATAGCTGATCATGAAATTTCATATTGTGATAATAAACAAGCAGTGGCTTCTAGGCATCAGAGATGCAAAATCTCAATCATGTCTATTTTATGTTCCTGTCAAACATTCAGGAAATACTGAACATCATAATTGCAATCATAGGAGGAGGATTAGGGTTGAGCCCTCTCTATTCTTGGTTTGAGAAGCTCATGAAGGCTTTTGTTTTCTTCAATGGCACACAATTCCTGCAAATCACAGGGAAGCTACAGTTCCCATGCTTAGTACAAACATGGAGAAAACCCTGCTAGGGGGACATGAAAAGTTTTCTAATAATATTTTTAGGAAACATGAAGGATTTCAAATAATTATGCAAATGAATCATGCTGTGTACCATTTAGCACTTTTTATTATTTCACAGATTAGTACCATTTAGTACATGAGCAGTGAAAACCTCTGTCAGAGTTGTTAAAAGCGTGAGGCATCTGTACGCAGAATGCTGACATTAGCAGCCCACAAAATGTGGACAACTGTAACCATAAATTAGAGAAATTACTAAGGAGAGCCTTACAGAGAAAGACAAAGATTTGATGGGACACAGATGTCTAATGTCTCCACATATGTGTATAATTTCATGACTGTTCCGTATGATATTTTGAAGATTTTATTCTCACTCTTTTAGGGAATAACACTTTCAACACTCCCCCAGTCAACAGCTAGAGACAGCAGTCCCAGATATAAATTATTAAAAAATATTACGTTAAAAACTTATCCTTGCTCATTGTATCAACAGCTCCATTCTTGCAAAAAGTGAGGTTCAACTACAAGTGTGTGCATTCAGCAAGGAAAAAGAAATATGTGATTATGTTTTTACAACCATCTGCAATATCCTGGACCTCATCAATGAGTTATCATTTTTTAAAAGTTAAAGAAGAGCTGGAGTGAGTTTTTCTGCTTCTCAATGTTTCCTGAGTCTAGTGGTCCACAGACCAGGGCCAGGGACAAGGTTGTGTGGCCTGTGCAGTTGCAAAGGACTCCATACTGAGAAGGCCTCTGCATTTGGTATCAGCTTTCTGGGAGTGTCTAGAAATACTAAATAAATTTTGAACAAGGGACTTGCATTTTCATTTTCTGGGGGACCCTGCAAACACACAACTGGTTATCCCAGTGAAGCTCAGAGTACTATGGACCCTATGGAAATCTACATTCACTCTCAAAGCATATCATCCAATGAGCACTGTACTGCCCTGCAACATAGGAGAAAGCAGCGTGAGGAGGTACTATCTATACATGCCTTTTTAACAATTTTGGCCTTTAGACCATTTATAAACCAGTAAGCCAGTCAGAGAATGTAAACTCTGCTACCAATCTGGCATTTCTAAACATATCTTGTTTTTAAAAGGATTCAATGGGAGTTTTCCACTTGGGCTACAGTGAAGTAATTTGTAGCAAGCAGCATCACTACCAAGAACAGCTGGAATAGCAGAAAAAATTTAAACATACAGATGTTTGAAAACATCTGAGAGCTACTGAGGCAGCCGGTATCTGAAAGGAGGGAAAGGAGAACTGCAGAGAAATAAATTCAATATTCAATATGGCTTTTCTTTCTTTTTCAAACTTTTGAGAACACTTGCCAAATTTGTGTATAGGGCAAAGCAGCTGAGAATTGTTATAGAGGGCTACTGCTAAGAGAAAAATAATGATCAGAGATTCATCAATCTGACCATTTTGAAGAAATAAAAATCACATGGCAGGACTGTCAAGGAATTCAGAATTTGTGAAGTCAAGATCCTGGAGAGAGGAAGAGTTAAAAGAAGGCAGTCCTGTCTGATGTTAAAGCATTTGCTGCATTTTTAAGCTCCATGGGGCAAAAAACTAAGATGACAAGCAGTGAGTCAGTGACAATCAGAGTATACAGCTGTCCATAGTCCTGATGTGGAAAAAAAACAAAGTGGAGTTTGAGAGTAAGCAAGGGCTTAAAGACCATAGGTAATACCCAAAGCTTTAAGTTAGGACACCAGTAACAGGAGAAGGGATGGAAAGAGGAAGATGAAACCTTATAAAACTGGAAACCAGGCTTGAGTGAGCTCCATCTTTGACTGGATTATGGTAATCGGCTCCCCTGGCTGAGCTGCTTACCAGAAGATGGGGTGAAGACTTTGTGGAAGAAGAAAACATTATTCAGAGGGGCTACAGATCTTCATAGCAATTTCTAGAATTTAATAAATAATTAGAGATAAAAGCAAAAAAATATAAATAGGAACACAAGTGAAGGAAATATTGAAGTTGTCAGACATATACTTTAAAAACACCATTAAACATGTTCAATTAGAAAGATGACAAAAGGGGTTGTTTCTTGTAGAGTTGTTTGAGTTCTTTGTAGATTCCAGATATTAGACTTTTGTTGGATGCATAGGTTGCAAATATCCTGTCCCAATCTGTAGACTGTTTACTCTGTTGATTACATCTTTTTCTGTTCAGAAGCTTTTTAGTTTAATTAAGTCCCATGTATTTGTCTACTTTTGCTTCCGTTGCATTTGCTTTTGAAGTAATAGTCATGAATTATTTTGCCTAGGATAATATCCAAAAGAATTTTTCCCAGGTTTTCTTCTAGGACTTTTACAGTTTCAGGTCTTACATTTAAGCCTTCAATCCATCTTGAGTTAATTTTTGTATATGGTGAGGGATATGGGTCCAGTTTCATTCTTCTGCAGGTGGCTAGCCAGCTTCCCCAGTGTAACGTACTGATTAGGGTGTTGCTTCCCAGGGTATGTTTTTGTCTACTTCGTCAAAGATCAGTTCACTGTACGCACGTGCCTCTATTTCTGGATTCCCTCTGTTCCATTGATCTATGTCTCTTATTTATATACCAGTACCAGGCTGTTTGGGTTACTACAGCTTTGTAATACAATTTGAAGCCAGGTAATGTGCTGCCCCAGCTTTGTTCTTTTTGTTTAGGGTTGTCTTTTCTAAGTCTTTGAAAAATTATGTTTGTATTTTGATTGGGATTGCACTGAATCTGTAGATTGAAAAGTGAGCACGGGAAATGAACAGACGTTTTTTCAAAAGAAGACATGCAAGGAGCCAACAAGCACATGAAAACATGCTCAGCATCACAGATAATCAGAGAAACTCAAATTAAAACCACAATGAGATACTATCTTACACCAGTCAGAATGGCTATCATTAAAAAGTCAAAAAATAAGAGATGCTGGTGAGGGTGCAGAGAAGAAGGAACACTTGGCATGCTGTTGGTGGGATGTAAATGAGTACAACCTCTACAGAAACAGTATGGATTTGTCAAAGAACTAAACACAGATCCATCATTTGATATAATAATCCCACTACTGCATATCTACCCAAAAGAAAAGAAAAAATTATATCAAAAGACATCAGCACTTGTATGTTTATTGCTGCACTATTCACAATAACAAAGATAGAGAATAAACCTAAACACCCATCAAGGTGGACCGGATAAGGAAAAGGCAATATACCTATATATATTCGTATTTGTGATTATACATTACATAAACACTTTATTTATAATATATAATTGTATAATTGTATAAATTCATATATACTATTAAATATATAATGTAATTACATATATATATAATGTGTATGTATATACACATCAACGACTACTACTCAGCCATAAAAAGGAATAAAATCATGCCTTTTGCAGCAACATGGATGAAACTTGAGGCCCTTCTTTTTTTTTTTTTTTTTCTTGGAGATGGAGTCTTGCTCTGTCTCCAGGCTGGACTGCAGTGGTGCGATCTCGGCTCACTGCAACCTAATTGCCTCCTGGCTACAATGTTCATTATTTTCAGTGATGGCGTTATGAAAAGCCCAGACTTCACCACCATGTGACATATCCGTGTATTGAAACTGCACTTGTACCCTCTAAATCTATAAAAATAATTTTAAAAAGAAACGAAAAGATGACAAAAGGTGTAATTATACCAATGAACAGGGATCTTTAAAAAATAAAGTGAAAAATGAAGAACTAAGAATTTATATATTTTAAAATGGATACTTAATGAAGGAGTTATACAGGAATTGGGCAAACTGAAAACAGGATTACTGGTCAGTAGAAAAAAATAGATCAGTAGACCCAGGAGCGGTGGCTCACGCCTATAATCCCAGCACTTTGGGAGGCTAAGGCGGACGGATCCTGAGGTCAGGAGATCAAGACCATCCTGGATAGCAGGGTGAAACCCCGTCTCTGCTAAAAATAAAAAAAGTTAGCCGGCTGTGGTGGCACGCGCCTGTAATCCCAGCTATTCAGGAGGCTGAGGCAGGAGAATCACTTGATCCTGGGAGGCAGAGGTTGCTGTGCGCCGAGATCCAAGATTGCGCCACTGCACTCCAGCCTGGGTGACAGAGAGAGACTCCGTCTCGGAAAAAAAAAAAAAAAAAATTTTCAGTATAAGATATACTGGCCCTGCGCAGTGGCCTCATGCCTGTAATCTCAGCACTTTGGGAGGCCAAGGTGGGCGGATAATCTAAGGTCAGGAATTCGAGACCAGCCTGGGCAACATGGCGAAACCTTGTCTCTACTGAAAATACAAAAATTAGCCAGGCATGGTGGCGGGTGCCTGTAATCCTAGCTATTCCGGAGGCTGAGCCAGGAGAATCACTTGAAACCGGGAGGCAGAGGTTGCAGTGAACTGAAATTCTGCCACTGCACTTCAACCTGGGTGACAAGAGTGAAACTCCATCTCGAAATAAATAAATAAATAAACAAAATAAAGAAGGTATACAGGCAGAAGCTTATAGCTGAGAAAGACTTAAAAACAGACTTACCGGCTGGGCGTAGTGGCTCACGTCTGTAATCCCAGCACTTTCGGAGGCCGAGGCAGGCGGATCACGAGGTCAGGAGATCAGGAGCATTGTGGCTAACACGGTGAAACCCGGTCTCTACTAAAAATACAAAAAAACTAGCTGGGCGTGGTGGCGGGTGCCCGTAGTCCCAGCTACTCATGAGGCTGAGGCAGGAGAATGGCGTGAACTCGGGAGGCGGAGCTCGCAGTGAGCCATGATCGCGCCACTGCACTCCAGCCTGGGCGACAGAGAGAGACTCTGTCTCAAAAAAAAAAAAAAAAAAAAAAAAACAGACGTGCCTGTGCATATGCACACACAGAAAAGAGCATATGAAATATAGAGGAGATGGTGACATTCTTGTAATCAAAGTCCCATAAAGACAGGAGAGAGAGAAAGAGAATTCTTTAGTAGCAATATTGGAAGAGTTAATGGCCCATATTTTTACGAAACTAAAAAAGAACTCAAGCCATAAATCCAAAAAGTGCAATAAACACAAACATGCTAAAGACAAAGAAAATGACTAAGAGGATTTTCACCGATGGGCCTGTGTAAAATAAAAATAGAAAGATTCCCTAAACAGAAGAAAAAGTAACGGAAAAAACCTGAAAATTCAGGAAAGAATGAAGAATACAAGGACCCATAAATGTGTGGTCATAACTAAATAAATATTGACTGTACAACAATCATGACAATGCCTTGTGAGATTTAAAATACATGCAGAATGAGACAACTTTAAAATTATACAAAGTAGGGGCAAGAGTGCATTGAACTAGCATTTTACATTTCCAAAATAGTGTGTGAAATGGCAAGGTTTATAATTTATATTTGATTGCAGTCAGTCATTTATTTATATTTGAATCCCCAAGGCAATCAGTAGGGGAATGTTTGGCTATCAATCTATCTGAGAAAAATTTGACTAACGGGGGAGGAGGAAATAAATTTAGGCAGGCCGAAGTCCCACTAATGACTTGGAAAGTCAGACAGCATGCCATGTTGTACGTTGAGACACCTTAGAAAAGTGCAGAGTCCACAAAGACTAGATAGAGGAGGTGAATTCCAGATTGTGGAAAACCCCTCAGAAGTGAGTTGGATGTCATTTGTTGCTTTTCCTATCGGCCCACTTGTAATTCTGGGCTGAGATTTTGGGCTTGGTCCAGGCAGAGAGTGCTACTGAGGCACCAGCAGAGCTGTGGGTTCTTGTGGGGGATTGTGATTAAAAAATTGGAGACTCAAGGTCCTCAACATACGTCTGACTTTCCCTTTGCAGCTCTTACAGTAGCCTGAAACTATGAGGGGCTGGAAGATAAAGAGCTAACCCAAAACCTCTGTAAATTAGTAGGTAACTTCTCAGAGCCCCAGGATGTGGGAGAAACAAAAATTCACCCAATAGACAGCCAGCTAAGGATGCACCAGGCCACAGCTGAAAGGGCTAGAGAGGAGATGTGGACCTGTGTGGTCATCTGAAGTTGTGTGCTATGGGGGCACTTCCTGATTTTAAATACCTAGTGACTCAGAATCCCAGAGTAACCACCAGACGATGAGACTTATCTAGAAAGGAACAAAACACCAACTATTGCAATAGTCACACAGTGTACAAGTTGGAGATTTAAGGGACCTCAATCCAATGATGGTTTCTCCTTTAAGATGTTTATCAAATTCATTGGTTTTTTATGACCGTATAGTATTCCATGGTGAATATATACCACAATTTTCCTTGGTTTTTAACCATTAATAGACACTTAAGTTGTTTCCATATCCTGGCTATTGTGAATAATGCTCCTCCTGGAGGAGGGTCAGGTTAAGTGAAATAAGACAGCCACAGAAAGACACATACTGCAAGGTCTCTCTCATACATTGAAATCGGAAATGTTGTTCTCATGGAAATAGAGAATTGAATAGTGGTTACTAGAGGATGGAAAGGGTAGGTGGGAGAGGGAGATGGGGAGAGATTGGTCAACAGGTACAAAGTTAACAGTTAAAATAGAAGGAATAAATTGTGCTGTTCTATTGTAGAGCAGGATGATGAGTTAATATCAATGTATATTTCAAAGCAGCTACCAGAGAGATTTCTGAATGTTCTCATCACAAAGAAATAAATGTTAAGATGATGGATATTCTAATTACCCTAATTTGATCATTACACCATGTATACATGTATCAAAACATCACATTTTACCCAAAACATATACAATTATTATGTGTCAGTCATATAAAAATATACTTGTCTAGGCTGGGCACGGTGGCTCACACCTGTAATCCCAGCACTTTGGGAGGCAGAGGTGGGCAGATCACAAGGTCAGGAGATCGAGACCATCCCAGCTAACACGGTGAAACCCCGTCTCTACGAAAAATACAAAAATATTAGCTGGGGGTGGTGGCGGGTGCCTGTAGTCCCAGCTACTCGGGAGGCTGAGGCAGGAGAATAGTGCGAACCCGGGAGGCGGAGCTTGCAGTGAGCTGAGATCATGCCACTGCACTCCAGCCTGGGAAACAGAACGATACTCCGTCTCAAAAAAAAAAAAAATATATATATATATGTGTGTGTGTGTGTGTGTGTGTGTGTGTGTGTGTGTCTAATTCTGAAGCTCTACAGTGCAAGAGTCATAACACACTCTGACAAGTGCAGTAGAATTTCGCACAACATCTTGATGATCAAGAGAAATGGCCCAAGGCTGGGTGCAGTGGCTCACACGTGCAATTACTAACACTATGAGAGGCTGTGGCAGGAGCATAACTTGAGGCAAGTAGCTCCAGACCAGCCCAGGCAACAGAGCCAGACCTCATCTCCACAAAAAGTTTTAAAATTTAGCCAGGCATGGTGATGCACACCTGTAGTCCCAGCTACTCAGGAGGCTGAACTGGGAGTATCCCTTGAACCCAGGAGTTTGAGGTTACAGTGAGCCTTGATGGTGCCACTGCACTCCAGCCTGGGCAACAGAGCAGGGTTCTCAGAAGAAAGTCTGAAGGACCACATCCTAGCAACAGGAAAAAATCACTCACAGGTTGAGTCTCACCAAACCCACAGTCTGCTCGCCTATTCCTGACTGGGTGAAGGAACGAGCTCTACACTCTGTTGGCCTAGAAGAGGAAAAGGTGGCCCGTTTCCCTCAGAAGACAGCCTCATTCATAGACTCAAGGTGTTAAAATAAAGATAAAAGCAGAAATCAATGATCCAGTGAACAAACATATTAGAGAAAATCAACAAAACCAGAAGTTGTTTCTTTAAGAAAAATCGTAAAAGATAAATCCCTAACAAGACTTGTTAAACCTGGAGCATTGGTAGAGCGGCCAGAAGGAACACATTTAGACCACAGAACTGAACAATCACCAAGAATGAAAATGAACAAAGACAAACGGGCTCACTATCTACCCTAAAGAAATGCACATCTTACTGAAAGAAGTAAAAGAAAAACTGTTCATGTATCAGAAGATTCAATATTATGAAGAAGTTATACAGTTCCAAAGTAACCTGTAAATTTAGTATGATTACAAACAAGATCACAGGAGATTCCATAGTGGAAATTAAGAAGCTGATTATAAAATTTAAAAGAAACTCAATAGTTCAAGTATAGCTAAGGCAATCTTGGGGGAAAAAGACAAGAATGGAGGAGTTGTATTACCTGATATGAGGGTGTATAGTAGGCTAAAGTAGTTAAGATGGAGTAATGCTGGCAAAAGGAAAAAAAACAGAAAGGAAAAGAAAGGGAGGGAGAGAGGGAAAGAGGGTGGGAAGGAAGAAGGAAGGAAGGGAGGGAGGGAGGGAGAGAGGGAAGAAAGAAATAAGCCAATGAAAAATAATAGTCCAAAAACAAATCCACATATACATGACCATGGTTTATAGCAAAGGTGACTGTGTACTGCAATAGGGAAAGGGTACCGTTATCTTTCTTTTTTTTTTTTTTTTTTGAGATGGAGTCTTACTCTGTCGCCCAGGCTGGAGTGCAGTGGGGCAATCTCTGCTCACTGCAAGCTCTGCCTCCTGAGTTCATGCCATTCTCCTGCCTCAGCCTCCCAAGTAGCTGGGACCACAGGCGCCCGACACCACACCTAGCTAATTTTTTGTATTTTTAGTAGAGATGGGGTTTCACCGTGTTAGCCGGGATGGTCTCGATCTCCTGACCTCGTGATCCGCCCACCTCGGCCTCCCAAAATGCTGGGATTACAGGCGTGAGCCACCATGCCAGGCCAGGAAAGGGTACCATTTTCAATAAATGATTTAGAACCAACTGGATAACCACATGTAAAAATAAAATATCTTCACTTCTACCTTAAAGCAAACTGAAAAGAACAAAAAGTCAAGTGAATTAATTTCAGATCTTAGTGTGAAACACAAAACAATAAATATTTAAAATATTAAAAATTTTTATAACTTTATAATAGGATATGACTTTATAAACTGAACCTATAAAGTGTTAGCCACAGGAGAATAAATGATAACTCAAAATATATTAGGATTAAAAACTTTTATCAAAATATTCCACATGAGAGAGTGAAAAGATAGGCCACAGTGTGTTGTATACAAACTAAAAACTCATATCCAAAATAAAGAATACCTAAAAATTAATAAGATAAAGACAATGTAATTTTGAAGATAGCCAAACAACTTGAAAAGGTACTTCAAAGAATATGACTTCAACTATTTTATAAACATATGAAAAATGTCCTTTTGTTTTTTTTGAGACAGAGTCTCCCTCTGTCGCCCAGGTTGGAGTGCAGGGGCGCCATCTCGGCTCACTGCAACCTCCACCTCCTGGGTTCACGCCATTTCTCCTGCCTCAGCCTCCCCAGTAGCTGGGACTACAGGTGCCCACCACCACGCCCGGCTAACTTTTTGTATTTTTCGTAGAGACGGAGTTTCACCATATTAGCCAGGATGGTCTCGACCTCCTGACTCGTGATCCGTCCACCTCAGCCTCCCAAAATGCTGGGATTACACGTGTGAGCCACCGTGCCCGGCTGAAAAATGTCCATATTTAATAATCCTCAGGGAGATGCAAAGTAAAGTCACAATGTAATAGCACAAGACATTCCCTATAATGGCTAAAATAAAAAGACAATACAAAGTGCTGACAAAGATAAAGAGCAACAGGAATTCTCTCCTACACAACTGGTGGGAGTGTTAATTAATATAATGATTTTGAAAAACTCTTGAACAGTATCTACTAAAAGCTAAACATGGGCATCCCCTATGATCCAGCAGTTCCTCTCTCTCAGGCATATTCTCATGAATATGTACATATAGTTTTCAAAAGACATGCAAGAATGTTTATAGAAGCCACACTGCCAAACTGGAAACTATCCAACATTTATCAACATTAAAATATTGGAGTGTATTTACACAATGGAATTCTATGTAATGAAGTCAACAAACGATTGCTACACATACCAGGCATTTATCTCACAAGCAATTTTGACTGAAAGATGTCAGACAGAAAACAGGGATTCTGGTGTGATTCTATTTGTATACAATTCAGAGATAGGAAAACAAATCTATGCTGATAAAAGTGAGGATATTAGTTACCTGTGAGAAAGACAAATGTACCTATATGGGCAACTTTTGGGAGTCTGATATTTCTGATCTTGGTGCTGATTACATGTGTGTGATCCATTTCTGATAATTTATCAAGACATGACTTATTCCTTCTAGACTTATAAATATGATATACTTCAATAAAAAGTGATGTACTCTAAAAAATTTGCTTATGTTCTCTCTCATCAGTTTTTAAAGTAGAGTGGGTGGGATAAAGACAGTGTAGCACTACTGTCCAGAAAAAAAGAAAATGGTATATTTTGGTGTCTTTTAAAATAAAAAAAGTGTATCTTAAGGAGTGTAATAAAAACACGTCTCCATGTTTACAAAGCCTTCCATGACTTGGTCCTGTGTCGCTCGCTTGGTGAGTGTGAGCTAAGTAGAAAAAATAAACATAGCAAGTGTGAAGAAGTTCGGCTGTGAGGGCAGTGGAGTGTAGCTATGAGGGTTGGCTTTGTGAAAAAGGCAAGCTCTTCTTTCCATTATAATGGACCCCCAGTCCCATGCATGAGCTCTGGAGGATCATAGCATGTGTTGGTCACTGCCCTGTCCTTTGAGCAGTCTGGGGATGGTATTCGACTTGGTGCTTAACTGGTAACCTAATAAAAGTGATGCTGCAATCCAACATGTCAGTTGTTTCTATTTCCAGGAGAATCAAGGCTGCTGCCTCTGACAAAGAGATAAAAAGTGATGACTTACTCCAGATAAACTGCTGCAGTCTCTGGATCCACTGCGGTGCTGTCCTGAAGCACTTGAAGAAGAGCATGCTGGCTTTGTTCCACCCCATTTTCCCTCTGTTTCAACCAGTCCCTGAGTTGCAAAATGTAGTTCCTTCACCATTTTTTTTCAATAATCCAGTTATACTAAATACCCTCTGATTTTTAAAAACACTAGATTAACTTGAGTGTTAATAAAAAGAGGCTGCATGTAATTTCACCAGCACTCTCTTTCTGTCTTTTACTTTGTCCACATTCAGGATTCTCTGCACACATTTCTCTGTACAACTATTCTCCTTCTTCTATGATTAAGAGAACCTTCTCACTCTTTCTGTAGCCTACCACCTGTCTACACCCAACTCCTGGAGGCTCAGCTTCTAACCCAAACTGTCTCATCAAAGCTTGTTCCAAACAAAATCAGGTCTCAAAGGAAAATTATTTTGCCAGCAGCCAAAATAATAGCATTTTCTCCTTTTTGTAAAATATGCATCCAGTGTTAATTGCCAGGTTAAAATGTTTAACCTGGAAATATTACAAGTTCCTACTTTACCCAAATGCAACTCTGCTAAAATACCGAATGCCTTAAAAGAGATAAAAACCCAAGTAGCATTGAAAACCAATGATACACGTCAGAGTATTTTTAGAGTCAGGAGTATGTTTCACTGTCTTCAAGGCTGATAGATCTGAACTGCTCTGCACTGTTATTATAAACTATGCATGATTTGCCAACTGCCATCCCTGAAGTGGAAGAAGAGATACCTTGGAGCTCACTTCATACTCCTGCTGTGAGGTACACATTCTAACAGAAAGAAACTGGGCAACCCACCTGCCAGAGATGTAGAGAAACATAACAATTAAGAACATGGGGCCGGGCGGCTGGGCACGGTGGCTCATGCCTGTAATCTCAGCACTTTGGGAGGCCGAGGCGGGCAGATCACCCGAGGTTGGGAGATTGAGACCAGCCTAACCAACGTGCAGCAACCCTGTCTCTACAAAAAAAAAAAATACACAAAATTAGCAGGGCACGATGGCACATGACTGTAATCCCAGCTACACAGGAGGCTGAGGCAGGAGAATCACTTGAACCTGGGAGGCGGAGGTTGCAGTGAGCCGAGATCGCTCCATTACACCCTAGCCTTGGCAACAAGAGTGAAACTCTGTCTCAAGGAAAAGAAAAAAAAATTACGGCCAGGCACGGCGGCTTATGCCTGTAATCCCAGCACTTTGGGAGGCCGAAGTGGGCAGATCACGAGGTCAGGATCCAGACCAGCCTGACCAACATGGTGAAAACCCGTCTCTACTAAAAATACGAAAGTTAGCCGGGCTTGGTGGCACGCGCCAGTAATCCCAGCTACTCGGGAGGCTAAGGCAGGAAAATGGCTTGGACCCCGGAGGTGGAGGGTGCAGTGAGCCGAGACTGCACTATTGCACTCCAGCCTGGGCGACAGAGCAAGACTCCCTCTCAAAAGTAAATAAATAAATAAAAAATTACAAAGTAACCAATTCAGGAAACCGAGAGGAGAGGTTTGGGAGGTGGTTTAGTGAGGTAATCCACATTTTCTGATGATAAATTGTCGCTCGGTTAATTTATTAATCAGAAAGGAATAAATTGGCCTGGCGTGGTGGCTCACGCTTGTAATCCCAGGACTTTGGAAGGCTGAGCGAGGCAGATCGCTTGAGCCTAGGAGTTCCAGACCGGCCTGACCAACATGGAGAAACCCCGTCTCTACTGAAAAAAAAAAAATACAAAATTAGCAGGGCGTGGTGGCACATGACTACAGTCCCAGCTACTCGAGAGGCTGAGGCAGGAAAATGGCTTGGACCCGGGAGGCGAAGGTTGCAGTGAGCAGAGATTGCGCCCCTGCACACCAGCCTGGGTGACAGAGCAAGACTCCCTCTCAAAAAATAAATAAATAAATAAATAAATTTACAAAGTAACCAATGCAGGAAACCGAGGGGAGAAGTTTGGGAGGTGGTTTAGTGAGGTAACCCATATTGTCTGATGATAAATTGGCACACGGTCAATTTATTAATCACAAATGAATAAATCGGCGTGGTGTGCTGGCTCACGCTTGTAATTCCAGGACTTTGGAAGGCAGAGCAGGGCAGATCGCTTGAGCCTAGGAGTTCCAGATTGGCCTGACCAACATGGAAAAACCCCGTCTCTACTAAAAATAAATACACAATTAGCCGGGCATGGTGGCATATGCCTGTAATCCCAGCTACTCGGGAGGTTGAAGCAGGAGAATGGATTGGAACCGGGAGGCGGAGGTTGTAGTGAGCCAAGATTGCACCCCTGCACTCCGGCCTGGGTGACAGAGAGAGACTCCATCTCAAAAAAAAAAAAAAAAAGATTACAAAGTAACCATGTAGGAAACCGAGAGGAGAGGTTTCAGAGGTGGTTTAGTGAGGTAATCCATATTTTCTGATGATAAATTGGCGCCCAGTCAATTTATTAATTAGAAAGGAATAAATTGGCCTGGCGTGGTGGCTCACCCTTGTAATCCCAGGACTTTGGAAGGCAGAGCGGGGCAGATCGTTTGAGCCTAGGAGTTCCAGACCCGCCTGGGCAGCATGGTGAAACCCGGTTTCTTAACAGAAAAACAAAACAAAAACCCCGAAAATTAGCCAGGCATGGTGAGCCGCGCAGGTAGTCCCAGCTACTCTGAAGGCTGAGGTAAGAGGATTCCTTGAGCCCAGGAAGTCGAGGTTGCAGTGAGCTGTGATGGCACTGCTGCACTCCAGCCTGGGCGACAGAGTGAGACTCTGTCTAAAAAAAACAAAGAAAAAGAAAGTAAATAAAATTGCTAAATCAAGGAACAGCTTGACACTTTATTATACAGAGAAATAGAGGCAGCATTTAGCAGGCACCAATGTTCACTTAGTGGGAACTGCAGGTGTTCCCCGGACCGGAGGCTGCTTCTTTTCCAAAGGAAATCTATTATTGACTACCAATAAAAAAATACATTGTAGGTTTGTTACAATATACAAATGGCTAAATTTTATATATCCACGACCATATTCTAGCACAGCTCTAAGCCTTTTCATGCTCTGAAATAGCTACTATTGTTACCTCCATTGTAGAGAAAACAGATGCCAGAGGCTGTTTTGGAAGGACCGTGGAAACTGATTGACTATGAAATTGACTTGTATGTTTCGGACTTAAAGGTTTTTCCTGCTCTGCTCGTTACATTTTCACATTTTAGATAACATACCTCTTAAAATAGTGGTCCTTTTAAAATTTGGAGGGATTCCTCTTCCAATTTGAAGTTTTTTCTTGCACTAAACATTTGGTCAGACTAAGATCATCCGCGTTTTATGTCAGTTTAAGTACATTTTTAGACATTGTTCACGTAGAAATGTAAATATGAGCTTACATTGTGTGTAAAAGGAAATAATAGCTGCTTACAACCATTTTTGTCTCATAATACAAATCCAAATCAATATGTTATTGGAAATGCAGGCTGGGAGGGGAAAGAAAAGATGCAGAGAGAAAAGCCCCATCTCTGCTTGGAGTTCAGCCCTGGGTCTCTTTTCCCTTCCTCCTTCCTTCTCACAGCTGTCACAGTGACAGAAGAACACAGGGCTGCCTTTTAGTGACACCTGCTGGGACAGACCTGGCAGAAGAGATTGCAGATTTGGTTGTTTCTTGGCTGCCTCTGCCAGCCCCTGAGTCAGCACCCCACTCCATTTCATGCTGAGCTTGGACAGCTCAGGTTTAAAAAATTCCCCCTTCCCTTGGGGCAACTGCTTTCCAGCCTCCTCATCATTCCTAAAGGAGAATGACCTACATGCCAGCATGACAGAGATCCAGAAATTTATAGAAGCTTCATTGTGAGCCTAAATCCTTAACAGGGGCTCAAACTGCCAAACACCAAATGAAGAGAGAGGTTTTGCAGTAAAGCAGGAAGTCATTAAAATAATGAATCACCCGGCTGGGTTTTGAGCTCCTTTCCCACTAATTTAATGGAAAGATTTATTGTCTTCACAATTTACGCTTTCCTAAATTTTGCATAAATTTATCATTTATATCTTCACATAAGTAATTCTTTGTGTTTTATCACTGAGCAAATTCTATGTAGCAAATCAATGCTATATTTTGGCAAACTCATGTTATAGCTTAGAAAATACTACAGCATTGTAAACTGAGGGCAGCATTAAGCAAATTATATTTACCTTTGTGACCGCAAAACAATGATTCAATGCTTTTCCCATGAAATTTGTCTTTCGATATTGGTAGTGGTTTTTAAATAAAAAACATGAATTACATATCGATTAAAACTTTACTATTGTTTTTAGAAACTGTGACTTCACCAGTTATGAGCGGACTTGAAATGTGTAGTTTTTAAGTTTGGAAATCCTTTGTAGTTTCATTTACTTTTCCAGGAAGAAAGTGAGATATTTTTTGCTGCTGTTGCCTGGTTTTTGTTTGTTTTTTGACCATAAACAAAACTTAATGGAGCCCCAAATCTACTAACTCAGTCCTCCTTTGGTAACATGCCTTTTTCTGATTTCTAGACTTTAGTTGATATTTGTGACACACTAGTTCTATTATTTAAAAATTTAGAAAAGTACTACAAGAGTAAGAAGCAAAGAGCATGAGCCACCGTGCTGGGCTGCTTTTAATTTTTGATATCAATCTTTACTTTTTTTTTTTTTTTGAGACAGAATCTCGCTCTGTGGCCCAGGCCAGAGTGCAATGGTGTGATCTCGGCTCACTGCAACCTCCATCCCCAGGGTTCCAGCGATTCTCCTACCTCAGCCTCTGGAGTACCTGGGATTACGGGCAACCGCCACCACGCCTGGCTAATTTTTTTTGTATTTTAAGTAGGAACGGGGTTTCACCATATTGGCCAGGTTGGTCTTGAACTCCTGACCTCAGGTGGTCCACCTGCCTTGTGTCTTGGCCTCCCAAAAATGCTAGGATTACAGGCATGAGCCACCATGCCTGGCCTTTTGCCTATTTTTATTTTAAAATCATCTCTTCTTTTCGATGATTTTTTTTTTTTTTTTTGAGATGGAGGCTCCCTCTGTCGCCCAGGCTGGAGTGTAGTGATGTGATATCGGCTCACTACAACCTCCACCTCCCAGGGTCAAGCAGCAATTCTCCTGCCTCAGCCTCCTGAGTAGCTGGGATTACAGGCACCCACCACCATGCCCTGCAATTTTTATATTTTTAGTAGAGATGGGGTTTTACCATGTTGGCCATGCTGGTCTTGAACTCCTGACCTCAGGCGATCCAGCCACCTCGGCCTCTGAAGGTGCTGGGATTACAGGCATGAGCCACCGTGCCTGGCCCCAGATTTTATTATTCTTAAAAAGCCAATTGAGAATTCCTAGCATACTCACTTAAAAGGAAAATTTAGTTTGCTATAATATTACTCATATTTGCTATGGTGAATTCATCTCTAGAAAGGTTCTTTGTGTAATTATTTTATTATCTCTCTAATAGTTAATTCTCCACATTTTGTAATATTTTTGCACACTCACCTTGAATGGGAGGTTCTCTACATGTCTTAGTCATGTAACTAACAGAATCCACCCTCTTTCCCCACTAAGCACACTTACGTATAGTCAATAAAATATGGGCTGTGTGCGGTGGCTCACACCTGTAATCCCAGCACTTTGGGAGGCCGAGGTGGGCGGATCACGAGGTCAGGAGATCAAGACCATCCTGGCTAACACAGAGAAACCCCATCTCTACTAAAAATACAAAAAAATTAGCTGGGCATGGTGGCGGGCAACTGTAGTCCCAGCTACTCGGGAGGCTGAGGCAGGAGAATGGTGTGAACCCGGGAGGCCGAGCTTGCAGTGAGCCAAGATTGTGCCACTGCACTCCAGCCTGGGTGACAGAGCGAGACTGTCTCAAATAAAATAAAATAAAATAAAATGTCAGTTCTTCATGGATATTCTTTGAATCATCTAAATGGGGACTCTTGCTAGAAATAGTGAATCATTAATTCTTCCAACTACTGTACTCCTTTCCAATATATTGTCTTACTGATTTTTCACCTTTTCCTATTTCTATCCTTCTTGTTCTACTAACTCATCTGTCATTGGCCTTATTCTATAGCCAACCTCAAATTTCAGTCCACACTAGCTGTGAACAGCACTCAAATTGCTGTTGTATTCTTAAAATATAAATTTACTTCATAAAGCAAAAGTGAATTATGTGCATGTTACAAAAAATATTCATAGCAGAGATAAGATGGGATGGTATTTGCTGGGATGCACAGCATCATTTTTTCCAAATTAATTTCGATCAGAATTCTCTCCTCCCTACCGCCATGCATAGCTGTTCACTCACCTGTTATGAACGACATCTTAAGTTATTTTTCATCTTATCTGATCATATGACTTGAATTAAGCTCTAGATCTGCTGAGGGCAAACACCGCCATGGAATTAAATTTGCAAGAGTGAAGGAGGAGGAAGTGGGAGAAGGTGGGAAGAATCTTCAGACTAGGGTTCAGATCTTATACCTGTAGAGGGAAAGAGGGAAGGAAGGCTGATTGGGGTAGAAAGAGACTGCAGCATGGTTCCAAGAATGCTTTGGCCAGGTCAGTGGGGACTCCTCAAATTAAAGTTGGCCATTGGAGAATCTCACAACTTACTGGCAAAGTCCTCACATACAATCCTCACTGTGCTCTATGACTGTGGAAACATGACTGCTGCACAAGTGTAGAAGTGAGTCCAGAGACAGACAGGGCTAAAGGAAGGCTGTCATTGACTTATGCTGTCCAAGTCAGGATATCTGCATTGCAAATTTCCATGGTCATTAAAATCCATTATCCCCACCTCCAAATCCCAACACTGCACAGACATATTTGTCCAAACACGTTCTTCATACCAGTGCTTCCAAAATTCCCATAAGCCTCTCTTTCCCAAGGGGAATCTTAGAAAAGGAAGGTTAATGAGCCCATGCTATAGCGATTGGTCTCAGAACTGCCTTTGAATGCCCAGTTGTGAGAGGGGAACAGAGAAAGAGAGAGTATAGGAGTGGGGAGAGTGTGTGTGTGTATCAGTGTGTGTATGTGTGTGTGTGTGTGTGTGTGTGTGTGAGAGAGAGAGAGAGAGAAAGATTATCTCTGCTTCTTTTGTGGAAAAGCAGCCCTACCTCCTCCTGCTAATCAGGGTGTATTCATCCTGCTGGATGGTGATGTATTTCTTGTCTTTTGGTTGCTGGACCTAAGGAATCTAAAGCATGCAACAGATAACCTTCTTTAGAGAGCAAGACTTGCCTGCCTTCCAGATCCCAGAGCTGCACTGATGAGAAGCATGGGAGAACCTTAGAAGATTATTGGGAACACTTGTAATTGGGGACATTCCTGTTTCTACCTCTTCTTTTCTGAACCTATAGATTCTTCCTATGAAGGAAGAATACCATATAAAGATCTGTGATGGAATATGTATAAAAGATGGTGCCCCCTGCATTCAGAATATCTCCTTTGGCATGGTGCTTCAGTTTCATCTTTAGAATGTTTCTACAGGGCTCCATGAGTCCAGCTGCTTCTTGAAGTGTGTATGTAATACAAATAGTAGATTACATGGTCATGGACCCACTTCTGCACATCCTTAACTGTGAACAGGGAACCCTGGTCAGATGCTATATCATGTGGGATTTTATGCCTGTGGATCAGGAATCCCGGAAGCCTCAGAAAAGTGGTCCTGGCTCAGGCTCTGTGAACAGAAGTGCCAAACCCTCTGAGGATGAACAGGTGGTCATTCAAAATCAAAAGACTTGTCATGTCAGAGTCTCAATATTGATTTACCTTGCTGAAAAGTAGGACAGTCAGAGGCAGCAGTAGTTAGATCAACCTTGATACATAGGAGTCCAGGCTATGGGGCCCATATGTATCGTCCATCTCTGCCAATGTGGTCATATGTGTGACTCCATATGTGTGACTCCATATGTGTGACTGTTGTGCTTACTGTGGGAAAGCCAATCTCCAAGGCTGGCAGCTTGTCAAGTCATTTTGTCTAATTGGTTATTGAGTGCCTCTTCTGTGGTGAGTGCTTTCTTTCTTTTTTTTTTTTGAGATGGAGTCTCTGTCTGTCTCCCAGGCTGCAGTGCAGTGGCGCTATCTCGGCTCACTGCAACCTCCGCCTCCTGGGTTGAAGCAATTCTCCTGCCTCAGCCTCCCAAGTAGCTGGGATTACAGGTGCCCACCACCACAGCCAGCTAATTTTTGTATTTTTAGTAGAGATGGGTTGGCCAGGCTGGTCTCGAACTCGTGACCTCAGGTGATCCGCCCGCCTCAGCCTCCCAAAGTCCTGGGTTTACAGGCATGAGCCACCCCGCCCAACCCCGAGTGCTTTCTTGTGAGTGTTAATGAGTGATACAAGATTCTTTACCCTCCATGCCTGCTCCTGCATGTCCACTCAGATGCTTCTAACCCGGCTTCCTTGTCTCAGATATTTCAGTTCTTTTCTATCTAAGCCTCTAACCAGATGATTCACCCACTGACCAGGGCAAAGAAATCTGTTTATATTCCTGCCTCAGGCCACGTTTCCTTCTATGTAAAGTAGATGGCTGGGGCTACTGCTCCCAGTGCTGCTAATTGGGAAGATTTTCACTTCCTTCTGTCTTCCAGAGTCACTCTTGCATTGGGCTGTAATGCAACTACACTTTTTTTTTTTTTTTTTTTTTTGAGACGGAGTCTCGCTCTGTCGCCCAGGCTGGAGTGCAGTGGCGCATCTCCACTCACTGCAAGCTCCGCCTCCTGGGTTCACGCCATTCTCCTGCCTCAGCCTCCTGCATAGCTGGGACTATGGGCGCCTGCCACCACGCCTGGCTAATTTTTTGTATTTTTTTTTAGTAGAGACGGGGTCTCACCGTGTTAGCCAGGATGGTCTCCATCTCCTGACATCGTGATCTGCCCGCCTCGGCCTCCCAAAGCGCTGGGATTACAGGCGTAAGCCACCGTGCCTGGCCGTAACTACACTTTTAAATAGAGATTTCCTCTTTCTCCCTCCTTTGGATGGCCACAGGGACACAAATGCAGACACAGGTGTGAGCTGAAGGAAGGTTGCTGGTGCAAACATGGTAGGTGACACAAGGATTTGGGTTACCTGCTATTCAATTTATTCACTTGCTGTTGTCTTGCTTGGCCTTTGTCTCATATTTCTGATTTCCACCTCACGATGAACTACTTCTTGCCCCTTCTCGTGTCATGACTTGGTGTTTCCAATAGAACTCAGCCTGCAAGAGACAGTGCCAGATGCATGATCGAGCACAGCATCTCTCCCAGGTCCAACACATAATTCTCTGCTATGGAGGGCGTGGCTTTGTTTCAGAATCCCAGGAGCTGGTGTTGTAATCCTTTCACTGAGAATTGCCATGTGGGCCACACTGCTCCCACCACTGACACCTTCAAGAATACAGGTCCTGCCAGATCACATGGCCCAAGCAGCAGGCTGCTCGCACTGCAGCCTGGACCTGCTGTAGAGCCCTGTCCTGCTCTGGACTCTTCAAATCCTGCAGCCTTCCTATCTCCCTGACTTATACTGTGGCTTGCTTGTGTTATGTTGTTGAGTCGTATGAGTTTATGTTTTTATAGTTGTATAGATATAGATGGATAGATAAAGATATGGTTTGAGAGGAAGAAAAAAAGAGAAAGAAAAAGAATTTGACAAAAGACTTTATTGGGAATATATAAAAAACATATCAGACTCCATAGTAAGAAGTCAAACAACCCAATAACAAAATGGGCAAGAGATTTCAGTAGACAACAACAAAAAATATATGAATGATCGATAAACACTAAAAAATGGATTATTAACCACCTGGGAATGGAATTTAAAATCAAAATGTAATAACACTGCACAGAAACTGTAATAGATCCAAAAAATGTCAATTCTTAACGTTTGAGAGGACATACAACACCCTGAATTATCATATTTAGGTGGGTGTATAAAGTAGATAATCAATTTGGATTGCAGTTTGGCAGGTTTTTTAACAAACATACACTTACCATTTGACCCAGAATATTCCATTCTTAGATACTTACTCAAGAGAAATGAAAACATGTGCATACAAATGAAGGTAGCCGCTTTACTTGTAATAATCAAGGAATAGAAACATTTGCAAATGGTTCACCAACAAGCTAAAGGATAAACATATTTTGGTATTTCCATACAATAGAATAAAACAGAATGAACCACTGATTTTTGCAACATAGGTAAGCCTAAAACATACTGAGAGAATGAAACAACAGTAGCCATATTATACAAGTTTATTACTATGAAATTCTGGAAACTGAATTTATAGTGGCAGGTTGCAGATCAATGGGTGCTTGGGGTCAGAGGTTTGGGTAATGAGTACAAAATAACTTTTGAGGTGATAGCTTCAATATGCTGATTGTGGTCGTAGCCACATAACTTTATATGTTTGTACTTAATTTGGATGTATTTTATTGTATTGCAAGTAAACCTCAGTTAGGATGACTTTTAAAATTATTAGATTCTAAAAAATTAATTTGCTTCCATCCATTATATTTATTCACAAATCTTACGATAGTATGTTTTGGAACACCTGTAAAGACACAACTGACATATTCATAAAGGAAATTTCCTTATGTAGGATGGATTTTAGGGGAAATGGCTGAAACAAGGAAATCTGCATCTGCTTATCATAATTCACTGCAAAAGATCGAAATGTGTAACTAGCAATCAACTTCAGCTTTGATTATCTTTCATAGCAGCATGGATCAATTATGTTTACCCAGTTGGCTATCTCTACATGCTAAACTTATATTGCATACATGCCTCTGAAATTCCAGTCATGTATAGTCTATAATTTGCACCTGTATTACACAATTTGTATACTCTTCCACTTTAAAGGCGGGATTTATACCTGGAAAGGGACTCAAACTACAACTATGATCCAATTCTGTTCCAAATTTTGTATACTATGACTATTCTGGGAAATGATTCAATAGTTTTGTTTCATTTGACTCTTCCTGCAGACATCATGTGTTGAAGTAAACCTGTTTTTTATGTTCAGAAAGTAGCCTTTTGACTGGAGAGTTCTAGCTTTTGGAAAACATGTACTCAAAGCAGAAGTACCTAGTGTGTTGAGGGAATAAAACCACAGCCTTTCGGCCGGGCACCGTAGCTCAGGCCTGTAATCCCAGAACTTTGGGAGGCCGAGGCAGGCAGATCACGAGGTCAGGAGATGGAGACCATCCTGGCTAACACGGTGAAACCCCGTCTCTACCAAAAATACAAAAAATTAGCCAGGCAGGGTGGCGGGCACCTGTAGTCCCAGCTACTCGGGAGGCTGAGGGAGGAGAATGGCGTGAACCTGGGAGGTGGAGGTTTCAGTGAGCCAAGATTGCACCACTGCACTCGAGCCTAGGCAACAGAGCAAGACTCTGTCTCAAAAAAAAAAAACAAAAAAAAAAAACCAAAGCCTTTCTGACCTAAGTAAAGTGAAACCTTGTCATCCTTGATGACAAACATTACATGACACACGTGTTGCGTTTTCAGGGAGTTCTTCTGCAACTTATTTCACCCCCAACGAACTGGCATCATTCAAATCTAATTGTATAATTTTACTGTAATTAGTGGGTCCGGAATTGGTGGGTTCTTGGTCTCACTGACTTAAAGAATGAAGCCGCGGACCCTCGCGGTGAGTGTTACAGCTTTTAAGGTGGCGCGTCTGGAGTCTGTCCTTTCTGATGTTCAGATGTGTTCGGAGTTTCTTCCTTCTGCTGGGTTCGTGGTCTCGCTGGCTCAGGAGTGAAGCTGCAAACCTTCGCGGCGAGTGTTACAGCTCTTAAGGCAGCGCGTCTGGAGCTGTTCGTTCCTCCTGGTGGGCTCGTGGGCTCGCTGGGCTCAAGAACAAAGCTGCAAATCTTCGCGGTGAGTGTTACAGCTCATAAAAGCAGCGTGAACCCAAAGCGTGAGCAGTAGCAAGATTTATTGCAAAGAGCGAAAGAACAAAGCTTCCACGGTGTGGAAGGGGATCTGAGCAGGTTGCCACTGCTGGCTGGGGCAGCCTGCTTTTATACTCTTATCTGGCCCCACCCACATCCTGCTGATTGGTAGAGCCCAGTGGCCTGTTTTGTCAGGGCGCTGATTGGTGCGTTTACAATCCCTGAGCTAGATACAAAGGTTCTCCACCTCCCTATCAGATTAGTTAGATACAGAGTTTCCACACACAGGTTCTCCAAGGCCCCACCAGAGCAGCTAGATACAGAGTGTCGATTGGTGCACTCACAAACCTTGAGCTAAACACAGGGTGCTGATTGGTGTGTTTACAAACCTTGAGCTAGATACAGAGTGCCGATTGGTGTATTTACAACCCTTGAGCTAGACATAAAGGTTCTCCACGTCCTCACCAGAGCAGCTAGATACAGAGTGTCGATTGGTGCACTCACAAACCTTGAGCTAAACACAGGGTGCTGATTGGTGTATTTACAATCCTTGAGCTAGATATAAAGGTTCTCCACGTCCTCACCAGACTCAGGAGCCCAGCTGGCTTCACCTAGTGGATCCCGCACTGGGGCTGCAGGTGGAGCTGCCTGCCAGTCCTGTGCCATGCGCTCGCATTCCTCAGCCCTTGGGTGGTTGAGGGGACTGGGCGCCTTGGAGCAGGGGTTGGCGCTCGTCAGGGAGGCTCGGGCCGCACAGGAGCCCATGGAGGGGGTGGGAGGCTCAAGCATGGTGGGCTGCAGGTCCCGAGCCCTGCCCCGTGGGAAGGCAGCCAAGGCCCAGCGAGAAATGGAGCGCAGTGCCGGTGGGCCTGCACTGTTGGGGGACCCAGTACACCCTCCGCAGCCACTGGCCCGGGTGCTAAGTGCCCCATTGCCCAGGGCCAGCAGGGCTGGCTGGCTGCTCCGAGTGCGGGGCCCACCAAGCCCACGCCCACCCGGAACTCCAGCTGGCCCGCAAGTGCCGCACACAGCCCCGGTTCCTGCTCGTGTCTCTCCCTCCACACCTCCCTGCAAGCTGAGGGAGTGGGCTCCGGCTTTGGTCAGCCCAGAAAGGGGCTCCCACAGTGCAGTGGGGGACTGAAGGGCTCCTCAAATGCCACCAAAGTGGGAGCCCAGGCAGGGGAGGTGTCGAGAGCAAGCGAGGGCTGAGGACTGCCAGCACGCTGTCACCTGTCATTAGGATGCAGTTTTAAAATTTCCAAAGTACCTTTATGCATATTTTTCTCAAATCAATCCTACAGCCACTTCATGAGAGACTCGTAGGTGGGAATGTTATCCCTATTTCACAACTAAGCAAGCAGAGTCCAAGATTTGTTAACTTTTTTTTTTTTTTTGAGACAGAGTCTCACTCAGTCGCCCAGGCTGGAGTGCAGTGGAGCGATCTCCGCTCACTGCAAGCTCCGCCTCCCAGGTTCACGCCATTCTCCTGCCTCAGCCTCCGGAGTAGCTGGGACTGCAGGCACCCACCACTATGCCCGGTTAATTTTTTTGTGTTTTCAGTAGAGACAGGGTTTCACTGTGTTAGCCAGGATGGTCTCCATCTCCTGACCTCGTGATCCGCCTGTCTCGGCCTCCCAAAGTGCTGGGATTACAGGCGTGAGCCGCCGCGCCCGGCCAAGATTTGTTAACTTTTTAGAGCTGAAGTTTGGTCCACTATTTTATGTCATCAACCTTTGATTTGCTGTGCTCTTCCCGTCAATTTAGAAAAGAATTTACCAAAGGTTGTAACATGTAATACAATTATTTTTTTCTCTGTACTTGAAAACAGAAACAATGGTGATTATGTATAATATATGGAGTATCTACTGATTATTTTAGATGTCACTGAATTTATAAATTGAACTGAACATATAACCTCAGTTACTTTGCCAAAATTCCTTCTTTCAATATTACATAAACTGTAGAATGCGGAAGAGGCACTTTTAATTTCTAATTATTTAAGCGAGAAATGGAAAGACTCAACACTTCCTTTTAGGCTCAGACATAAAATTTCTGGTTGATACATCACCAGGGATTGTGATTTACACATGTATGTAAGTGAAACTTTCCGAATAGACAAACTTACAGGATATATGGAATATCATTGTATTTACATACAGCACTATCTCAGACATCATTCCAAAAACTAAAGGACAATGAGGAAATATTTCCAAAATCCATATTACAGTGCTTTGGGGAGGTAAAAGAGAGAATGTTGCAATATGTTTTCCTGTTTGACTCAAGCTACATCTTAGGAGATATTTTAAACAGTGAATAAAATTTCTGTGTCATAGTGAAAAGACATAAGCCAAACTACAATTCTCCAAAGAAATCTGAAATGAAGATTACTAAATACAACCTCCTGGATTTGGTTTTACTTACCTAGTATGTTGACTATGTCTGCTTATGGTTTTCTTACTTATGCCTACTTACCACCTTTTAATTAAATGAGCTGATAAAATTTCATCTAAGTGCAGAATTTCCTTCGCTTGACATGAACTCTTTGTTCTACTGTGAGTCACCTGCCCTGGCTTTCTATTATGTGGATGTCTACAAAGGGATGTGCTTGTAACTCAAGTATAAGCAGATGGTTCTTTTATTGTTATAAATCAAATTGGTATAACCTGTGATTGGGTTTGATGTGGCCCCAGTTTTCTGAGGCCTGTGAAAATTGCTAGGTTGCTCTTTTTCATTTTTTCTTATCACCTTAACTGGAGTTGGAGGCTCTTGCAAGTCCAGGGCAATGATGTCTTAGGCAACCTCAGTTGTCTAGTGTGACTTAATAAGCCTGATGTATGTAGCAGAACCAATCTTTGCTTTTATATATAACATATGAATTGATGTGAACCTCATTCTCTAGGTTGCAGGTATTGGATTACTTTGTAATTCTTTATTATAATAAGCAAGGTGTTCATCTGATTTTTTTTAACTGTTAATTCCACCCCTTTTCTTACTAGTTTTCTAATGACAATTGATGGAGAAAATAAATAAACCCTAAATATCACAATTCTAAAAACTGCACTATTTTGAGATTGTAAAATTATTGGCTTTTGGTGTTTATTGATTCATGTCTGGTTTTTAGTAGGATTATCAAACCTTGTTTTGGCAATGAGTATAGAGTGCAAAATGCAAAGCCGTTTGCCATGATGTAGATGCTCACGGTATGCTCCTACATCTAAAGATACTATTCTCTGGCAGGGTGCCGTGGCTCAAGCCTGTAATCCCAGCACTTTGGGAGGCCAAGGCAGGCGGATCACGAGGTCAGGAGATCGAGACCATCCTGGCTAACACGGTGAAACCCCGTCTCTACTAAAAATGCAAAAAAAAAAAAAAAAAATTAGCCGGGCGTAGCGGCGGGCGCCTGTAGTCCCACCTACTCGGGAGCCTGAGGCAGAAGAATGGCGTGAACCCGGGAGGCGGAGGTTGCAGTGAGCCGAGATTGCGCCACTGTACTCCAGCCCGGGCGACAGAGCAAGACTCCATCTCAAAAAAAAAAAAAAAAAAGAGATACTATTCTCCAACATAAATCAGGCATATAGGAAATACAAACATACAGGAAATGCAAACATCTTAGAGTGTACTTACACAAACCTAGATGGGATAGCACAGAAAATATGAACTATGGCAGAAAAATACATTAAGTTAGCTGAATGACATCCCTAATAAAAATCTGACTCTATTCTAAAACTGGGTAATTTATGTTTAGGTAGATTAACTTAATTTTTTCATGTAATCTCCAGGAACAAATAAACCTTTTCCACAGTTGCACTTAACAAACTAAAGAATTAAAAGGAGAAAGAACACTAGTAATAATTACTCCCAGCTAGGCAGGTAGCTCACGTCTGTAATCCCAGCACTTTGAGAGGCCGAGGGGCGGGTCACCTGAGCTCAGGAGTTCGAGACCAGACAGGCCAACCCGGCTAAATCCCGTCTCTACTATAAATACAAAAATTAGATGGGCATGGTGGTATGCACCTGTAATCCTAGCTACTCCATTGGTTGAGACAGGAGAATTGCTTGAACCTGAAAGGCAGAAGTTGCAGTGAGCCGAGATCGTGCCACTGCACTCTAGCCTGGGTGACAGAACAAGAACACGTCTTAAAAAAAAGAAATACTTCCTACTATGCATGCTTACAAAGTTTTCTATTCAAGACCAGGCTGGTCTCGAACTCCTGACCTCAGGCAATCCGCCCACCTCAGCCTCCCGAAATGCTGAGATTACATGGGTGGGCCACCTCGCCTGGCCCCATTTATCCCTCACTTTATAACCTGAATCAAGGTTTTTAAATTTTATGTTAAAGATGGCCGGGCGTGGTGGCTCATGCCTGTAATCCCAGTTTGAGACCAGCCTGGCCAATATGGTGAAACCCTGTCTCTAATAAAAAATACAAAAATTAGCCAGGCTTGGTGACATTTGCCTGTTTTCCTAGCTACTCAGGAGGCTGAGGCAGGAGAATCGCTTGAAGCCAGGGGACAGAGGTTGCAGTGAACCGAGATGGTGCCACCGCACTCCAGCCTGGGCAACAAAAGAAACTCTGTCTCAAAAAAAAAAAAAAAAAAAAAAAAAAAAAGTTAAAGATTTTTGAATTTTGTTAATCTATTTTGTTTTCCTTCATAAAATCATGATCAAAGCTAGAAAGAACATAAGAAAGTATAGCATAGTCATTAATAGAAAGAGCTCTACAATCAGCTTAAATTTATTTTCTCTCTTTTCTAGTTATGTGATCTTAGGCAAGTTAAATAAATTACCTGTGTTCAGTTTATTTATTTGTGAAATGGGGAAAATAATGTTGCCTGTCTCTGGGATAAGATTGTGGTGAGGGTGAGTAACAGGTATAGCAAGCATAAAGCATAAAGAGGGCATAGGAATTGCCCTCTCTGCATGCCCCTGCATATGTGTGCATACAGGCATGCATCACTTGATGATGGGATATGTTTGGAGAAATGTGTCATTAGGCAAATTTGTCATTGTGCAAACATCTTAAGAGTGTACGTACACAAACCTAGATGGGATAGCCTACTACACTCCTAGATTATATGGTATAGCCTATTGCTTCTAGGCTACAAACCTGTACAGCATGTTACTGTACTAAATACCGCAATTGTAACACAATGGTAGGTATTTTTGCGTCTAATCATAGAAAAGGTGCAGTTAAAAAAAAAAAGGGTACACTTGTAGAGGGCACTTAACATGAATGCAGCTTGCAGAGCTGGAAGTTGCTCTGGGTAAGTGAGTGAGTGAGTGAGTGGTGAGTGGATATGAAGGCCTAGGACATTATGGGCCCTGCTGTAGACTTAAGCAACACTGGATGTGCACTTAGGCTATATCAAATACATTTTTAAAATTGTTTTCTTTTATCAATAATAAATTCGCTTTAGCTTACTGTAACTTTCTGACATTACACACTTTTTTTTTACCTTTTTGGCTCCTTTGTCATAATTCTTAGCTTAAAACACAAACACATTGTACAGCTATAAGAAAATTTTTTTTTCTTTATATCCCAGTCTACAAGCTTTTTGCTATTTTTAATTTTTGTGTTACTTTTTAACTCTTTTATAAAAAACTAACACAAACACATATTAGTTTGGGCCTATACAGGATCAGGATCATCAACATCATTGTCTTCCACCTTCATATCCTGTCCCGCTGGAAGCTCTTTGGAGCAACAACACGCATGAAGCTGTCATCTCCTATGATAACAATCCTTCTTTCTGGACACCTCCTGAGGGACATGCCTGAAGTTGCTCTACTGTTCAGTTTATTTATTTATTTTTTAATAAGTAGTACATTCTCAAAAAGTGATAACCAGGGCTGGGCGTGGTGGCTCACCCCTGTAATCCCAGCACTTCGGGAGGCCAAGGCGGGTGGATCACTTGAGGGCAGGAGTTCAAGACCAGCCTGGCCAACATGGTGAAACCCCATCTCTACTAAAAATACAAAAATCAGCCAGGCATGGTGGCGAGCACCTGTAATCCCAGCTACTCGGGAAGCTGAGGCAGAAGAATTGCTTGAACCCAGCAGGTGGAGGTTGTAGTGAGCCGAAATCACACCATTGCAACTCCAACCTGAAAATAAATAAATAAATAAATAAATAAATAAATAAATAAATAAACAAAAAAAGAATAGAGTAGTAAATATATAAACCACTAATATAGTCACTTCTTATCATTATCATCTATTATGTTCTGTAAGTAATTGTATGTGCTAGACTTTTATAGCCTTGGCAGCACAGTCTGTTTACACCAGCATCAGCACAGACATGTGAGTAATGCATAGTGCGATGATGTTATATTGAGAATGACATCACTAGGAAACAGGAATTTTTCAGCTCCATTACAATCCTATAGGACCAATATGTGGTCCACGTTGACTGAAATGAATTTACACAGTACATGACTTTGTAAAATTACTAGCCCTCAAAAATCAGTTGTATCTTCAACATTTCCTACCTCTGCAAAAGGCATCACTATCCTCCCAGTTACCCAGGCATAAAACCTTGGAATTCTATCGAATTATTTTATTTCCTTAACATCTCATGTTTAATTAGTCACTGATTCCCATCAATTTTCTCCTATCATGTTTATTAGTAGCAACACATTATTTCTCCTAGAAAAAATAATTTCCTAGTTTAGGCTCTTAATTTAGCCTATTTTTAAAATACCTCGAAGTTTAACATATACTCTTTATTTCTCATTTCTTAAAATATTTTCTACATTTTGCTACAGTTAACCTTTCTAAAGCATAAATATCTCATTTTGTCACTTGTCTGCTCAAAAAAACCGTAAAATCTCTTCTTGGTCTAGAAGGTAAAATTGCAATGTTTGGCATGATGGATATAGAAATTCTCATTTCTCCCTTTTCTTCTTTTCTCCTTTGCCCCCACATCTTTTCTTCCATGTTCACACCAGTACCCACTGTCCCAGGCATACAGAATTCATTGTTTCATGAACAGAGCCAACACATTCTAACTACCATGCATTTACTCAAACCATCTGGCCACCTGGAATTCCCTACTATCCCCCATAAAATTTAAATTAAAAAATTCCAGTATTCTGTTCTCTCTGAAGATGTCCCTGAACCTTTATTGAAACTCATTGACATATCCTTTGGTTCCAGCAGCCTTTATTGTATATGCCATAATTTAGCACATACATTACTCTGCCTTACATTTTACTAAGTTAGTGACCTCTCTCCACTGATGAAACAGTGTCAGGATTTTTTTCATTTTTGTATTCCCTGCCGGTCCACAGAGTGCTATGAACATATGATTTGCTAAGTTAATTTTAAATTGACTTAAACTTACTGGTGAATTCACCGATCAACTGTTCAAGTATTTCTTTTAGAAATGTCTTGCCTTGGCCGGGCGCGGTGGCTCACGCCTGTAATCCCAGCACTTTAGGAGGCCGAGGTGGGCGGATCATGAGGTCAGGAGATCGAGACCATCCTGGCTAACACGGTGAAACCCCCTCTCTACTAAAGATACAAAAAAATTAGCTAGGCGTGGTGGCGGGCACCTCTAGTCCCACTACTCGGGAGGCTGAGGCAGGAGAATGGTGTGAACCCAGCAGGCGGAGCTTGCAGTAAACCGAGATGGCGCCACTGCACTCCAGCCTGGGAGACAGAGTGAGACTCCGTCTCAAAAAAAAAAAAAAAAGGAAAGAAAGAAATGTCCTTGCCTTGATACATTTTATATTCTAAAAAAAATTAATTTCATTTTAAGAACAATATCTTCCAAAACAAAGAAACAAAAACTCCCATACACTTCTAATGGTGGTTATGGGCAACATTCAAAATGGCACACCAATTGTAAAAAAAAAATTTCCCATGAAAGCCAGAGGTGAAAAAAAGATCTCAGATAATAGTATGACTAAAAGCAGAGGAAATTATATACAATGCACAATTTTAATGTCAATATTGTCATTGTTTCCTAGGTTAGGGGAGAGTATAACCGCATTTATAAACTTGTTCTTTTTGTCTCTCCTCATGTTGACCTTACACATAGCGTATTAGGCTGTTAAAATAACAAAAGGAAGGAGAAAACGGTATATTGAAATCCAGCATTTTCTTACAACAATTCCTTACTGTGAATTTTGAATGAAAATTAAATTCTTTAATCACTAGGAAAGACTCTGAGTGTGCAGGTGTTCCTTTCAGCTGATATAAACATTGATAAGATCAAAGCTTTCTCTAAATTATCTGTCTTACCAAGTTTTGACTGAATCTCTGAACAAAATCCTGTAGCTTCTCTTTATTTTGGATAAACCTTTGATCCTTTAAAAATATAGGCATGGCCAGGCGCGGTGGCTCATGCCTGTAATCCCAGCACTTTGGGAGGCTGAGGTGGGCAAATCACAAGGTCTAGAGATTGAGACCACCCTAGCCAACATGGTGAAACTCCATCTCTACTAAAAATACAAAAATTAGCTGGGCATGGTGGTGGATGCCTGTAATCCCAGTGGCTCGGAAGGCTGGGGCAGGAGAATCACTTGAACCTGGGAGGCAGAGGTTGCAGTGAGCCGAGATCATGCCATTGCACTCCAGTCTGGGCAACAGAGCAAGACTGCATCTCAAAAAAAAAAAAAAAAAAAAAAAAAAAAAAAAAAAAAAAAGAAGAAGAAGAAGAAGAAGAAGAAGAAGAGGAAGAGGAAGAGGAAGAGGAAGAGGAAGAAGAAGAAGAAGAAGAAGAAAAGAAAAGAAAAGAAAAGAAAAGAAAGAAAGAAAGAAAGAAAGTCATATCTGGCTAAGGAAATGGAGAAAAAAAAAAGGCAAAAAGGCAAAAAAGTTAACCACTACTTGCACTGTAAAATGGGCTTAAGTTTAAGGTTTGGCAAGTGTTTAAGAAAAGCATGCATTAAGCTCATTTTCTGTGGAGACAAGTCTCTGGGCATTTAGTTTTGGTTAAGGTAAATACTTTATTTAAAATTTTAAAGACCTTAGTAATGTAAACAAATTATGTTGAGTTTGGACTTCTCTACAAAATCTATGTGGAATCTTAGGAAAGGAAGAGTGAAAGGATACAGTAAGGACAATTTAAGTGGTAGTTCAGCCTCAATCCTAAGCATAAGCATAATATGCTGCTTTTTCTTTTTTTCTTTTTTCTTTTTTTTTAGACATAGTCTCCTTCTGTCCCCCAGGCTGGAGTGCAGTGGTGCCATCTTAACTCATTCAATCCCCATCCCCCAGATTCAAGCGATTCTCCTGCCTCAGCCTCCCAAGTATCTGGGATCACAGGCAGGCACCTGCCACTCTGGCTCGTTTTTTGTATTTTTAATAGAGATGGGGTTTCACCATGTTGGCCAGGCTCGTCTCGAACTCCTAACCTCAAGTGATCCACCCACCTCCGCCTGCCAAAACGCTGGGATTACCGGCATGAGCCACTATGCCCGGCCAATATGTTGCTTTTTAAAAATGAGTTATTAGTATTAGTTTTCTTCTGTTGCTAATGGTCATTTCTATCTTCACTTAATTTACTCTGAATCCCATGCCACTTTTGCATTCCAGGCTAAAGTTTGGATTGAAGGAAAGGATAGCAAGTCAATTCACAATCTGATTTTTTCAATACAGAGACTGTACATGTTTACTAAAAAGAATAGCCCTTAATTCTTTTTTAAAAGCCCACAGCAAGCAAGATAATTAACAATTTTTACATGAACAAATGGCTTACAATATTTTAAAAATCTAGAGAACACTGATACCATCTTCAGTTATTGGCAATGGCATATTATCAATTCACTTTTCCAAAGAGATAGAAGTTACTCCTTTTGCCTTAGATCAGACTTCTTAAACTGTCAAATGAAGTAGCTGAGTATAACTTACCACCCACAACTTTTATATTTAGCCTCCTCTCTTCATTTCCTTTGTATTATGTGTACTGTAGCCCTTATATTAATATTTCTTTATCTTACACATATTTCTTTCTTAAAAATGTGCTTTCATTTAGATGAGAAATACAATTTTAAGGGAAAAGTTGACTCATGCCTAGTCCTGTATTTTTTTTTAATTGCTGATCTGTCCTGAGGAAATTAATGTTGCCCTACTGGGCATGATGCTGTCCCTTTAGGGAGATTCCTGCAAGTTATGACAGCTGGGGTTTTATAGGTGTCCACATTAAGCCTTTCATTGAGAGCAGAGATTAACTTGCAGTTGCCTGTATGACACAAATATATCTAAGAAATCAACATAATCTTTCAAAAACCCTCTGGCTAATACTAGTGTGTAGCCACTATTAATACAGTGGTTCTAAGTTTGTTCCAGGATCTCAAAGCCTTAAATCATTTCATGAACGCCTACTGCAAATGTCGGCATATAATGCTTACAAGGACACAACTGGGTGTCTCACACTGTATTATTTTAGTTTTAACCCACTTGAGATCCATCAAGTTATCTGTCATAGAACACATGAAAGACCCCTGTAGAGAAGTCTCAGAATAAAAAACGGGCCTGGTTATGTTCCTTGGGAGAAGAGCAAAGAAAGCATGGGTTTACATTCTCTGTCTTTAAGAAATTGTCATTGTAGCTGTTGTTTGTTTCAAAATCTATGTACAGTCCTGACCGACCAATTGACAATGGCTGCCTGACTCAGCCATTCAGATATGTTACCATAAATTCCCTGAGTTTTCTTTATAGCAAGAAAAGAAATCAGGACATTCGAAAAGTAATACACTGTGGATATTTACATGGCTAGAGTATAATTTTCTCTGCTTAATAATAAAACTTAATAATAAGCTTTATAATACAACTCTCATACAAATACAAAATAAACCTCTGTCAAAATTTATTTTACTTACTCCTGAGGAAATCAGTAGGTGGGAAAGCTGGTTCCAAGAGCAAGTGAAAAAAAAATTACAGATATTTTTCCTCCAAAACAAGAAATGTTAGAATAAGACAACTATGTTAGAAACAATACAGATTAATGACAACAAATGGTACTGGGAAAACTGGATACCCACAGGCAAAATATGAAGTTTAGGCCCTTAACTTATATAATATACAAAAATAAACTAAAATGGATCAAATACTTAAAAGTAAGAGCTACACCTCTCAAACTCTCAGTAAAAAACATAGGAGAAAATATTCTTTATGTCAGATTTAGCAATGATTTCTTAGATATGACACCATAGGTACATAGAATGAAAAAAATAACAAATAAATTACTTTTCATCAAAATTAAGTTTGGTGCATTAAAAGTCACCGTCAAGACAGTGGAACAACAACTCAAAGAATGGGAGAAGATATCTGCAAATCACATATGTGATATGACATCAATATATGTGGATACAATATGTGTAATAGAATATATAAAGAACTCTTGGTTGGGTGTGGTGGCTCAGGCCTGTAATCCCAGCCCTTTGGGAGGCTGAGGCGGGTAGATTACTGCAGGTCAGGAGTTCAAGACCTGCCTGGCCAACATGATGAAACCCTGTCTCTACTAAAAATACAAAATTAGCTGGGCGTGGTGGCATGTGCCTGTAATCCCAGCTACTTGAGAGGCTGAGGCGGGAGAATCACTTGAACCTGGGAGGCGGAGGTTGCAGTGAACTGGGATAGTGCCATTGCACCCCTGCCTGGGCAAAAAGAGAGAAACTCCATCTCAAAAACAAAAAACCTCCTACAACTCAACAACAAATAATAAAGGGTTCAATTTGTTAAATAGGCAAAGGACTTGAATAGATAATTATCTAAAAAAGCTATTTGAATGGCCAACAAGCACATGAAAAGAGGCTCAATATCACTAGCCATTAGCAAAATGCAAATCAAAATCAAGATGAGATATCATTTCATACCCATTAGGATGACTATAAAAAAAAAAAACCCAGAAAATAACAAGTGTTAGTGAGGATTTAGAGTAAATGGGAACCCTTGTGTATTGCTGGTGGGAATGTAAAATGGTGTAGCTGCTGTGGACAACAGTTTGGTGGCTCCTCAAAGGTTAAACATAGAACTACTATGTTATCCAGCAATTCTGTGCCTAGGTTCATGACCAAAGTAATTGAAAATAGACACTCCAACAGATATTGACCACCAATGTTCACAGTGGCATTATTTACAGTAGCCAAAAGCAGGAAGCAATTCAAATGTTCATCAATAGATGAATGTATAAACGAAATAGAGTATATTCACATAATGAAACCTTATTCAGCCTTATTAATGAATGAAATTTTGATACATGCTACAGAATGTCAGTCACTACAACATGCATAGCATAAACCTTGAAAATATTATGTTTAGTGAAAATAAGCCAGATGCAAAAGCATAAATATTGCCTGAAGTACTTAGAATAAGCAAATCATAGAGACAGAAAGAAGAATCATTACCAGGAACTAGTGTGGGTGAAAAGTTATTGTTTAATGGGTACAGAGAGTTTTTTTTTTTTTTTTTTTTGAGGCAGAGTCTCACTCTGTCACCAGGCTAAAGTGCAGTGGCACAATTCTAGCTCACTGAAACCTCTGTCTCCTGGGCCCAAGAGATTCTCCTGCCTCAGCCTCCCAAGTAGCTTGGATTACAAGTGCGTGCCACCATGTCCAGCTAGTTTTAGTATTTTCAGTAGAGACTGGGTTTCATCTTGTTGGCCAGGATGGTCTTGATCTCTTGACCTGGTTATCCACCCGCCTCAGCCTCTCAAAGTGCTGGGATTACAAGCGTGAGCCACCATGCCTGAACATAATTTCTGTATGGCATGATTAAAGAGTTCTGGAAATGGACAGTGGTAAAGATTGCCTAATATGGTGAATGTAACGCCCTCTGAACTGTACATTTAAAACTTACTAAAGTGTAGAGCTAATGAAGAAATATGGGGCACACCAAAAGAGCCTTAATTCTTTTTTTTTGTTGTTGTTGTTGTTGTAACAGAGTTTTGCTTTTGTTGCCCAGGCTAGAGTGCAATGGTGCCATCTCGGCTCACTGCAGCCTCCGCCTCCTGGGTTCAAGGGATTCTCCTGCCTCAGTCTCCCGAGTAGCTGGGAATACAGGCATGTGCTACCACAACCAGCTAATTTTGTATTTTTAGTGCAGACAGGGTTTCTCCACATTGGTAAGGCTGGTCTCAAATTCCCGACCTCAGGTGATCTGCCCACCTAGGCCTCCCAAAGTGCTGGGATTACAGGCATGAGCCATCATGCCTGGCCAGAGCCTAGTTTCTTTTAGCATCACTCATTTTATAAGTCAAAAATTGTCATGATTTTTCTAGACATCACCTAGGAAATCTAAAAAATACTTCTTTTTCCCTAAAAATCAGAAAATATTTACTTTTTAGAATTTAAGATATAATTTCAGATGGGCAAAAATACAAAGTGTTATCAGAGGAGATTTGGTCACTATGACTAAGATAGGAATACAGGTGCAGAGAGGAAAATAGTGGCAATAATCACAATGACAATACAATATTCTAAAATAAGCATAGAAAAAGATATCATAATTTTTAGAAAATGTATCCCTTTCATAATGAATTACTTACGCTGTACAAATGTTTTTCCCTGATTTTTCTTTCTAGCTTCATTGAAGTATGATTGATAAATAAAAATTGCACATATTTAAGGTATATAATATGATGTGATGTATGTATACATTGTGAAGTAATAGCCACTGTCAACATTTTCATCAACTTACAAAGTTGCACTTTCTCTGTGTGTGTCTGTGTGTGTTTGTATGGGAATACGTAAGACCTACCCTGTTAGCAAAGTTCAAGTATACAATACATTCTTATCAGCTGTAGACACTATGCTATATATTAGGTCCCCGGAATGTATTAATCTTTTAACTAAAAGCATAAGATAAAAGCATAAGCATAAATTTAAACTAATGAGTTTAAATTTTTTAGATTTCACAGATAAGTTCGATTATGAAGCATATTTGTTTTTCTGTGTCTGGCTTATTTCACTTAGCATTATGTTCTCCTGTTCCATCAATACTGTCACAAATAGTAGTAGTTCCTTCTTTTTTAAGGCTGAATAATATTCCATTGCATGTATATGCCACATTTTCTTTATCCACTAATCTGTAATAAAGGCTATCATTCAAAATACACAAGAAAACCTTCAAATTTCATAAGAAAGCAAATAATTCAATTAAAAAATGAGAAAATATAAATGAACAAGTCACTGAAGAAAATATAAAAATGGCAAGTTAAGTATTTGAAAATATATTCAACAACATATTGAGAGGTGACAGTGTGCTGGCAGCCCTCACTCGCTCCTGGTGACTCCTCAGCCTTGGTGCCCACTCTGGCCATGCTTGAGGAGCCCTTCAGTCTGCTGCTGCACTGTGGGAGCCCCTCTCTGGGCTGGCCGAGGCCGGAGCCGGCTCCCTCTGCTTGCAGGGAGGTGTGGAGGGAGAGGTGCCAGCAGGAACCAGGGCTGCCCACGGCACTTGCAGGCCAGTGTGAGTTCTGGGTGGGTGTGGCTCGGCAGGCCCTGCACTCAGAGCAGCCGACTGGCGCCACTGGCCCTGAGCAGTGAGGGGCTTAGCACTTGGGCCAGCAGCTGCAGTGGGTGCGCCAGGTCCCCCAGCACTGCTGGCCCTCCCACACCACGCTCGAGTTCTCACCAAGCCTCAGCCACCTCCCCATGGGGCAGGGCTTGGGACCTGCAGCCTGCCATGCCCAAGCCACCCACCCCACCCCCCATGGGCTCCCATGCAGCCCAAGCCTCCCTGACAGGTTCCACCTGCTGCTCTGCGGCGCCCAGTCCCATTGACTGCCCAAGGGCTGAGGAGTGTGGGCGCACTGCGTGGGACTGGCGGGCAGCTCTGCCCATGGCCCCGACATGGGATCCACTAGGCGAAGCCAGCTGGGCTCCTGAGTGGAGTGGGGTCTTGGAGAACTTTTATGTCTAGCTGGAGGTTTGCAAATGCACCAATGAGCACTCTGTGTCTAGCTCGGGGTTTGTGGACACACCAATCAGCACTCTGTGTCTAACTAAAAGTTTGTAAATGCACCAATCAGTGCTCTGTGTCTAGCTAACCTAGTGGAGACTTGGAAAACTGTTATGTCTAGCTAGAGGATTATAAATGCACCAATCAGCACTCGGTGTCTAGCTCAGGGATTGTAAACACACTAATCAGCACCCTGTCAGAACAGACCAGTCAGCTCTCTGTAAAATGGACCAATCAGTGCTCTTTAAAATGGACCAATCAGCAGGATGTGGGTGGGGCCAGATAAGGGAATAAAAGCAGGCTGCCAGAGCCCAGTGCACAACCTGCTCCTGTTCCCTTCCATGCTATGGAATCTACCTTGTTTTGCTCTTTGCAATAAATCTTGTTGCTGCTCACTTATTGAGTCTGCACTGCCTTTATGAGCTGTTACAGTCACCGTGAAGGTCTGCAGTTTCACTCCTGAGGCCAGCAAAACCACGAACCGACCGGGGGGGAATGAACAACTCCAGACATGCCGCCTTAAGAGCTGTAACTTTCACCACCAGGTCTGCAGCTTCACTTCTGAAGCCAGGAAGACCACGAACCCACCAGAAGGAAGAAACTCTGAACACGTCCAAACATCAGAAGGAACAAACTCCGGACACACGACCTTTAAGAACTGTAACACTCACTGCGAGGGTCCACGGCTTCATTCTTGAAGTCAGTGAGAGCAAGAACCCACCAATTTTGCACACAATATGACTTCAGGGAAATAAAAGCATTCTATATATTGAAATTTCTTTTAACAAAGCAAATAGAAAACTTTCTCAGAAAAACCAAATTTAAGTGATACATTGTCAGCTGACCTGTCTTGCAAGAAATACTAAAGGAAGTTCTTCAAGGGGAGAGAAAATGATACAAGTGAGAAACTCGGATACACAGTAAAGAAGCAATAAATGAAAAAGAATAAATCAAAGTTAAAAACATTTTTCTTATTGATCTATAAGATAACTAGTAACAAAAAAACTGGGTAATTATAGAATGTGGATAGGTGAAATGAACAATAGCAATGTCTTAAGGTACAGGAGGTATGATCTGGTAGTATTTTTACACCACATGTGAAGTAACAGTTTTATTTGAAGATAGACCTAAAATACATATAATCAATTCTAATTTATTTAAATTAGACCTAAAATGCATATAATCAATTCTAGGAAAACCCCCACAAGTTTTTAAAAGAAGTGATGAGATCATGTCTTATGAGGTGATGAGATATGCCAAGAGCTGAGACAAAATGCAATCATAGAAGACGCTTAACTAAAATAGGAGGCAGGTCAGGCACGGCGGCTTATGCCAGTAATCCCAGCACTTTGGGATGCCAAGGTAGGCGGACCACCTGAGACCAAGAGTTCGAGATGAGCCTGACCAACATGATGAAACCCCTTTGCTACAAAAAATACAAAAATAAGCTGGGTGTGGTGGCACACAACTGTAATCCCAGCTACTCTGGAGGCTAAGGTGGGAAGATCACTTTAACCTGGGAGGTGGAGGTTGCAGTGAGCCAAGCTCGCATCACTGCACTCCAGCCTGGGTGACAGAGTGAGGCTCCATCTCAAAATGAAATAAAATAAAAATAAGTTAATATAATTGATATTTATATTATACTTCAACAAAAGTAGAATACACATTCTTCTCTAGTTTGTATGAGACACACTGCATTATGGGCCATAAACATCTTAAAATTTTTCAAAGAATAAAGTTTATACAAAGTATAAAATCAGACCACAATAAAAATTAAAGGAGAAATAAATAACAGGAAGAGCTGAAAATTTTTCAAATATTTGAAGATTCAACAAAACTTCTAAATGCATCCCAAGAGAAGATTAAAGAGTAATTAAAATATTTGGAGCTAAATGAAAATGGAATCACAACTTATTGAAATATATGAGATACAGTAGAAACAGTACATAAAGATAAATTTATAGCATTAAATGAATGTATTAGGAAAAAAGATGTAAAATCAATAACCTAAGCTTCTGCCTTAAGAAACTAGAAAAAGACAATCCAAAGTATGTAACAAGGGAAAAATATATAAAGTATAGCAGATATTAATAAAATAGAAAACAGTAAAACAATAGAGAAAATCATGAAACAGGAAGCTGTTTCTTTGAAAAGATCCATAAACTTACTAACATTTACTCAAACTAATAAAGAAAAAAAGAGAGAATGCACAACTTACAAATACTGGAAATGGAAATGAAAGAGGTGTATGGGTTATGACTACAAAAAATTGTGGACATTAAATGGATAATAAATATAGTATATTTAAAACTGTATACGCACAAATTTAATAACCTATATAAAATGGACAAATACCTTGAAAGACACAGTATACTAAAACTCACAAAAGAAAAAATAGATGGCCGATGTGGTGGCTCACGCCTGTAATCCCAGCACTTTGAGAGGCCGAGGTGGGTGGATCACGAGGTCAGGAGATTGAGACCATCATGGCCAACATAGTGAAACCCCGTCTCTACTAAATATACAAAAAATTAGCCAGGAGTGGTGGCAAGCGCCTGCAGTCTCAGCTACTCAGGAGGCTGAGGCAGGAGAATCTCTTGAACCCGGGAGACGGAGATTGCAGTGAGCCGAGATGGCACAACTTCACTCAAGCCTCTGCGACAGAGGGAGACTCCGTCTCAAAAAAAAAAAAAAAAGAAGATAACATGAGCACTCTTACATCTATAAAAGGAATAGAATAAATAGGTAATAACCACCCCCCCCCCCGGCCAATGGTTCCAGGCCCAAATGGGTTTAGTGGTGAGTTTTATCAAGCATTTAAAGAAGAAATTGTATCAATTTTCCACAGACTTTTCAAGAAAATAGAAGTACAGAGAACACTTCCTAATTCATTCTATAAGGTAAATATTACCCTTTGACCAAATCCAATAGACATAACAAGAATTAAAAACTATATATTGGCTGGGTGTGGTGGCTCATGCCTGTAATCCCAGCACTTTGGGAGGCCAAAGCGGGCGGATCACCAGGTCAGGAGATTGAGACTATCCTGGCTAACACGGTGAAACCCGGTCTCTACTAAAAGCACAAAAAAAAATTAGCTGAGCGTGGTGGGGGCGCCTGTAGTCCCAGCTGCTCGGGAGGCTGAAGCAGGAGAATGGTGTGAGCCCAGGAGGCGGAGCTTGCAGTGAGCCGAGATCACGCCACTGCACTCCAGCCTGGGTGAGACTCCCTCTCAAAAAAACAAACAAACAAAAAAAACTATATATCAATATCTCTCATGAACAAAGATTCGATAATTCTTCACAAAATACTAGCCAGTTGAATCTAACTATGTATGTATTCTAGGTATGCAAGTATGCAAGACTGGTTCAATATTAGAAAATTATCTGCAGAATTTCCCAAATCAACAGGTTAAGGAAGAAAAATAATGTGACTGTATCAACCGATGTAGAAAAATCTTATGGCAAAATCTGTTTTGCTGTTTTTGGGGGTTTTTTTTGTTTTTTTTTTTTGAGACGGAGTCTTGCTCTGTGGCCCAGGCTGGAGTGCAGTGGCGCGATCTCGGCTTACAGCAGGCTCCGCCCCCAGGGTTCACGATCTTATGGCAAAATGTATCACGCATCCATAATTTGAGAAACTCTCAGCAAACCAGGAATTGAGGTGAATTTTCTTAACTTGACAAAGAACATCTACAAAACCTCTAAAACTATCATACTTAATGATGAGAAATGGAATGCTTTTCCCCAAAGGTTAGAAGCAAGAAGAGTTTTTTTTTCTTTCACCACTTGCAAAATGAAACCACCACACTGGAAGACAGATGGGCCGTTTCCTACTGCCCATAGTTGCTATACTATATGTAAAACGAAAGTCTTACATATAGTATACCAATTGTGTTTTTGTTTGTTTGTTTTTTGTTTTGTTGAGATGGAGTCTCGCTCTGTCTCCCAGGCTGGAGTGCAGTGGCGCGATCTTGGGTCACTGCCACCTCCGCCTCCTGAGTTCAAGTAATTCTCCTGCCTCAGCTTCCCAAGTAGCTGGGACTACAGGTGCCCACCGCCCTGCCAGGCTAATGTTTTTTGTTTTTGTTTTTGTTTTTTGTATTTTAGTAGAGATGGGGTTTCACCATGTTGCCCAGACTGGTCTCGAAATCCTGAACTCAGGCAATCCACCCGCCTTGGCTTCCCAAAGTGCTAGGATTACAGGTTTCAGCCACTGCGCCCGGCCTCAACTGTGTTTTTAGGTGGTTATCTACCTTATTTGAAAACTATGTCCACACCCAAACTGGCACATGAGTGTATATAGCAGCTTTGCTCATAATTCCCCAAACTGGAAGAAACCTAGAAGTCTTATGATTGATAAATGGATTCACACACACACACACACACACACACACACACACCCCACAGTGGTACGACATGTAAGGGAATATTATTTCAACTAAAAAAGTAAGTGATCTGCCTAAAGATTAAGTGAGGAGGTTTAATAGGTGAAGCACATAGGCATTATTTGGACCAGTCAGACTAGTCTGTAGGATACCATACTGTGGAAACATGATACTATGTATTTGTTAAAAAACAAAGAATCTCACAGCACAAAGAATGTCACTTAATATATGCAAATTTTAAAACAACAACAAAAAATGTAGGTGTTCTGGGGATCCTGGAATGGAATGCAGAATGTGATAAAAAATTTAAACTACTACAAATGTATAAAGCCACCTCAGTCTAGGGAGGGGGAAACGTGCTGAAATAAGCATCTTAGAAAACGCGCTGACATAAGCATCTTAGAAAATGCATGAGCTGGCTGGGCGTGGTTGCTCACGCCTGTAATCTCAGCACTTTGGGAGGCTGAGGCAGGCGGATCACGAGGTCAGGAGCTCAAGACCATCCTGGCTAACACGGTGAAACCCCGTCTTTACTAAAAATACAAAAAAAATAGCCGGATGTGGTGGCGGGTGCCTGTAGTCCCAGCTACTAGGAAGGTTCAGGCAGGAGAATGGCGTGAACCTGGGAGGCAGAGCTTGCAGCGAGCCTAGATCGTGCCACTGCACTCCAGCCTGGGCAACAGAGCAAGATTCTGTCAAAAAGAAAAGAAAGGAGAGGAGAGGAGAGGAGAGGAGAGGGGAGAGGAGGGGAGAGGAGGGGAGGGGAGGGGAGGGGAGGGGAGGGGAGGAGAGGAGAGGAGAGGAGATGCATGGGCCTTCTGTGGTGGCTCACACCTGTAATCCCAGAACTTTGGGAGGCCAAGATGGGTGGATCACCTGAGGTTAGGAACTGGAGACCAGCCTGGCCAATATGGTGAAATCCTGTCTCTACTAAAAGTACAAAAATTAGTGCCTGTAATCCCAGCTACTCAGGAGGCTGATGCAGGAGAATTATTTAAACCTGGGAGGCAGAGGTTGCAGTGAGGCAAGATCGTGCCACTGCACTCCAGCATGGGCGACAAGAGCAAAACTCCATCTAGAGAAAGGAAGGGAAGGAAAGGGAAGGGAAGGGCCGGGAAGGGGAGGGGAGGGGAGAGGGAGGGGGAGGGAGGGAAAGAAGGAAGGAAGGAGGGAGGGGGAAGGAAGGAGGGAGGGAGAAGGAAGGAAGGAAAGAAGGAAAGAAAGAAAGAAAGAAAATGCATGAAGACTGAAAGCAAGAGAAACTGCAAACAACCCACGTGCTCTGGTTGGTATAGTTGGTTCCTACAGGAAATGGGATAGTGATTCTGATATTGATAGAGAATAAATGTATATTGGAACTAGACAGTTAAGCAAATGGATGGCAAATAAGAGATAGGAGCCAGGTTTCTCACTGATAAAGTGGGAGATTACATATAAGCAAGGGGAGGAGGCCAGAATGATCATGTGATAAAGGAATTGAGTCGTAGACATCAGTATGAACTTACTAACACTTACACATATTACACGTAAAAATATTTAGAGTTACGTGTATATACACAGCTTCGTATACACACATTTATTTCCTTGCTCTATAAGCTAAGACGGTCTAGAACCAATGATATGCCAGCAGAAATGAGCATATCTAACACTTAAGTCTTCAATTCTTGAGTTTTTGTTTGTTTTGAAACAGTTTCGCTCTTGTTGCCCTGGCTAGAGTGCAATGGCACGATCTTAGCTCACTGCAACCCCTGCCTCCCGAGTTCAAGCAATTCTCCTGCCTCAGCCTCCCAAGTAGCTGGGATTACAGGCGCCCCCCACCACACAAAGCTAATTTTTGTATTTTCAGTAGAGACAGGGTTTCACTATGTTGGCCAGGCTGGTCTCAAACTCCTGACCTCAGGTGATCCACCCGCTTTGGCCTTCCAAAGTGCTGGGATTACAGGCATGAGCCACTGTGCCCAGCCTAAGTCTTGGTTTTTAATGACTCCAATCAAGCAAACCAGACTCCTTGGAGAAATGACTGATTCTAGAAATGGAAATAGAACAGGAAATAATACATGATCTGCCTGGAACATCTAGTTAGGCCAGAAAGTAAGGAAGTATAAAAACACCACCACCACCAAAACCCATAATGTAAACACTCCCAGTGGCCAAGGCTAGAACATTTGAGCAACAAAATAAATAAAGAAGTATTGGATTATAATCCAAAATATAAAATAAATATCTGTGAGCAAATAGTCATATAAGTACATTTTTGAATAAACAAATAATTGAGAGACGGGACAAATATCCCATGCAGAAGAATTCCAAATAATTTATGTAGACACTTAGCTTTCAAGGAAGTAGAACATAATTTCTTCCTCCTTAAGTGTTCTTTCCAAAAACAATACAGTATGAATAAGGGGCAAAAACAGTAGCTTTACAGGAGAAAAACCTGATGAGCACTACCTTAGACAAGTGATCAAGGTCAACATCAACAGGTGTAAGTCATGTTGATGAGTCTGAGCCTTGATGTGAGATGGTGAAAATGGCACTTCATCTCTGCAGTCTTTCTCCCTCAAACCCCAAACTCCAGTTTAAACATGAAGGGGAAAAAATCCAACATATTAAAAAAAAAAAAAAGTCAGTTTACAAAATTCCTGACCAGTACTCCTCAAAATTCTCAAGGTCATCAAAAACAAGGAGTCTGAGAAATTCTCGTCATCAAGAGGAGCCTAAGAAGATACTGACTAAATGCAGTGTGGTGGTGTCCTAGGTGGAACCCTGGAACAGAAGAAGATTAGATACAAGATAAGGAAGTCTGACTAAAGCAGGGGCTTTAGTTAATAATGTATAAAAATTGATAATGTAACAAATGTAGCAACACTAAAAATAAAGGAAACAGGGTAAGGGGGAAGGGTTATTATATTCATAATATTCATGTAAATTGAAAACTGTTCTTAAAAAGTTTGATAAAAAATGCATTTAGGGATAATTTGTTCTACTGTTTCTCCAAATACATTGTTGACCTAATATAATCAAAAGGGTCAGAATCTAATTTAAAGAGAGTTTATTCAAGTGTGACTTGAACCATTGGGAAACTCCAGCTTGAAAGGAGTCAGTGTTTTGAAGCAGGGAAGTTAAGAGTACATTTATATAGACAGAAACAGGAGGGGTTTTTTTTTGTTTTTCGTTTGTTGTTTTTTTTTTTTCTGAAACGGAGTCTCCCTCTGTTGCCCAGGCTGGAGTGCAGTGAGTGGCTAGATCTCAGCTCACTGCAAGCTTCGCCTCCCGGGTTCTCGCCATTGTCCTGCCTCAGCCTCCTGAGTAGCTGGGACTACAGGCGCCCGGCCACCACGCCTGGCTAATTTTTTGTATTTTTAGTAGAGACGGGGTTTCGCTGTGTTAGCCAGGATGGTCTCGATCTCCTGACCTCGTGATCCGCCCGCCTCGGCCTCCCAAAGTGCTAGGATTACAGGCGTGAGCCACCGCGCCCGGCCAACAGACAGGAGTTTTTAGCAGGACCACATCATTCACACAAGGGTGGCACATAGTTACCACTTTTGTACGGTAACGATGATTGGTTATATGCAGTGTTTCTCTTGAGGAAGGATATATTTACATTTTTTTTTAACAGAAAGTGTAGTAGTCGTGGGTTTTCTGTCTTCTAGTCTAAGCAAAACAACAGAGGGGAAGTTAATCACTAACAAAGATCATTAATTAAGAAGGCAGGAGGTTTTTGTCCCTGATGTCATTTAGTAACCGCATGTGACTCCGATCACAGCCATTTCTCTCTTAATGTGTTATTAGGGGTTCCAACAGCTTTTAAATTTCATTTATTTTCAGAATATCATGGGTTAGTTGTTCCTGAGGATATTATTAAGAATGCATGTGAGGCCAGGTGCGGTGGCTCATGCCTGTAATCCCAGAACTTTGGAAGGCCAAGGCGGGCAAATCACGAGTTCACAAGTTCGAGACCAGCCTGGCCAACATGGTGAAACCCCGTCACTACTAAAAATACAAAAAATTAGCTGGGCATAGTGGCAGACACCTGTAATCCCAGCTACTTGGGAGGCTGAGGTGGAAGAATCACTAGAACCGGGAAAGGGGAGGTTGCAGTGAGCCGAGATCGCACCATTGCACTCTAGCCCAAGCGACAGTGAGACTCCATCTCAAAAAAAAAAAAAAAGAATGCATGTGAGCCACTGAACTGTCTTCTAGGAAACTTTAATATGGATAAGGGAAATTATAAATTTCTAAGTGGATTTATAGGATATAGTGCTTCTAAAAGTATTTAAGATATCAAATCCTGAAACAATTTCAAGAATTAGTGCTCCTTGAAAAACATTTTAGGAAATGCTGATGTTTTCAGCTATTTGCAGATAAGTAAACAGAAATTTAATCACGTAACTTGCCTAAGACATACACTTAAATTGACAAGTCTCTGATGTTGAACCTGCAAACTCTTAGCTTTCATTCTCATGCTCTTTCAATTCTACTTCTGTATTTTATTTAATTTAAAAGTTCGTTGGTGGGCAGTGAGAAAAATGGAAATAAGAGCAAATAAATTCCAGATGAACAGAAAGGATTATTAGCTAATAAGATAAACATAAATATATCAGGAAGGGCGAGGAAATGGAGTTGGAGTATTGGTGATAGACTGGTTCATCATTCTGCTAAACAGATCAGGTCAGTAGAATTTTTTTATTTTAACATTTTTCATTTTATTTTTAGTTGACACCAAATAATGGCTTATATTCATGGGGTAGAAGAGTGATATTTTGATACATGGATACAATGTGAAATCATCAAATCAGGGTAATTAGCATATTTATTGCCTCATTCATTCATCATTTTTTTGTGTTAAGAACATTTAAAATCCTTTCTTCTACCTTTCTGGAAATATATTAATACAATAAAGTATTGTGAACTGTATTCAGCCTGTAGGACTGTAGAACACTAGAACTTATTCCTCCAATCTGGATATAATTTTGTGTCCCTTAACCCAGCTCTGCCTATCTTCCCCCCTCTCTCTCCTTCCAGGCTCTATTAAACATAATTAGTAATTTTTTTCTTTTTTCGTGAGACGACGTCTCGCTCTTGTTGCCCAGGCTGTAGTGCAATGGTGTGATCTCGGCTCACTGCAACCTCCGCCTCCTGGGTTCAAGGGATTCTCCTGCCTCAGCCTCTTGAGTAGCTGGGATTACAGGCGCCTGCCACCACGCCTGGCTAATTTTTGTATTTTTAGTAGAGACAAGGTTTCACCACATTGGCCAGGCTGATCTCGAACTCCTGACCTCAGGTGATCCGCCTGCCTCGGCCTCCCAAAGTGCCGGGATTACAGGCATGAGCCACCGTGCCTGGCCGGTAAAATTTTATATATATTGCATTTACATGCCCAAATCCAATATTCCATCAACATGTCGGCATTTGTAATGCCTAAGTTTAAAATATCAATTTGCTTATATTAACAATTATTTTTCTCTGTATAAACATATAAATACAAAGCATAACTGTTTGTATTTAAAATGTCTTAAATGTACATATAATCTTACAAATTCTAGCTTTGCATTTCTCTCAAATTTCAGTAAGTCTCTGATAAATCATACATCTAACAATTTCATTATGCACTGTTTCTTCTTTTATTGAAGCAACTATTAAAATGACACTTTATCCAGCAGCTTTCTTAGAATAATGACATCAGTGATTATTACTTTCTCCAGTGAAACATAGAATAGGAAATGTCTATAGTCTCACACAAATAGTGCAAAGAATGTCTAGATCTTTAATAGAATCATGCCACTGAATTCTTGACAATGATGATAAAGAAATTAAATTTAAGATACTTAATTTATAATAAAAATGACCAATGACCAACTCAATTTATGTGGGATTATTTATGAGCCACGTACAGCACTATTCATGTTGCCTATTTTACAACAACCTTCCAAATTAATCCTACTTCAGTAGGGTTACTTTACATGAGTAAAGTACTTTGGTTACTTTACATGAGTAACCAAAGTCCTGAATAAGAAAAAGGGAATCTGTCCAAAATCACATAGCCAATATTCACAGCTTTGGAATGCACATGTGTCTGATTCCAAAGCTATTGCACTATCCGTGGCATTGCACTGTCTTATAAAAGATAACCAAATATTTTATGTTTTCTGTTGCTCCCTTTCTCTAAGCATCTCTTTATGAGATGCTAAGCTGGCTAGCTATGCTAAAGATCAGGGAAAATTACCAGTTAGAGATTGTGAGGTTGTTTGTGCAGGCTCAGCATATAACTTCCTTAATTTGTATCTAATGTTGTTTAGATACAAGAGTGACCCTGAGTGAGGTGGCTATAGGCAGGGAGTGGCAGCTGGCTCTTTTCTTTCAGGGTGACCTTGACCTTGGGCAGCTGCAGAGCATGTGGATCCCAACCAGAGGAAAGTTTGTGTGGGATTTCAAGCAAGGGCATTCTGTGTACTTCATTTATTGAAGAGACAACGTCTTAATCTTGAAGATACTGAAGGAGGGAGAATTCCAAGCCCTTTGAAGATATTGCAAGAGGGCCCGCCTGTGATTGTTCATGATGTACCATCCAAAGCACCATCGTGCAGTGGAATTCGGTGATATCTGAACCAAAAGAGACCCCTTTGGAAGATGTATGCATAAAGCATTGCTGGATACCCAATTAAAGTAGTTGTGTAGAGAAAAAGTACTTCGGTAGTTGTTTGAGTTGTAAAGTGTTCTAGCACTATTTATTTCTTTTTCAAACACTAATTTTACTTGAAAGTTGAAGTGGGGGGAAAATCTCAGATTTCTTGGATGTCTAACCCTCTGGTCCTTTTCATTTCCCTATGCTGCTCTTATCTTGGATCCACCATAGAAATATGATAAACATAGTGCAAACCCTCCAAGACATTAAGATGGTTCTCAGTCAACAGATAAGATATTTCTGAGGGGAAAAAAAAATCATTGGCTTAATTACATGAAACTAAATGATGTATTATTTCAAATTTCCTATTCTCTTTTTACAAAAATTTTCTTACTAAATCAACATATAGCAGCAGAAGTAGTTAGGAGCTAAATTATGTTTGGTCTTATATACATGTAAAGAACTTTAAATTTGATCTTACTGGCCTTAGAAAACCACTGTTAGCTTTCAATAGAGGATTGATATTAGGAGCTTTTAATTAATTTATTTATTTTAAAAAAGCACTCCAATGATCAGGCAGATAGAATAAATCTTCTATAATTGATATAACTCCTCCCTCAGCCTGCATCTATTTCTGCATTCCAGTAGCTTCCAGGGGCGGTAGCCTTAATGAAACCACAAGAGATGGATTATGCATGCCACCTACTCCCCCAACTTAGACTAGGACAATTTTCTGTGTAAAAGGCTAAATCTCCAATTCCAACCTCCTAAAATTCAAGCTTGTAGGGTAGCCCAAAGTAAAATTAATGTTACAGTGTCAGAGAAAGACAGTTAAGTTTTGAAATAAAATTGTTCTCAGGAGAGGGAGAGCCTAGGGCATGTATTATACATCAGCCACAAAACAATGGCTTAATTAGGAATTTCCTCATACTTGAATCAAGACATTCTTTAGAACCTTAAGATTGTATGTAATTAAGAGTAGAAGTGGGGCCAGGCATGATGGCTCACACCTGTAATCCCCAACACTTTGGGAGGCAGAGGCGGGCAGATAGACTGAGGTCAGGAGCTCGAGATCAGCCTGGCCAACATGGTGAAATCCCGTCTGTACTAAAAATACAAAAATTAGTGGAGCGTGGTGGCGGGCACCTGTAATCCCAGCTACTCGAGAGGCTGAGGCAGGAGAATTGCTTGAACCTGGGTGGCGGAGGTTGCCATGAGCCGAGATCACACCACTGCACTCCAGCCTGGCCAACGAGAGCAAAAAACTCGGTCTCAAAAAAAAAAAAAAAAAAAAAGAGTAGAAATGGCTGAGGATAGGTTCCACCCTAACCTACTGGAATGACTTTGAATCAGCAAGGCCTTCCCACTATCCTGAGATGAGAAAAGAAAATTGTTGCCCAGGAAGCCAAGAAAATGTCAGAAAACCATGGAGTGTGATCAATGGAGACAAACAATACAAAAAATGAAGGTATGGAGACCCAGTGTTTCTTGGTGCAGGGATAGACTGGGGACTAAATGTAAAAGGCTGAATCACACAAACTCACATTTTTTGAATCTGGAAGACTCAACTGTGAAGCTGGCAAATGCAGCCATAGGGCAAAAAAAAAAAAAAAAAAAAAGCCATTTAAAAAGTACTGATTCAATTTGAATTCCTGACATCTGAAAAGAACACTAGATGTACTCCAGCATGCGCCAGGATGCATGAAAATTCAAAACTTCGTTATTGTTGATGTGCTTAGTGCTTATATACATAACACCATGTTAATATATGGATTTGTCGCTAATATTTAAACATAGAAAACAAGCTATACCCATTGAAATCTGTATTGTTTGGGAGGAAGTGGACTGCACTTCTTGTACTTAAGAAACACTTGTAACAATTGGGAATTTTAAATTCTGGGACTCAATTTTAAAGGAGTAATTTCTGTCCTTGTAACCATTTGTGTAATCCTATGACTTTCTTGAGAATGCTGTTTACTATCTTAGGATATCGTTTCTACTAGGACAAAAAAAATTTAATTTTCCAAGGTTCTGGAATATATATTGTTATTCCAGTGTTAAAATATATTGATTTTATTAATATTTATTCCTCAGAACTTAGAGATTAACATTTTAAATTATAAACCTTACTGACAAAGTTGTATACATAACTACTCTAAATTCTTAATGAAACTAGACACTTAGATGTTAAGATAGGAAACAAGAATGTTTGAATACAAAATTATTTGGACTAAGAATACAACCTAAGAAAAATGAAATTGTTTTGGTGAAATTGTTTGGTGAAAATTGTAATTAATCAATAATGGGAGTCAAATAGTTCAAAAGAGTGAATGCAGCTGAGATAGTTTAAAATGCTAATAAAATTAAGGGAAATGACTTAGAGCTTAAACAGCTAAGCTCTAAGTAAAATATAATGCTAGACTGGATAGTATTTATTTTTTGAGACGTAATCTTGCACTGTTGTCCGGGCTGGAGTGCAGTGGCGCAATCTTGGCTCACTGTAACCTCTGCCTCCTGGGTTCAAGTGATTCTCCTGCCTCAGCCTCCCGAGTAGCTGGGATTACACGCATGTACCACCATGCCCAACTGATTTTTTGTATTTTTAGTACAGATAGGGTTTCACTATGTTGGCCGGGCTGGTCCCCTACTCCTGACCTCATGATTCGCCTGCCTCGGCCTCCCAAAGTGCTGGGATTACAAGCGTGAGCCACCATGCCCGGCCTAGACTGGGTAGTATTTAATGATAATTCTATTTTCACTAAAAGCATCCAAATAAGAAATAATGCACTATATTCAGGAGAAATAAGAACTGGATAATGGTGGGGTAAATAGATGTCATTTCAGAAACTTGAAGTATGTAATTCTATGGATTTTTAGCAAAAATAAAATATTGATTTTATATAAAAATATTATATATTAGGCCGGGTACGGTGGCTCACGCCTGTAATGTCAGCACTTTGGGAGGCTGAGACGGGTGAATCACCTGAGGTCGGGAGTTTGAGACCAGCCTGACCAACATAGAGAAACCCCATCTCTACTAAAAATACAAAATTAGCCCGGCATGGTGGCGCATGCCTGTATTCCCAGCTACTCGGGAGGCTGAGGCAGGAGAATCACTTGAACCCAGGAGGCAGAGGTTGCCGTGAGCTGAGATGGCGCCACTGCACTACAGCCTGGGCAACAAGAGCACAACTCCGTCTCAAAAAAGAAAAAAAAATTATAATATAAAAATATTATTTCACCAGCTGCCTACGCTTAAAATGCAACGTACAACAGAAAAGCGGCCAGGCGTGGTGGCTCACTCGTGTAATCCAGCACTTTGGGAGGCCGAGGCGGGCAGATCACAAGATCAGGAGATCGAGACCTTCCTGGCTAACACGGTGAAACCCCGTCTCTACTAAAAATACAAAAAATTAGCCGGGCCTAGTGGCGGGCGCCTGTAGTCCCAGCTACTCGGGAGGCTGAGGCAGGAGAATGGCATGAACCCGGGAGGCGGAGCTTGCAGTGAGCCCAGATCGTGCCACTGCACTCCAGCCTGGGCGACAGAGCGAGACTCCGTCTCAAAAACAACAACAACAAAACAAAACACCAGAAAAGTTTGGCCGGCTGCGGTGGCTCACGCCTGTAATCCCAGCACTTTGGGAGGCTGAGGCAGACAGATCACGAGGTCAGGAAATCGAGACCATCCTGGCCAACATGGTGAAACCCCGTCTCCATTAAAATACAAAAAATGGCATGGCGCAGTGGCTCACGCCTGTAATCCCAACACTTTGGGAGGCCGAGCGGGGCGGATCACAAGGTCAGCAGATCGAGACCATCTGGCTAACACAGTGAAACCCCGTCTCTACTATAAAATACAAAAAAGTAGCCGGGCGTGGTAGCGGGCGCCTGTAGTCCCAGCTACTCTGGAGGCTGAGGCAGAAGAATGGCGTGAACCCGGGAGGCGCAGCTTGCAATGAGCCGAGATCACGCCACTGCACTCCAGCCTGGCGACAGAGCAAGACTCCGTCTGAAAAAAAAAAAAAAAAAAGGAAAGAAAAGCTTTACCACTGAATGTGTGGTATTAAGGAACTGCTCATTACTTGCATGGCTGTCTATTGTTTTTCCTAAAACCCAGAATTAAAGTCTTGTATGCAGGAATATTTCAAGAATATATTTATGATAAATTATATTTTTAAAAACAAAAAATGAAAGTGACTACAACGTCTGGCAACTTCTGTTTATTGAAACAATTAAGGTAACTCCATTATTAATAATATATTATTAGATGTCATAGGTCATTCAATATACTTTTGTTCGTTTGGTTTTTTTTTTGAGATGAAGTCTCGCTCTTGCTGCCCAGGCTAGAGTGCAATGGCGCAATCTCGGCTCGCTGCAACCTCCGCCTCCCAGGTTCAAGAGATTCTCCTGCCTCAGCCTCCCGAGTAGCTGGGATTACAGGCGCCTGCCACCACGCAGGGCTAATTTTTTTCTACGTTTAGTAGAGATGGGGTTTTACAGTGTTTGCCAGGCTGTTCTCAAATTCCTGACCTCAGGTGATCCACCTACCTCGGCCTCCCAAAGTGCTGGGATTGCAGGCGTGAGCCACTGCACCCGGCCAAATATACTTTTAAGTAGAAAACTTTGGTAACAAAGCAAATATGTATAATATGACATTATTGGCGTGAACAGGACCTAGAACAGCAACTGCCTAAGGAACTTTCCGTGGTGATGGAAAAGTTCTATTATCTGCACTGTTCAATATGGTAGTCATTAACCATAGATATCTTTTCCTATTTATTTAGTGAAAATATTGTGAGAATATAAGAATTCCTTTAAAATTGAAAATAAGTGAAGTTCAAGAGGAAATGAGATTAACATATTTAATTTTAGTTATATTTTCTGTACATAAGTAATTATACTAGTTATAACTTGCCATTATATCATACTGGTTATAAATAATGTTAAAAAACAGAAAACATAAGGAAATAAGCAAAAATTAAAAATATCTGTTAGGTCAGTTGTAGAGATGTGTAAATCCATAATCTAAACAACCTTGTATGAACCTTAGTGAAGAGAAATCTAGAACATTTTTGTGCAGAAGAAAGGATGTGTGGACAGATGAATGGCTCAGAACTCCTTGCTTCGTCATAATGACAAACGGGGACACATTCACTAAGCAAACATGTCTTGAGATGCATACTCTGTGTTTATAGGCACTGAGAGTAGTGCAATGAGCAGAGCTAAGCCCCTGTCCTCATTAAGTGCACATTCTTTGGGATGATTTTGAGCATACTGAGGTAGCTGATAACACAGTGAGTCTCATGAATCTCAACCGTTTGTTAGCCATTACGAAGATTTGCCATCCTAGAACTATCTGGCACAAAAAACTGGATTTGTTAATAAAATATATGTCATAAATATAGCTAGGGAAGTTATTTCAATTTTTTATTTTAGAATATCAAGTTTAAACTTTTTTACTCCAGAATCCTGCACTGTGAATAAAAAACAATGATCTCACATGCCATGTGGATGGTTTTGTAGTGATTTCTGCCCATCTCAAAGACACAGTTCACAGTAAGTTAGCTATGGAGAGCTGCAGAGGATTAGAGAATTTGAAAATCTTTACTAGGTTTGTGATTTTCACTTGTTAAAAATGTCAAGTTTTGTTTGACTTTGATTCAAAACTATACCCTTTTTAAAAGAATTTCACATGACTTATTTCTCACAAATACTGCCTACCTAATATGCCAATGCGTTTTTTAGTTATTTCATAGTATGAATGTCTAATATTCTTCAAAAGTATGGGAATGCCTAAGTCAAGGACACCTTCTCATTTTCTAAGGAACTGTTTTAAAGTACTTCATAAAGACAGTTATTGGTCCAGCATAATTAAATTATAAACTAAATGTTTTAGCAGATATTTAAAGGTTCTTTTAATTCACACTTATTCTAAAATTTGGAAAAACAGATTACTTCCTTTCTTGAATGTCTTTCCTGGAATTTTATTCTAAATGACTTTTTTTTACAATGAATATTGCCAAAAAGAAGAAGAGAACAGAATGCTCTGAGTGGGTCAAAGAATGCTGGAGAAAAGTAAAAGACACGAAATTCAGCATTGGTTCAGCCTTTCTTGGTTTGGTAAATTTTAAGAGTGATTTCTGGATGCTTGCCCAGGATTTCAGGAATGCCAATAAACAATCTGTAAAATAATAAGCACTACATTTCATTCTGGCAGAAAACTTTTTAAAAATCTATACTAAAGTCCGAACAAGCTCAAGGTCACTTCTGGGCTTAGGCCTCATATAGAATTTTTCCATAGACTTGGGAAAGAGAACAGAGTTTAAATACAACATGCAAAAGAAGGCTTCATTTGCTCACTCCCAAGTATCTCTTTGCACTTAAGAGTGCTTATCTGCAAAGCACAATGTTTCATTTCAATGGAATATTTGACACAGAGGCTCAATAGGGCTCCCACTCATATTTTACTTTAATTATTAGGCCCAAAATGTACAATCATTTTCTTTATTTATAAATAGCCTTTTTAAAGGAAATCAAAGTCTGACAAAGTTTGGATTTCCATGCATTTTTTGCATTAATGATGACATCAAACATGCACTCATTATGCTCTGTTAACCCTTCAGTCACCAATCCTAGCACTAGTGGCTGTGCATAACTAGTTTTTCCTGATGATCTAACTCACACTAAGGCCGAGAATCTAAAAAGAGTCCCCTTTTGGTTTAAGCTCTTGGGGCCACATTGTGTTTCTGTCACAGGAGTGATGGTAAGAGGGACTAATTAAAAGTCCAGTGAATGTGCCAGGGTTAAAATCACAGGCTCTGCTCATTAACAGTCGTTTACCTAAAGATATTTCCAAAGAATTCCTTCAATGTCTGAAAAGAACAGAACCTGAAGGGGGGGGAGGGAGGAATAAGTTGAGAGAGCCATTTAGAAATATTTTATATTAGAAGCAGAGTTTTGTTTTAATTCATGGATGCTGTCAATAGAAGAATTCAATTTAGTGAGCAGTTCAAATATCGTTTTTTTCCCATCGGTGCAGGCATGTATGTGTGCATGTATGAGTGTGTGTTTTAAAGGGGGTGGGGGATAGTCTCCCTAAGTCTAACGAGTAGAAAAAGAAATAGGAAAAAAACATCAGAACCATTTTGTTAATTGTCTTTTTCCTGCTGTTTCCATGGTAATACTGGCAGCCAGACTTCTCTGCAGAGTGACAGTCCAACAATTCACACACTACACCCTTTCAAGCACAATGAATGGCCGTGAAAGAGGCCGAACAGGCACCATTCAGGAAACATGTGATATCTACTCAATGCACTACCTTTCATCCACATTTTCCAAATTGCAGTTAATTTAATTCTAAACAAATGGCTAAGGGGTACAAATGAGGATTAGAAGGAAAAGAACATCTTGAGCTCTAATGGGGATGGTTTGTGTGAAGAACAATATAGCACTTTCTTCTGTTGCCAAGAAGGCTGGATGTGAAGATGTACTTCCCTCCTCATCTGAAGCCTTTGCTTGGACTCTATGTCAACAGTAAGAACCATGGCAGAAAATTTCTTGGCAAAACAGAGTTCGTGTAGGTTTTGGCTTCGCATTTGGAAACATATTAGATACAGTGTGATATTACTGCGTTTTACTATGAAATAAAATATAACATCAGAATTTTTACTGACATGTCGGAGCTACCACTTTCTATAAAGTTACATTTTTCTTATTCTTTTTTTTTTTTCTTTTTGAGATGGAGTCTCACTCTGTCGCCCAGGCTGGAGTGCAGTGGCGCAATCTCAGCTCACTGCAACCTCTGCCTGTCGGGTTCAAGCAGTTCTCCTGCCTCAGCCTCCTGAGTACCTGGGACTACAGGCGTGCGCCACCACACCCAGCTAATATTTTGTATTTTTAGTAGAGATGGGTTTTCACCATGCTGGTCAGGCTGGTCTTGAACTCCTGACCTCATGATCCCCCTGCCTCGGCCTCCCAAAGTGTTGGGATTACAGGCGTGAGCCACTGCGCCTGGTCACATTTTTCTTATTTAACATCCTTCAACTTTTGGTGAAGAAAAGCAGTAAAGTTCCCTGTAACAATTCACAGGACAAGACATTATCTTTATGCAGTCTAAAGTTACAATATGATTTGTATGTTTAAGTGTCAGTAAAGTAGGGCATAGTTACTTGAAAAACAAAAACACAACAGGAAAAGGTGGCATAAGGCCCTGCAAACTATTTCATGTTATTTGGTTGGAAGAATCAAGATGACCAGCTGCCATATTCTTATGAATTTTTAGATAAATGACTCAGAAAATTCAGGAAAATCCATTTGAGGATACAGCATATGTAAAGCAACATTTCTATTTCTATTTTTTGAATTAAGGTAGTGTTTTTTATTCCAGTGGTAGGCTTTACGTGTTACAATATTATGAGCAATTTGTTTAGAGATGCGTTAATAAGATAGCACCCTTAAAATTTCACATTTAGTATCACAAATGTACATCTAAGCGTATCATTATTCTGTTACATTTAAAGTTTTAAGAGATTATCCTGGCCAGGCACAGTGGCCCACGCCTGTAATCCCAACACTTTGGGAGGATGATGGGGGTGGATTGCTTGAGCCCAGGAATTCGAGACCAGCCTGGGCAACATGGTGAAACCCTATCTCTACAAAAAAACCCACAAAATTAGCAGGGTGTGGTGGCACACACCTGTAGTCCCAGCTACTCAGGAGGCTGAGATGGGAGGATCGCTTCACCCTGGGAAGTTGAGGCTGCAGTGAGCTGAGATCTTGCCAATGCATTCCAGCCCGAGCAACTGAGCAAAAATCCTGTATCAAAAAATAAATAAATAAATAAAATAAAATAAAAAAGAACATGCTTATTTATGTCTACTGATCTGATAGAGAAAAAATAATCCAAATAAATTTGCTAACAATCATGGTTCTCCATTACAACTTAGTTGTGTTTGAAATATAAGCATGCCTAGAAATCTATGTGCATCAGTGAATTCCACAATGATGATTACATAATATCCAAGTGACTTATTTGAGAGATACCTCATTGGTCTACAGAAAGTTTCTGATTTTTGACTCTATAGTAGTTTCAGAAGGATAGACTTTTCCTCAGCTCTGATTGGTAAGCTATCAAATAATCTATAAAGAAATGAGACTTTTAATAGATTTGGATTCTGAATGAATTGCCCCACATCTTTTCAGAAATTTAAATAACACTAGGATGATAGTATTTCAGATGCTTGACAATGGTCTTAAAATTCTTTTTTATTCATTTATTCTACTTTTCTCTAATGTTTAGGATCCTTAGTGTTGACAACCTACAGTTGCTGAAATGCACAGGACAAAAGGTCATTTTTTTCATGTATCGGAGCTGGTGTCCAGTGTTTCCTTGTGAAAAAGCATTATTTGATGCAGAGATTTAGGTGGGGAGCTGCCACTATTACTTCTGAATGTTTTGACCTGCTAGATGAACTGTTGATGGCTTTCTTGTGAAGAGGGGTAGAAATTGATACTTTTAGTGACTTCCATAGAGCCTGACATTATCATTTCAAGTCAAGGACCCAAAAATCATTTAGCACTAGGCACAGGCACAGGGTGCCCCACTGTCAGAGGGCTGGCAACAACGTAGCCTCCATTCAAGGCTCCCACCAAGACTTCAACTTTGTTTACTTGTTTTCAAGCCTCCACTTCCATGGAACTAAAACCTACCATGGAGATCTCTGCTTCTGAGATAACTTGAAAAAACCTGTGTTCAATCAGTGCCAAGCTCACTTCTGTGTGTAATTGTATCTCTTGGGGGAGAGGGAGAGGAAAAGTAATTGTACTATTAATAATATTTGTAAAATCCATGAATTGCAAACAATTCTTTTTTTTGTAATGTTTCTAAATAGAAAAAAAAGTTTATGTTAAATGTTTAGAAGTAGCCTATAGAGGAAGAAGCACAGGTAAAATTATTAGAAAGAAAGTGTTACAATGCCCAAAGAAAGCTCACTTCAATGGTTAGTTTGAGAAGGTGCACTTGTGGCTGTATAATGGTGCTTAAAAAGCTAAGTTGTGTCGGGCTGGGCACCGTGGCTCATACCTGTAATCCCAGCACTTTGGGAGGCCAAGGCAGGTGGATCACGAGGTCACGAGTTTGAGCAGCCTGACCAACATGGTGAAACCCGTCTCTACTAAAAATACAAAAAAATTAGCCAGGTGTGGTGGCACACGCCTGTAATCCCAGCTACTTAGGAGCCTGAGGCAGGAGAATCGCTTGAACTTGGGAGGTGAGATCATGCCACTGCACTCCATCCTGGGCAACAGAGCAAGACTCTGTCTCAACAAAAAGAAAAACAAAGCTAAGCTGTGTCTATCCATAGGCCTTAGTAAGGCCCTTTCTCTTTAGGAAAAGAAAGTCTCTTGGACTAGATTGCAAATTTAAAAAAAAAAAATTTCATGGGGCCAAGAGCAGTGGCACACATCTGTAATCCCAGCACTTCAGGAGGGCCAGGCGGCTGCATCACTTGAATCCAGGAGTTCAAGACCAGCCTGGACAACATGAGGAAACCCTATCTCTACAACGAATACAAAAATTAGCCAACTGTGGTGGCGCATGCCCGTAGTCCCAGCTACTAAGGAGGCTGAGGTGGGAGGATGGAGGTTGAGGCTACAGTGAGGCATGATCACACCACTGCACTACAGCCTGGGTGACAGAGTATGATCTTGTCTCTGAAAATAATAATAATAATGACGTTGTCCAGGTGTGATGGCTCATGCTTCTAATCCCAGAACTTTGAAAGGCTGAGGTGGGAGGATCACTTGAGCCCAGGAGTTCAAGGCTGCAGTGACCTGTGATTGCACCGTTGGACTTCAGACTGGGTTACAGAGCAAGACCCTGTCTTAAAAAAAAAAAAAAGGACATTATTTTGATAAATAGAGAATTAAAAAGGAAGCACCAAGAATCAAACCCCATGACAAATTGACTATACACTCTATTACGGTACACAGTAGTTTATTTCCTCCCATATAAACAAGTAATCAAATTTTTCTGCAGAAGATTTTAGTATCCAAGACTCCTAGAGATTCGCAAGTATATATGGGAGACTCAGGAAACTCTTGAAACAGCATGCCATAGTTGGTATGTACCTGTCTAAGTGCATTTTTCTGAGGAGAGGGTCACGATTTTATTCAAGTCTCAAAAGATGACATTACCCAAGAGTTTGAACATCAGTGTTTGCCGAGTATTAAGAACATTGGCGCTAAATTGCTGTGTGCAGCATGTGACTTCCTCAGCTTCTATTTCCCAGAGGAACTGAAAATACCATCACCATGAAAACTAACAAATTTGCACTCAAATTCGGTTAGTTCATTTAAAACAAAAACATGTGGGGTTTGTCTATGTGCATTGGTAAGAATGGAGCGTCCCTGACCTCTTTCTCACACTTGGTCCAAATAAAGAGAAAAGTTACTAAACTCAGGAGCCTTCTGTAAGTTGATGATAATTCACAAGTGATTTGAAGTATTTGCATTTACACTATTGAGATGGCACAGAAATGACACCAAGAATGAAGACTCGATGACTTTTCTTACTGTGGGGCACAGATACGAGTCTGATTTAACTTTTCTCAGAAACGGATCTTCTGGCCTATTTAAACTTTATTCGGAGACTAACAAAGAGCAGCTGAAAATCTTCCTCTTTAGAAAAGATGGAGAAAAAAAACAGGAATGAATCACATAGCATCGTCATTATGGGCATATTAACTCCCTATGACAGGGAAATATGGGTCCCTTAAACTACCTCAAAAGCTTTAGCAAACTGTGACTTAACAGCAGATGTTTAGCTGTGAATTTAACTTGTCATCTTTAAAGACAGTATTTAATTGTTTCCCTTCATTCAGGCAACAAATAGCTCTTTTAGGAAGGAAGGGCAATGTTACTCACATTCTTTCTACCAAAAAATGTTGTTATTCTTATTTTGTTTTAGCAGAAGATATCAATCAATGTTGGTCATGGTAGCCATGTGTCTATGTGAAAACAATTAGGATAGCAAGAACCATTAATGCTTTTCTCTTATCTGGGCATTCAATTAATCTAATGATGTCATCAACAAAGACAGAGAGATGAAGAATGAAAAACTCTAAATTTGAGCTCTTGCTGGCAATATAGTTTTAAATATTTCTATACAAAATAAACAACCTCTAAAATGGCAGCTTCAACTTAATCTCCATAAACCTTTTTCTTATATGACAATATCCTACGATTCAACTCTTGGTTATTTAGGTTCTTATTTTGTATACAATGTGTTCTTTTCAGCTATTCATTATGCCATTTTTAGAAGATAAAATGGAATAGAAAAAAAATTGTTGGATTTTCTGTATTGCTGTAATTAGTGATGATTAACTAATTTGAAAAGTACTCTAAAATGAGAATTTTACATCAATCGGTTCACTTTACTAATAATCTTATTTCTTTTAAAAAATATGTGTGGGTTTGCCTTCCCTAAGCATGGTTCTAAGGGCTTTGTATGTTAATTAATCCTAATAAACATGCTTCCGTTAGAGGCTGTGATTATGAACATTTTTCAGATAAATTTAAAAAATGGGTTAAAAAAATGTAAGTAACTTATTCAACATACAAAGCTCATACATCATAGAGCCAGAATTTGAAATCAGGTACTAGAGCTCAAAAGTTCTGAACTTTCCAGGAATGTGAGACCAGCCTGGGCAACATAGTGAGACCCCATTTCTACAAAAACAAATATTAAAAATTAGTCAGGCATGGTGGTACACTCCTATATTCTCAACTACTCAGGAGGCCGAGGCAGGGGGATCACTTGAGTTTAGGAGTTTGAGGCTATAGTGAGCTATGATGATCATACTTGCATTCTAGCCTTCGTGACAGAGCAAGAGCTTGTCTCTTAAAAAAAAAATATTTGGAGGTTTTAACCCAGATTTTTTTTTTTTTTTTTTTTTTTTTTTTTTTTGAGACAGAGTCTCACTCTGTCACCAGGCTGGAATACAATGGCACGATCTCGGCTCACTGCAACCTCCACCTTCCAGGTTCAAGCGTTTCTCCTCCCTCAGCTTCCCAAGTAGCTGGGATTACAGGCACCAGCCACCACGCCTGGCTAATTTTTTGTATTTTTAGTACAGATGGGGTTTCACTATGTTGGCCAGGCTGGTCTCAACCGCCTCACCTCGTGATCCACCTGCCTCAGCCTCCCAAAGTGCTGGGATTACAGGCTTAAGCCACTGCACCTGGCCTAATTTTTGTATTTTTAGTAGAGACGGGGTTTCACCATGTTGGCCATGATGGTCTTGATCTCCTGACCTCGTGATCCACCTGCCTCTGCCTTCCGTGAGTTTTATTTTATTTGTAATTGCTCTGTCTTTTTCATCCTTTAATATTCAACATTTCTTTGTTCTTGTTTTATATATATCTTTTATAAATAGTAATTACATGATCTTTAAAAACAAATCTGATAGTGTTTGTATTTGAGCTGGCAAATTCAGTCATTAACAGTTTTGGTGATTACTGATTACTGATATATTATGATTTTTTTACCATCTTACTTTAAGCTTAACATATGTCTTACTTTTCTTAGCTTGTTATTTCTTGTTTTATTCTTGCTTTGTTATTTCTTGAACTCTGTTTTGCTTGTTTTTGTATTTCATTGTCTTTAAAAACCTAACGATTTATGTGTGTCATCTTCAATTTCTTTCTTCAGTGTTTTGTGGTTTTCCTTGTAGAGGCTTTTCACCTCTTTGTTTAAATTTATTCGTAGGTTTTGTTTGTTTGTTTGTTTAAATAAGATTACTTTGGGCTTTTTAATTTGTCTTTTGTAGCTATTGTAAGCAGGATTACCTTCTTGATTTCTTTCTCAGATTATTATTGGGTTATAGAAATGCTACTGAATTTGTAGGTAGATTTTGTATCCTGAAACTTGACTGAATTCATTTGTAAAATCTAAGCTTTTTTGATGGGAGTTTCTAGGTTTTTCCAGATAAGATTGCATCATCAGCTATGTAGGCATTGCGTTTTTTAATTTTATGTGAATAATATTTATTTGGATTTATATATGTTTACCATTTGCTTTGCTCTCTATTCCGCCTTACATCTCAGACCTTCCTTCCAAGTTTCTTTCTTTCTGAAATACCTCATTCAGTATTTCTGGTAGTGTTTGTGTGTGGATGATAAACACACTCAGTTTTACTATTCCACCATGTTCTCATTTGTATTGCTCTTATAGAGAAGCATGCTTTCAGTCCAATTGTTCCTCTGTAAGCAATTTATCTTTTTCTTTTGTATTTTTATAATATATTTTCTTATTTTGGATTCGGCACTTTCATTAAAATGTGTTCAGGTGTATATATTTTTAAATTTATGCTACTTAATATAGGTTGAATTTTCTTTACCTGTGACTTTTTTTGGCGGGGAACTGGAGTCTTACTCAGTTGCCCAGACTGGAGTGCAGTGGCGTGATCTCGGCTCACTGCAACCTCCACCTCCTGGTTGAAGTGATTCTCCTGCCTCAGCCTCCCGAGTAATTGGGATTATAGGCACCCGCCATCACGCCTGGCTAATTTTTGTATTTTTGTAGAGACAGGGTTTCACCATGTTGGCCAAGCTGGTCAAGAACTCCTGACCTCAAGTGATCAGCCAGCCTCGGCCTCCCAAACTGCTGGGATTACAGGCGTGAGCCACTGCGCCCAGCCTACCTGTGACTTTTTTTTAGTTCAGAAAATTCTCAGGCATTTTCTTTTTCACATTGTCTGACTTCCATTCTATTTGCCTTCTCATTCTGGGAGACATACTAGCCCTTCTCATTCTCTCCTTCATAGCCCTTAATCTGTCTTTCATCTCTCTACCATCTCTTTGACCATTTGTGCTGTATTCTGGATACTGTCTTTAGATATAAAATCGGTTCACTAATTCTCTATCAAGTAGAATCTAATCTGCTATTTATCCAACCACCAAGTTATCCATTTCAACTTTTATTTTTTATTTCTAGAAATTGTGTTTCTAGAAATAAACCTTATCTGACTGAATAGTTCTTGTTGTTGATGGTTTCTCACTCTTGAAAATTATAGTTTTCAAAAAAACATTTACTACATGGTTATTTATATTCTCTACCTAATATTTCCAATATATGGAGTATTTAGAGTTCTAAATCTGCTGTTTGTTGCTTCTGCCTTCTTTCACACACAGTGGTACTTTTCCTTGTGTTGGGGATCGGTGGGTGGCTCATATTTAGTTAATCCTAATCCATGGAGTTGAGAGGTGACACATTTGGAAATGCTTTCCAACAGACAGCATTTGCATGCTTTGAGCTCTATTGCCTAATCTATGTAAGGAGAATAATGACATTTTTTTTCCACTTAAAAGAATCTAATTGGCCAGATGTGGTGGCTCACGCCTGTAATCCCAGCACTCTGGGCGGCCGAGGCGGGTGGATCACGAGGTCAGGAGATCAAGACCATCCTGGCTAACACGCTGAAACCCTGTCTCTACTAGCAATACAAAAACAAAATAGCCGGATGGGGTGGCGGATGCCTGTAGTCCCAGCTACTCGGGAGGCTGAGGCAGGAGAATGGCAGGAACCCAGGGGGCGGAGCTTGCAGTGAGCCGAGATCGTGCCACTGCACTCCTGCCTGGGCTGCAGAGCGAGACGACTCCGTCTCAAAAAAAAAAAAAAAAAAAGAAAGGAAGAATCTAATTAAGTTGTTTGTTTTAAAGAACTTCAAAAAGATATACATGACCTGAATGAAAATCTGAACAACATGTAACAATATGTAAGTGTAAGAGGCTATTATTTAAAATTAATATTTTAGAAGAATGATACAGCATCATGCACTTTCTAAATTAGTTCACCAGATTATTCGGTTATTTTATACAAGAGGAACTCAAGTTAATTAATGTAACATCAGTATGATGTGTCTAGGTATGGTTTTCTTTGTATTTATTCCAGTTCAGTTGTGAAGTTCTCCTTGAACTTGTGGATTCTTGCTTTAATTTATATTGCAAATTACTTGGCCACTATTTTTTCAGATATTTTTTCTGACTCATTCTTTTTTCTCATTCCTTTTTTCTTTAGCTCCATGAAAACATGTGCTAAAACTTTTCCCCATGTCTCATGTATCTCTTAGGTGTTTTCTAAATGTTTTGATCTTTTAGGCTTTCTGTATCTCAGTTTAGATTTTTTTTTCTAAGCTATCTTCAACTTGACTAATCTTATTCTTTAACTGTATACAATTTCCTATTAAATTTGCCTACTGAGTTATTAAGTTCAGTTACTGCATGTTCAAAATCCAAAATGTCCATTTGATTCTTTTTAACACTGTAGTTTTCTACATCTCTTTACCTTGGCAAATAATTCCTTCAACATATTAGGCATAGTTATTTTCAAGTCTCTGCAATACATTCTAACACATGAATTTCCTGTGGGTCTGTTTTAGGTTTGTTTCTATTATATATTTTTTTTCTTGGTTTTCAGTTGTGTGAAGTCATGTCCTGATATGATTAAAATTTGGACATGATTAAATCCTGGACATTGATTAAATCCTGGACATTGCATATAAGAAACCATAATATGCAGATCTCAGTAACGTTGTCTTCTTCCAAAGAGAATTTACTGTTACTTCTGGCGAGCAGTTAGAGTAGGGGCAGGTAGCCTCAATGCTAATCAGGGCTGATCCATAGCAGGGCGTTGGAATTTTTTTTTTTTTTTTTTTTTTTTTGAGACAGTCTCGCTCTGTTGCCCAGGCTGGAGTGCAGTGGCGCGATCTCGGCTCACTGCAAGCTCCGCCTTCTGGGTTCACACCATTCTCCTGCCTCCGCCGGAGCTGCGACTACAGACGCCCACCACCACGCTTGGCTAATTTTTTGTATTTTTAGTAGAGACGGGGTTTCACCGTGTTAGCCAGGATGGTCTTGATCTCCTGACCTTGTGATCCGCCCGCCTTGGCCTCCCAAAGTGCTGGGATTACAGGCATGAGCCACCAAGCCCAGCCTCTTTCCTCTTTCTTTCACAATGTATTCGTTGTCTACTCTGTGCTGGTACCTTACATTTATTATCATATTATTTAGTAAAACCCCTCTGAAATTAAAATTACAAACGAGGAAAATAAACATGGAGACTACAAGCAACTCATCGAAATTTGCTTGTGTTCAAATAGGATACCTGAGATTAAAAACCAGAACGTGATTATTTTATTTTCTTTTTTATATTAATTCTCTCTAGTCTTTTTTCTTTTTCACTTTGTCTCTTCTCTCAGTGTTTCAGTCCCTCCTTCCCTTTCCCTTCCTTTTTTTTTTTCCCGTTTCTTTATAACAGTTAAGGAAAAGGTGTGGTCTGAAGACATTTTCAGCCTAGACTCTGACTAGCCAGAATAGCGCATGGGGTGGCCCTGTGATGATCCTCGGGCAGTCTGATGAATCAGGAAAAGGGAGGCCAGATGTGCTACACAGTTCAATGTCTGGCCCACCATCAACCCTTCTCCAGTAAGAGCCGTTTCACATGTCCCTCTCTCTCTCATATCCTACTTTCCCAATTTACCATGTATTTGTCCACTTTTTGCCATCCTCTCTTCGCCTACTTTAGTTTAACTGCCATTATCGTTTGTTTGGAACTACATCAGCCTTCTAAATGTGTCCCCATCTGCAGTTTTGCCCAACCCCAATCCATTCTCCCAACTGCAGTCAAATTAATCTTTCTAAAAGGCAAAACTTGCGTGATGTCACCTGTGTGCCAATTCAGTGGTTTTACGTATCCCTCATGGTAACACTTACCAGGGCCCTGAAGGCACATCACGGCCTACCCCATCTCTCCTGTTACGCTTTCTGCACATTTTCAATAGTGCCCTGTCATCTTCCTAATTGTATTTTGTATTTTTACATACTGTTCTCTCTCTAGAACTGGAAGGTATTTACCTTTTCCTGTTCTATCTTGGGTAATGTCTTCTATTTTTAATACCAACTTAGGCATGACCTCTTCCAAGAAGGTTTTCCTAATAACCAAAGGCAAGATTGGGTAACCTTTCTACAGGCTGCCCTAGATCTCTGTGCAGTCCATATCACCCAGCTCATTGGGTGTTGTCTTCTTTCCCATTTACTTCACTCGTATCTCATTCACCATTATACCTCACAATTAGCATGACATGTAGAGGACCTTCATTGATTGTTTATTTGGTAAATGACTATTAAATGAGTGGTATGAAAATAAATGTGCAGCAAAATACTCATAGTGTGACCTAATTATATGCAAAAAATCTGCAACAAGCACATACATGAACACATACATAAATACAAGAGAATTGGAAGACTATATAGCACACTAGTTATTATAGTTATACTAAAAATATAAGTCAACTGTACCATTCAATCAATCAATCAAATGAAGTAGATTAATCCTGCTCACAATCACATTGGTATCTATACCATATTCTAATTTTACATTACCTGGAGTTTCACATGCTTTTGCATATCACTTTCTGAAGTGGCATTGTACTACTGGGATTTGAGCCTTAATTTGATTTCATAATTTACATTCTACAATTACATGTTAGGTTACTATCATGTTCTTAGCACTTGACTAGGTGCTGCAGTAAAAAGAGATGATTTTACAACTGTTTTTGAATTGCTTGCAAACTTTCGGAGAGAAATAATATTAATAGATAGATAAAATTTAGAATTTTTCTACCAGGAGCTGCATGCAGTTTTATGTAAAATATTAAGAAGTTGGACTTCATATATTTTTAATGCCTCTCCCATTCTGCTTCTGACCCTGCAGCAGTTTCTTCTGATGTAATGTAGATATTTTGGGGCATATAATCCCACACTTAAAAAGAGCCTGAAAGGACTTTAGGGAGGTAATAAACCATTGTTTGCCTGAAGGTCTCCTTCAACATTATCACTAAGTGGCTACATTTTCCAGACTTGAACTCTTTCAGTTACAGGAAGTCAGTGCTTCTCAAGAGTTTCCCACTTTGTGCCTCTCCTGTGTTTTCCAATCACATTGTCAAGAATAAGTGCAATTCTTCTTCCCTTATTGACCAGTGACTGTCTGAAGCTTGCTATTTTGTTACCTCTGAATCTTTGCTTTTTACTGCTATTTAAAAATCCCTGATGTAGACAGGGATTAGTCCATTTATAGGGTTGGCTTTTTGGAATCATATACAAGTGTATTTATCTCCACAATAATTTTTTTCTTCTGGGATTTTTGTCTGTTCTCACTCACAAAAATATTTTATTGGTTTCTAATGATCATATGTAATTGTGTGTGTGTGTGTGTGCACGCGCACACATGAATGTATGAATATTTGTAGTGAGTTTGTGGTAAAAGCATTTTGGAAATATTACATTTTTACTCTATTAATTTGATGACAACGTAATGCAATCCTGTTTATGTTACAATGTGCTATTTGATTTAAAGTTTGAAAAAAGAGGCAATTGGGAACAATTACTCAACAAACTTACTGTGAAAATTGGCTCTTTTTTTCCTATTACTGTGCTTCAGAAATGCTTCTCTTCCTAAGATCCAGTGGAAGTTCAGAAACTGGGAGATAATTGTGTCCTTGGTAGGGACAGAGTGACACCGTGTGGAATAAAACAGAACAGAGCTACCCCATGAGGCAACACATGCTCTCCCCAGAAGAGCACAACTGGAAACAAACCAGCTTTTCAAGTAACTCACCTATTTTTTTCCTAAATTTGCCTTAAATTACTTATTGAAAATGTGAACCAGCAGCAAAGAGAAAAAGCTCACCAAGATGGCACATGCAATTAGAGTGGAATTCATAACATTTTATAAGAAGTATTTTATATTCTACATTAAAAATAAGCTTATTTATTTGCTGTATATCTTATCTTTTAGAAAGATGCTTGTTCATTTAAATGGGCTTACCAAATATTAATCGAATAAAAAATGGTTTGTTATTTGTTTATTCATTATATAAACCATTTCCAAAGAAGAGGTTTCCCTCCCTCCCTTCCTTCCTCCCTCCCTCCCTTCTTTCCTTCCTTCCTTCCTTCTTTCTTTACCTTATGAGGCTCTAAAAAAAAACTTACAACTCAATGGCAATTCAAATGTCTTTAACTCGATTCTTTAAAGAAGAGTGCCTGGAACTAGATAACATGATGAGCCACTGCCATAAACAGCAAAGCTAACAGATGCATACCAATAAGGTTTGCACAATTATTTAATATATTTTGTCATAGTATGAGTCGTTGGAGGAACAAGAGATGTTTGACACAGAAAAGTGTCAATACATTTTAGTTATGTTATGTTTTTATTAACGTTTTCAGGCCTTTAATAAAAAAGAGGGTCGATTTATTCTGTGATTAACAGATAGTACTTATGGGGGTGAAACATTTTAGCAAGTTACAAGAAGTAAATTTTACACACGAAGAAGACCTGTGTGAAATTTAAGTGGTCTGCTCCATCCAATGCCAACTCTAATTAATTGCTAATAGCTGCCTTGAGTACTATGCCTCTAAGGATCTGAGGTCATGTTCTGGCTCAGTGGGTAGTTCTATATTTGAATAGTAAGGCTGGCTTGTGCACAAAGGTGAAGGAATTGGGGCGTATATATCGGGTGTTACCCTTTCTGGCCGAGAGAATACTTGATAGAAATGGGCTTCAGTGGAAAAACTAAGGGACAGAATAGCTTCAGTTTTAGCTTGGCCACGTACATTGTGTAAATTTTCCAAGCCTATTTTCTTCATCTCTAAGCATAGCGCAATAATCTTTATATGGTTGTTATGGACATTTAAGATGTAAAATAACGTGTCTAAAGCAACTAATGCAGAAATGCTTATAAACGATCTTGTGATATGTACTAATAAGTGATAACTATCATTACTCCCTTGTTCTTTTTTTTTTGTTAATTGGGATCATACCTTTAACATACATTTTCTAAAAGTAAATTCTACTTTCTCTTTGAATTACAGTGATTTTCTTGTATGCTTATGGTTATTAGGCATAGGTAAAAATTTTGTAATAAATAAAGATGAAGAGATCTAAGAAGGAAAAATGGAACCACAACATTATAGTATTAGAGAAGCCATCAGAAGAAAGTTTCAAGAGAATGGTCAATATTATAAAATGCTGCAGAGGACCATGAAGGAAAAAGACTAAAATGATGGGGACTTGATAATTGGAAATAACTGATAATCCCAGAGAATGAAATTGCTATTGTGAAATATATGGGAGGTAGAATGTGATTCACCGAGGACATAATGAGTAAGGAGAACATGATATGATAAAATATTAAAAGACTTTTTCCTAGGTTTTCTATCAGAAGCTTTTCTGTTGCACTGGCATGAAGAAGATATTTGGAGAAGAAAATATAAAATAAAATATATGATTAAATTAATTATTTCAGTTACCACACAAAGCTCAGATCAATTCCCCTAATTTTTTGATGAATGCAAAACGATCTATATCTATATGTCTTTTCTGATCTGAAATTGGAAAACATGTTTTTATTAAGAAATTTGTTTTTTTTTTTGAGATGGAGTCTCACTCTGTCACCCAGGCTGGAGTGCAGTGGCGCGATCTCAGCTCACTGCAAGCTCCGCCTCCCGGGTTCATGCCATTCTCCTACCTCAGCCTCCCGAGTAGCTGGGACTACAGGCACCCGCCACCATGCCTGGCTAATATTTTTTGTATTTTTTAGTAGAGACAGGGTTTCACCGTGTTAGCCAGGATGGTTGCGATCTCCTGACCTCAAGATCTGCCCGCCTTGGCCTCCCAAGGTGCTGGGATTACAGGAGTGAGCCACTGCGCCCGGCCAAAAACATTTTTTTAAAAGAACAACTGTAGAGGTGCAGATATTTCTATCAGTTCTCCCGTAATTGCAACTGGCACCTTTTATATGAGAGGAACTCAGGAGAGACTATTTTGAGACCTTATCAGCCTTCCTACAGTTGTGTAATGCTGGAACAATGTGTTTGGGGACCTGCTGTCAGGCACCAGCAATATAGAGGTGGGGAGAGAAAAACAGAAGAAAGTTAAGGGCAGAGTACTTATCGTATGTGCATACTATATTGTTGAAGCTAGGTAGCACAGGGTTGGTATGGAGGGGAAAAGACATTACAAGTGCACTGATACATGTCATCCTTTCTCTTTTCCTTTTTCTCCTTTTTGAGACAGAGTCTCGCTCTGTTGCTCAGGCTTGAGAGCAGTGACACAATCTCGGCTCACTGCAGACTCCACCTCCCAGGTTCAAGTGATTCTCATGCCTCAGCCTCCCACGTCCATTTTATTTATTTTCCAATTTTATTTTTAAGCTTTTATTCAAGTTTTTAGTTTATCATGGTGGAAAGAGAGATAGAAAATAGTTTCAAAGCGAGACCGTGTATGGTGGCTCACGCCTGTAATCCCACCACTTTGGGAGGGTGAGGCGGGCAGATCACCTGAGGTCACGAGTTCGAGACCAGCCTGACCAACATGGTGAAACCCTGTCTCTATTAAAAATACAAAAAAAAAAAAAAAAAATTAGCCGAGCGTGGTGGCACATGCCTGTAATCCCAGCTAGTTGGGAGGCTGAGGCAGGAGAATCGGATGAACCTGGGAGAAGGAGGTTGCAGTGAGCCAAGATCATGCATTGCACTCCAGCCTGGGTGACGAGCAAAACTCCATCTCAAAAAAAAAAAAAAAAATTGTAAATTCTTTAATATCTAAGAGATTTGCTTTCATCTTTGCAAGAAATTTTAGATAATTGTTGATATCATTTTAGTACCCTTTACATAGTGGGGACATACTTATAAAACAAAGACACAGTGAGAAAAATATTAGAATGGTTGATAAGTAACTTACTGTTGCTATCACTAAAATATTCATGATAGTAATTGTTTAATTTACTGAATGTCTTGCACCAGGTCTACTCAGCATCATACAAACATTGTACTTAGAGAATGAATTATTTATTTAATCCTTATAAAATTATTCCGAGACAGATAACAAGTAAGGAAATTGAAGCTCAGCATGGTAGAGAAACTTCCCCATGTTCAGATGGTTTTTAAGTGGTAGTGCTGAGATTCAAACCCACTTCTGTTTGATTCTGAAACACAACTACTGGGCACTGTAATACACTGTGTTCTGGACATGTTATTAATCATGAACAAATAGATTTCAGTAGAAACAGGATTTTTTTTACTTTCTTTTCTTTCTTTCTTTTTTTTTTTTTTGAGACGGAAACTTGCTCTGTTGCCAGGCTGTAGTGCAGTGGTGTGATCTTGGCTCACTGCAACCTCTGCTTCCCGGGTTCAAGCGATTCTCCTACCTCAGCCTCCTGAGTAGCTGGGACTACAGGCGTGCGCCACCATGTCCAGCCAATTTTTGTATTTTTAGTAGAGAGAGGGTTTCACCATGTTAGCCAGGATGGTCTCGATCTCTTGAGCATCTCGTGATCTGCCTGCCTCAGACTCCTAAAGTGCTGAGATTACAGCCGTGAGCCACCGTGCCCAGCCGTTTTTTACCTTTCGAATTAAATCCTAAAATTGGGATTTTTCATTATGTAGTCTAGTTCCTTCATCACACCTCTATGTCAGTGAGTTCCTGGAATCTCCTGCTAGAAAGTTAGTTTACTGAGACTGTCATTAATATGTAATGAATATAATTATTTAAGCCAATACATTTGAAGAATTTAAATTTAACCATACAGTCTTTTAGCAGATAAAGAAAGCAAATTTGATCTCTAAGTTAGTGTGCTCGACATATCGGGAAATTGGAGCCAGGCTAAGCGTAGGGTGCCAGGGCTCCAGGTGTGCAGTCACAGGAGACAGGAGAGACTTGGGAAGCTCCTGGAAGCTGCAGGAGAGCAGGATCGTGGGTATTGCTCACTCTTTCTCTCTGCACCAGGGGGCATTTTCTAATAATGTTTATCACTTCTCTTCTGCCTGGGGTCTCTGAAACATCTTCTCACATTGTGGTCCGAGCTTTGCTCCCACCAGGCAGCACCTATGGTAGATTTCCCTTTGGGTAGATAGCAGCGGCTTCTGGCTCTCGTCATGCTGTTTCCTGTCTGAGTCCTTGCAGCTCTCATCTCTGGACTGCTTCACAACTGAAAGATTGACTCCCCGCTTTTCTACCACCTATGGAAGCAGCTCCCTGAATTAAATTACTTCTGTTGAATGAAATACCTAGTGTGGTTTCAATTTTCATTTTATTTATTTATTTATGTATTTATTTTGAGATGGAGTCTTGCTCTGTCGCTGAGGCTGGAGTGCAGTGGCCTGATCTCGGCTCACTGCAACCTCCGCCTCCCGGGTTCAAGGGATTCTTCTGCCTCAACTTCGCCCGCCACCACGCCCGGCTCATTTTTTGTATTTTTAGTACAGACGGGGTTTCACCGTATTAGCCAGGATGGTCTCGATTTCTTGACCTCGTGATCCACCCGCCTCGGCCGCCCAAAGTGCTGGGATTACAGGCGTGAGCCACTGCGCCCGGCCGGTTTCAATTTTCTTTAATGGATCTTGACAGATACTAAAGCCCTTTCCCAGGTGTTCCCTTTATGTAATGCAGTAATTAAAAGGGCCGTGATCGAAGAAGTATTCAAGTGCACTATACATAGAATGTCCTATGGATAACCTGTGAAGTTACCTATTTTTTTTGCTTAGAATGGTATTACGTCTACAGGGAGTCAATCAGCTGCAGAAAGTGAATGGATCCTTCGAAAGTTTGAGTTGCTATGAAGGGAGACTCTCTGTTCTTCCTTAGTCTCAGAGATAGGAAATAACAATTGCAGCATTAATCTGGACATGTCTTGGGTTTCATATTCCTACACAAATATAATGAAACACCTATTTGGCCGGCATGTAACTTGAGCCTGACTGTAGCGATTAATTTCTGCCTCTGTGTGTTTTAGAGACTTTTGTAGACAAATTAGTAGATGTAAATGAAAGTGGACGGAAATCGTTTGAAATGAGTTGCCTTTAAGTAGTTGTAAAATTAGACTATATAGCTTAGGAGTCCATAAATTTGAAACTACCTAGGCACAGTGCTCAAAATAGGAGCTTGCATTTATTTACAGGTCATAGTTGTGGAACCAAGATTTGTTAAAGTTGCTAAGTTGTTACTTCAAGAGGTAGATGAAGTCTACATACCAGATCTGTATAAACTTTACATTCAAGAGGGTAATCTTAAAATAATTTATCTCTAGCCGGGCGCGGTGGTTCACGCCTGTAATCCTAGCACTTTGGGAGGCCGAGGCAAGCGGATCACGAGATGGTCAAGAGATCGAGACCATCCTGGCTAACACGGTGAAACCCTGTCTCTACTAAAAAAAATACAAAAAAATGAGCCAGGCATGATGGTGGGTGCCTGTAGTCCCAGCTACTCCAGAGGCTGAGGCAGGAGAATGGCGTGAACCCGGGAGGCAGAGCTTGCAGTGAGCCGAGATCGCGCCACTGCACTCCAGCCTGGGTGACAGTGCGAGACTCTGTCTCAAAAAAAAAAATAAATAAATATAATAATAATTTATCTCTACAGATCAAAAATCATGAAAGCATGTATTTTAAACACTCAAAGTTAATGAATGGTTATTAAATACTATAATTCACTTCTGATACTTCCAGCCTGTCCTCTTTCTTATTTTGTCCTTGGTTGGGGGATAGTCTGAGGACAAGGTGTGGGGAACCAAATGTGGAAAAAATTATGAAGAAAAGTTTGGTAAATTTAACTTTTATATAAGTGGGTATATGGAACCTTTTGTTTTTGCCACTTAAGTCATGGAATTTATTCATAAAAAGTAGGTTCTCTATGTTGGGCATGGTGTCTCACACCTGTAATCCCAGCATTTTGGGAGGCTGAGGTGGGCAGATCACTTGAGGTCAAGAGTTTGAGACCAGCCGGGCCAACATGGTGAAACCCCATCTCTACTAAAAATACAAAAATTAGCCCCGGTTGGTGTGGCACACGCTTGTAATTCCAGCTACTTGGGAGGCTAAGGCATAAGAATCACTTGAACCCGGGAGGCAGAGTCTGCAGTGAGTGGAGATCATGGCACTGCACTCCAGCCTGGATGACAGAGCAAAACTCCATCTAAAAAATATATATATAATTTTACGTATATAAAATTTATATATATAAAACAAATTCACAATTCTGAAAACCAGTATGAAATGGAGTATTGACAAGGTTTTGTTTCAACATCACCTGAGCTTTCCATTCTTGACTTTAGTGACCCAGGAATTTCAGTGAAGACATACAAATAGCCTGAAATCTGAGAAAAGTTAATCCTGAATTTAAGCTTAGCCCAAAGAAATTCTATATACTATAGAGGAACAGATGAACTAAATGAATGTTTGCAATTTCTGTTAACAAACGCACATTTGAATTATGTCAGTCTATTAATTCTTCTGCCTTAAATTTGAGTATTTTGATTTTTTTCAAAAATAATATAATCCTCAATAGTAGTTAATAAAGAAAGTCTGAGTTATAGAACTTGTTTTTTAGGGGAAAATTTCTTTCTTTTATTTCAAGCCATCTCCAATTGCCAGAAAAAATAATACTCAGATTTATGTGTTTCTAACTGAATGGTCTCTTTCTGCAATGCCATTCTCCCGCCTCAGCCTCCAGAGTAGCTGGGACTACAGGTGCCCGCCACCACGCCCAGCTAATTTTGTTTTTGGAATGGAAATGCAAAGCTCAAGGAAAACTGAACAGTGATTTACAGCATTTGCATATGCATTTACTATAATTGTAAGAGCAGGGATTTAATATCTGTAGTGAAGTGATACAGAATTTGGCAGGAACAATTAATATCTACTAAAATTTCTAGGTATCTGACAATACAGAGAACATCAAGGTGAAAACTTTGTTCTTCAAACCATTGTTGAGATATAGGAAGAATCAGCCAATTTTTCTTAAAGGGTATCCCACTAACAAACTTGACAGTATTGGTACATTGTCTTCCTTAACAGATACTGGGAGTTAGAGCCAAATGGCTAAGTATCTCCAAACCTAAAAGTTGTTACTCACCATTCTTAAGCCTGAATAAATTTCATAAAACTTGTAAAATTGGTACCTACTCAGTAACATCACACTTTACCCTCCAATAGATTTAAAACTTGTTCTAGTAAAAGTACCCAGCTTCCTTTTTTTTTTTTTTTTTGACAGAGTCTCACTCTGTGGCCCAGGCTGGAGTGCAGTGGTGCGATCTCGGCTCACTGCAAGCTCCACTTCCTGGGTTCATGCCATTCTCCTGCCTCAGCCTCCAGAGTAGCTAGGACTACTGGCGCCCACCACCATGCCCAGCTAATTTTGTTTTTGTATTTTTAGTAGACACGGGGTTTCACCGTGTTAGCCAGGATGGTCTCGATCTCCTGACCTCGTGATTCGCCTGCCTCGGCCTCCCAAAGTGCTGAGATTACAGGCGTGAGCCACCATGCCCGGCCAAAAGTACCTGGCTTTCCCTTTGCAAGAGCATTTCTAGTATTTGAATTAAATCTAATGGAGCCTTTGATTTTGAAGTGCATGTATGAATTAGTAGTATGTCATGAATTGTGATACATTTTAAAACACTGGCTAGCTGTTGGCAAGATATTATCTATGTCTAATTTTCCAAGTCAGGGAAGAATGCTTTCAATTTTGAATTTATGGACAATGACGAATACAAAATACTTTAAATACTTTTTCGTGAATAACCAATAATTTTTTTCTTTTTTCTTCTATTTATTTATTTATTTATTTATTTATTTATTTATTTATTTTTTCTTGAGACAGGGTTTTACTCTGTCACCCAGGCTGGAGTGCAGTGGCATGATCTCGGCTCACTGCAGCCTCCACCTCCCCAGCTCAAACCACCCTCCTGCTTTAGCCTCCCGAGTAGTTGAGACTACAGGCATGCGCCACACCTCCTCGCTAATTTTTGTATTTTTAGTAGAGATGGGGTTTCTCCATGATGTCCAGGGATCTCAGACTCCTGGGCTGAGCTGATCCACCTGCGTTGGCCTCCCAAAGTGCTAGGATTTGAGACATAAGCCACCGTACCTGACCTATTTTTCTTTCTTTTTTTTTTTTTTTTTTCTGTCGCCCAGACTGGAGTGCAGTGGCGTGATCTCGGCTCACTGCAACCCCAGCCTCCCCGGTTCAAGCAATTCTCCTGCCTCAGCCTCCCGAGTAGCTGGGACTACAAGTGCATACGGCCACTCCCGGCCAATTTTTTTTGTATGTTAGTAGAGACGGGATTTCACCGTGTTGCCCAGGCTAGTCACGAACTCCTGAGCTCAGACAATCCGCCCGCCTCGGCTTCCCAAGTTCTGGGATTACAGGCGTGAGCCACCGCACCCGGCCTATTTTGTTCATCTTTTAAAAGCAGGATAAAGTCTGTGGAAAAATAATAGGTAATTCCTTATCTGATGATTATCTGATATCAAGCATTTCTCTTTAGAAAAAAGGATACTTTCCCTACTTTGTTCAATTACATTTTCTCTATTCCCAGCACAGAAAGTGAATTGAGCTTTCTTGTTCAATAATGTCTTCCTTAAGCACAGCTAGTGTTATTTGCTGAATCAGTAAAACGATTTTTGAATTGCTATTTTAACAATGTCAGTAAGTTAGCAAGAGAAGGAATTCTGATCTCTCTATATGAAACATTTACTTAAAATCTCATCAATTTAAAGTTAACTTATAACAGGACGTTCTGGAGTAATATTATATATATTATATTCTTATACCCTGATATGATTTGGGTTTAGGCATATGCATACGTCAGACTCATCAAATGAGATTCATGTATTTTATTGTATGTAAACTTAAGCTAAAAAATGAACTGCAAACAATTATAGAATGCTTTTTTTTTTCTTTTAAGACAGAGTCTAGCACTGTTGCCAGGCTGGAGTGCAGAGACGCGATCTCGGCTCACTGCAACCTCTGCCTCCTGGGTTCAAGCGATTTTCCTGCCTCAGTCTTCCAAGTAGCTGGGACTACAGGCGCGCCACCACTCCCAGCTAATTTTTGTATTTTTAGTAGAGAGGGGAGTTTTACCATGTTGGCCAAGATGGTCTTGATCTCTTGACCTCATGATCCACCCACCTCAGCCCCCTGAAAGTGCTGGGATTACATAAGCCACTGCACCAGGCCTAGAATACTTCTTAATGATATATATGTTAAATATTTAGGGGAATATGTACTACTGTTTGCAGATTATTTGTATCAGAAATGAATAAATGAAGATGGATCAATTGATGGATAGAAAAGGATGCTAAAGCAAGTACAGTTCAATGGCATTGGTAGAATTTAGGAAGTAAATATTGCAAATTCATTGAAAAATTGTTTACTTTTTTTATGTTTAACGTTTTTTACAGTCATATTTAAATATTTAAATTACAATTAAAGAAAAATTGGGCCGGGTGCGGTGGGTCAGGCCTGTAATCCCAGCACTTTGGGAGGCTGAGACAGGTGGATCACGAGGTCAGGCGATCGAGACCATCCTGGCTAATATGGTGAAACCCTGACTCTACTAAAAATACAAAAAATTAGGCTTGGCGTGATGCCTCACACCTGTAATGCCAGCACTTTGGGAGGCCGAGGTGGGCAGATCACCTGAGGTGAGGAGTTCAAGACCAACCTGGCCAACATGGTGAAACCCTGTCTCTACTAAAATACAAAAATTAGCTGGGCATGATGGCGGGTGCCTGTAATCGCAGCTACTTGGGAAGCTGAGACAGGAGAATTCCTTGAACCCAGGAGATGGTGGTTGTGGTGAGTCAGGATTGTGCCACTGCACTCTAGCCTGGGCGGCTGAGGGAGACTCCATCTCAAAAAAAAAAAAATACAAAAAATTAGCTGGGTGTGGTGGCATGTGCCTGTGGTCCTAGCTACTTGGGAGGCTGAGGCAGGAGAATTACTTGCCCTGGGAGGCGGAGGCAACAGAGCGAGACTTCGTCTCAAAAAAAAAAAAAAAAAAAGAAAGAAAAAGAAAAAGAAAAATTACTTATCTACGTATCCCTGAAGAAGCCTGCTTTATTTTTTAAAATTATTTTAAAAGATTTAAAGAGTATGGGGTTAGGCAGGCTACATTGTTTAAGTATCCTGAGATTATATTTTGCAGGCCTAATTATTTAAAAATATTTTCTGAAGGAAGGTAATAAACAAATAAGAGCTTTTGACTTTCAATCTACATGAGTAGCTTTCGCAGGGAGGATTAAAACTGAATTCACATTTTAGTTTCTTGCCCTTCCATCGACCCTAATTTTTAGAGGTTTAGAAATTGGCTACAAAATTGGTTTTGGTGCTGAAACTTGGCACCAAGACCTAAAACCCAAGACCAAGTCGTCATTTTCAGTTTATTTTTAAGCCTTTTGGCAAGAAGTCACAACATTCATTTCTTTGCCTGAGACTGTAATGCCAGGGGATGTCAGGACACAATGTCCCTTGAGCAATATAACAGGAACACCTGCACACATGTGCAGTGAGATGATGATCTTCTACGAGTCCAAAAATGTTTAATTAGGAATTCAGAAATAAATGAGAATGTAAATGTTTATGTAGGAGGTATTATTCTGCTTCAGTTTTGTGAGATTCTCCATGGATGTATGAACTTCCTAGCCAAGGATTCGAAATGTCAACACCTTTGTTTGCAATCTTACTATATTTCTGTATGAACATTTCAAAATGAAGGGGAAAGATTGTAATATTAATTATTTGTGGATTCAGGTGGAGAATGTAAGGAAGTTATTTCTTCTGATTCATTTCTTTTTGTTCTTTTCTATTTTTTAAATTTGCATATTTTGCTATTTTTCCCATTGACACTAACACTACTATTTCAAGGAAGTCTAACTTTCAGTTTAATTTGGCTCGTCTCAAATTCAATCATTTTGTGGTTTTTGCTCCTTTTCTCATATTTATTGACAGTTTATATTTCTGAACATTAACCTTTTATGTTCCATCTCAGTATACATCTCAGAAGCTCTGGATAAACTTCCAGATTAGGCTGGGTGCAGTGGCTCACGCCTGTAATCCCAGCACTTTGGCAGGCCAAGGCAGGCGAATCACCTGAGGTCGGGAGTTCGAGACCAGCCTGATCAACGTTGAGAAACCCTGTCTCTACTAAAAATACAAAATTAGCCTGGCGTGGTGGCGCATGCCTGTAATCCCAGCTACTCGGGAAGGCTGAGCCAGGAGAATTGCTTGAACCTGGGAAGTGGAGGTTGTGGTGAGCCGAGATGGCACCATTGCACTCCAGCCTAGGTAACAAGAGCAAAACTCCGTCTCAGAAAAACAAAAACAAAAACAAAAAGGCCGAGCGCAGTGGCTCACACCTGTAATCCCAGCACCTTGGGAGGCCCAGGCGGGCGGATGGCCTGAGGTCAGGAGTTTGAGACCAGCCTGGCCAACATCGTGAAACCCCGCCTCTACTAAAAAAAATATAAAAATTAGCCGAGCATGGTGGCAGGCGCCTGTAGTCCCAGCTACTCGGGAGGCTGAGGCAAGAGAATCGCTTGAACCCAAGAGGCGGAGGTTGCAGTGAGACGAGATCTCGCCATTGCACTCCAGCCTGGGCAACAAGAGCAAGACTTTGTCTCAAAAAAAAAAAAAAAACTTCCAGATTAAAATGCTTTTGTTTTTAATACCATATAGTCTCACTCAAATGTGGGAGCTAAAAGGAAAAAAGTGAACACATGAAGAGTAGAATAATGGTTTTCAGAGACTGGGAAGGGTAGCAGAGAGGAGGGGACAAAGTGAAAACGGTTATTGGGTTCAAAAATACAGTTACATAGAATCAATTAGATCGAGTATTAAGTAGCACAATAGGGTGACTACAGTTAACAATTCATTGTATATTTTATGTAATTAATTAACTTATTTATTCATTTATTTTGAGATGGAGTCTTGCTCTGTCGCTCAGGCTGGAGTGCAGTGGCACGATCTCACTGCAGCCTCCGCCTCCTGGGTTCAACCGATTCCCCTGCCTCAGCCTCCTGAGTAGCTGGGACCACAGGTGTGCACAACCACACCCGGCTAATTTTTGTATTTTTAGTAGAGACAGAGTTTCACTATGTTGGCCAGGCTGGTCTCAAACTCCTTATGTCAAGTGATCCACCTGCCTCGGTCTCCCAAAGTGCTGAGATTACAGGCGTGAGCAACTACACCCGGCCCATTGCATATTTTAAAACAATGAAAAGAATAGATTGGAATGTTCCTAACACAAAGAAATGATAAATGCATAAAGGAATGGATATTCCAATTACCCTGATTACTGCGTTACATATTATATGCCTGTATCAAAACATCGCATGTACCCCGTAAATATATACAACTATTATGTACCCATCATATATATATTTTAATATATATATATTTTAATTTAAAGCGCCTTGGAAAGACTAGCCTCGTACCTTGTCTATATGATTCCCTTACAAACTTCCTGTCCTTGTGGTAAGTAAAGGATGTCACTTTCTGGCATGCCCAGGAACGTTAAGATATTTGGGGATTGGCCAGGCGCAGTGGCTCATGCCTGTAATCCCAGCACTTTGGGAGGCCGAGGCGGGTGGATCATCTGAGGCCAGGAGTTCGAGACCAACCTGGTCAAAATGGTGAAACCCCATCTCTACCAAAAATGTAAAAATTAGCTGGGCATGGTGGTGGGCGCCTGTAATCCCAGCTACTCAGGCTGAGGCTGGAAAATTGCTTGAACCCAGGAGATGGAGGTTGCAGTGAGCCAACATGGTGTCACTGCACTCTAGCCTCAGTGACAGAGTAAGAGTCTGTCTCAAAAAAAAAAAAAAAAAAGGAAAAAGAAGAAGATATTTTGAGATCTAGAGTAAATTCACCCAATTTGTACAGACATTGCAGGCACAATCTGATGGCAGGTCTTTGGCTGAGCTTCTTGGCCTAGAAGTTTTTAAAGGTCTAATCTGAACTTCTTTATCAAAGTTCCAGCAAAGGTAATTTGAAAGGAGCCTATATTGCCAATCACTATTCTTGCTGCACTTTATGCAAATAATCAGGCCAAGTATAATAAGACTAAAGCTTATTTCGCAAATAAATTGGTCTTACTCTGAATTTTCTTTTGTAGAAAAGGGGGCTGGGAGAGAGAAAAAAATTGTTGAGAAGACAACTGTAGCACACCTGTTACCAGGTTCTAGTCCAGACCATTGTTTTTGAGGTTTTATACTTTTCCTACAATTTGAACTGAATCCTGAGTTACTTCTTGGCAACAAAAAAGTCTCCAATGAAAAAAAGGGGTTTTAATCTTCATGATGTTCTCTAATGGAATAAGTCTTTTTTTTTTCATTCTGTAATCCTTGTGCACTATTCAATTTTTTTTTTTTTGTTTTCTTTTGAGTCAGAGTTTCACTCTTGTCGCCCAGGCTGGAATGCAATGGTGTGATCTCGGCTCACCGCAACCTCCGCCTCCCAGGTTTAAGCAATTCTCCTGCCTCAGTCTCCCTGGGATTATAGGCATGTGCCACCATGCCTGGCTAATTTTATATTTTTAGTAGAGATGGGGTTTCTCCATGTTAGTCAAGCTGGTCTCAAACTCCCAACCTCAGGTGATCTGCCTGCCTTGGCCTCCCAAAGTGCTGGGATTACAGGCGTGAGCCACTGCGCCCGGCCTCTACTATTCAAGTTATTAACGTTGTGTACCTCTCAATGTTTTACATCTTCTGATAAAATCAAAATCATGGTATTCAGAAGACTAGAGATGATTCAACCAAGCCTGTGAATCTCCCTCATTTAGAATCCCGCTGGGACCAGATCTGTTCTCCTTTGCCAGTGCACTGCTGCTGAAGCTATCCAGTATCAAGCACCCTCCCTCTAGACCCAGGGACTATCATAGAAGAGATGCGTGTGTGAGATTGTGTGGCCCAGTTTCAAGGGGTGAGAGTAGAAAAGCAGCCTGTTGCATGGCAAGACCAATGCCATTTGAAGTGAAACCACCATGATGAACAATGTTACACCCTTGCATGGTGCAACTTCACATGTGGCAAGGTCTTGAAACAATTCCTATAGCATATTCTGCCTCTCATAAAGATGCTTATCTAACCTCCCCAGGGGTCACAAGCCTTACAAGAACATCTGAGGCATGACCAGATGCACATGTTGGTACTCTTAAGAGCTTGCTATCTAAAGGGTACTTTCTAGAGGGTGGGTACAGGGATCCACCATCTCTCAGCCACCAGGGATATCACTTCTTTTCACAACTTCCTATTAAATACTTATTTTTTGATAAAAAAGTGCTTTTCTCTTTGGCAACAGATATTTATTAAGGATCTTCTACCAGTTCTAAATTGGGTAGGAAACAAAATATTAATCCAGAAATAGGTTTTCTTCCCTAAGATTTTACCCAGAACAATAAGCCCAAGTAAAGACAAAAGCTAGAGAGAAAATAGAAAAGCAATGAGTTTGATGGTCCTTCTCACTCAATAGATATTTAGTTAACACTTCTGAGTAGCCAGTCCTGCATGAAGTGCTTTGCATGGAAATACAAAAAGAAAGAAAATATAACTTCTATATTTGAAGAAGCAATAAACATGTTGTGCAAATTGAATAAACAAGTCTCTTCATACCTGGGTTGAGATACACACTTGGAAGTAATCAGCAAGCAGGTGGAATTTGCAGGGTTTCTGGTAAGAATTTGCAGAATGGTGAAAAGTGAAACCTGGGAATAAACACGAGCCACTAATGGAGCAGAGAGAGGTGAAGAGGAAGCAAGGAGAAGGACCTTAAAGAGTGCTGTTAAGTATGTATAACATTGATGATGACTGAACTGATTAAGCAGTTACTATCTGCCTGATAGGAAGTATATAGGCATCATTTTGTTTAATATTGAAACAATCTCATGAGGCAGGCACTATTATTATTATTCCATCCATTTTACAGACAACAGAACTGAGGCTTATGCAGCTTAAGTCATTTTTTCAAGGGTTTTCAAGTCACAAGGGCTGTTGTTAGTATGTGGTTGAATGAGGACTTTAGGGATGCCTACCCTAATTTCAGAATCCAAACTCAGAGGGTAGCCAAAAGTGCTGGGTGCTATAATGACATCTCATTGGGATGGGCTGAAAAGTGGCCATAGGGCTAGGCTATAAGAGTTGGCACAGTTTCTGCAGCAAGAAGGAGAAGAACACAAATGACAGTAGTGTGAAGATACAGGACATGAGATAAAGAGAGGATTCCATTATCATAACAGGCCTAATGAGCCACAGTAAAGCCCTAATTCACGAAACACCACACAGTGAAGAGAATGTCACTACCTGTTATTTAAATATCCTCTAAGAATGCTGAAAAATGATAAATGAAGAATGAAACTTATGAGGCTCAGTGGGACAAATTCTCTAAGCCATACTTTCTTCACTGAAATTGATTAATTTTCCTTAAGAAATGACATCATTCTCATGAGGTAATCTATGATTCGTTGGTCTAAGATAATCCAGTGGGCGACAAGGGTCATCTCTCAGTGGAAATCCTATGTTTCCATCTATACATTGCTCTATTTGATCAGTTCACTCTTTCTAAGTTCACCCTTTCCTGCATCTCCTGTCTTCTACTAGATTTTTATGCCAACTGGTATGACCATGTTTGAGGATTCCCTAATAATTAGACCAAGTGTGTCAACTCATGTACTTTTTTATCTCAAAAAGAATATATAAAGAATTTATCTTCTAATGAATATGTAGAAGAACTGTGAAAAATAAAACATACAAAATATACTATTACCATTTTATAGCATTTGTTTTGATACTTGAGTCACATCTAAGGCTAAACATAAAATCTCTGCTAAATACAGCAGAAGGCATAAGAAAATCTAGTTGAAAAGGAAACATAGTAAAAATACTAGTTAGATCCATAGAAGGTGGGTGTATTTTCCTAATATACTGACATGATCTCTCATATCTGACTAAATTTGTTGTATATGCATGTGAAATTTCTCACTACCTCTTAATACCTTCTAAATAAGAAAATTAGCTGTGTTTGGCTTTTTCCTCCTATCTACCAACTCCCTAATCAAAAATAGTGATAAAGCTTTTCAGTTTAAAACAGATTTTTAATTTAAAATCCACCTGAAATTTATCAGAAGATTATTGAGTGCTTTAAAATCTTAGTAAACATTGAAATCTGAATTAAGAAAGGTTAATTGATAAAAAATTTATGACTCAGATTCGTGTTTATGAATCCACCTAAATTTCCTAAGAATACCTTTAGTGTTTAGCGTGCAGGTCCTGGTCTTGTCTTTGTCTTTGTGGGTTTTCTGTTTGCTTGTTTTCATTTTTGTTTCTAAGCTTTAAGTTTTAGTAATTTTTTTATGTTCTGAAAATCCTGTGAGAGAAAAACTATTGAAAAAGATTACAAATGTACAAAATTCTCCCTTGATATTTGATTGAGAGTACTTTCTGCATACATACAAGATATATAGTCTTCTTTTATTTATTATTTATTATTTATTTATTTATTTTTGAGACGGAGTCTCGCTCTGTTGCCTAGGCTGGAGTGCAGTGGTGCGATCTGGGCTCACTGCAACCTCCGCCTCCCGGGTTCAAGCAATTCTTCTGCCTCAGCCTTCTGAGTAGCTGGGATTACAGGTGTGAACCACTACGCCCAGCTAATTTTTTTTGTATTTTTAGTAGAGATGGGGTTTCACCATGTTGGTCAGTTTGCTCTCGAACTCCAGACCTCAAAGGATCCGCCCACCTCAGCCTCCCAAAGTGCTGGGATTATAGGTGTCAGCCACCGTGCCCAGCCCTAGTCTTCTTTTAAAATAGCACATAGAAGGACTTCATATATGCTGGGATAAAGACACATGCTTCCATCAAGTTCAGCATCTGGAAAAGGTAAGGGAGGAGGTCATCACAATAGTTTCTGTTTTCGATACATGATATCAGTGACATCTGTCTGACATGTTATCTGTATATATTTTTTAAAGAACTATATGCCTTATGGAATGTAATATTTAATACTGAATTTGAATGAACTTTGTCAAATAACATTCATTTGAATTTTCTACAAACATATCTGAAAGAAATCTCAAAGAAAATTAATCTCATTTTTTCAAATATTAAGTATGTGAAAGTTATAATGAAAGATCAAAAGAAATAAATGAACCTGTTTTTATTTTTATTTTTTGTTTTAAAGCTAAATGTGCTTTATTGAATTGTAATGAAGAGTAGCATCTGTTTTGTAAAGGGTGTAATGAGGGCAGTCCTTTACTTGGATGGAATGAGGCACGATAACTTCTAGGTGAATAGATTTCTGTGCATTTGTTGGGATGTGAGCCATTGATGACAAATTTGGTGACAGTTCACAGCTTTTTAAGTTGCTTACTATAAGATCTTCCATACACTTTACATGTGAAAAACTGTTGTTTCAGTTTTGGTCATTAGAAACACTTTCAGTTGGCTCCAGTGTGCCTTTGTCATATGTTCATTATTGCAGGTTTTTTTTTTTAATTTGATTTGCCAGCTTTCTTCACTTTCTGGCACTACTACATGCTCCAGGCTCACCTTGTCTATTTTCTGTACCAGTCCTAGAATCAGCCATTGTTTCAGTCAGTTGGGGCTTCTATAACAATTATGTCATCGACTAGGTGGCCTAAACAAATATTCATTTCTCACAATTTTGGAGGCTGGGAAGTCCAAAATCAAGGTGCCAGCAGATCTGGTGTATGGTGAGGTTTGTATTACCACATGGTGGGAAACAGAGAGAGAGAAAGCCCTCTCACATCTCTTCTTATACGAGCACTGATCTTATAAATGAGTTCTCCACCTTCATGACATGGTTACCTCCCAAAGATTCCACCTTCTAATGCCATGACATTGGAGATTAGCCTTCAACATATCAATTTTGGGGGTAAACAAACATTCTGTTCATTGCAGCCATTTATCCAAAGATCACTGAATCATTTTATTGGAGAACTGTGTTAGCAACCAAGATCTGGGTACTAGGCATACTCATTTCTACCTGGATGTTGTTGCTTCTAGCCCTTCTCAGCTGACAAAGAAAATAACTACATATGTGAATACAAAGTCATTTGTATGTACGTAATTACATATATATTTTATACTCTACATCTGTATTAAGCTAAACATGATTTCATGCTGATATTTCCAATTCTGATCTATTACATATGGATCATTCTAGCCTTCTCCTCTTATGTTTCTGTAGTCTCTTACTCCAACAGTGAAAAACCTGGCTTCAGTCATCATCCAATCAATGATTTAATTGTTTGATTCTAGTGTACATGCATAGCAGTATCAGAATTGTTAGCCTGTACTCCTGTAAGAAACACCTTTATCAACTAGAATACAGTGTTACCTACTGTTCCTTTTCCCTTGAGTTTTACAAACCTCACTCATTTCTTAAATTACTTTAGTGAGCAACTTTTCCCCACTGTTGTTGGTGAGGTTGCTTCACAGGTTTTTAATACAGTTAGATTGTTTTGTTACATTCTAACTTTCTTCATGAGCTGCTAAATAATTCTCAAAATTTGCATTCATTAAGGTTTATTATCAGTGTCAGTGCATTTTGACAAATGCATAATGACATGTATTCAAAAATAAGGTACCATAAAGATAGTTTATCCACCTAAAAACCTCCTGTGCTCCCTCCCTAACTTAAAAGATTTTATAACTCACTCTCTTCCTCAAGAGGGAGGACATAATATTAACCTATATTTTGATGTATATGGACTTCCTTTGGCTTATTTTTACCTTTCCAGACACATCTTCAGAGTCATATTCAGACTCAACAATTGTGCACTGAATGCAAATCAAACTGTTTGTATTTTTTCGAATATATCATCTTGCAAATTAATCAACACTAAATACTTCCTCCCTCTGCTCAAAAGGCCCTTCTAGCCGTGAAAGCCTAAACAATTTCTGCAAATTCTTCAAAAATCACATCAAATGTTGCCACTGTCAGAACAGACCTCCTCGATCATATAAAACAGGAGAGTTAAAATGTATTCTCCATTTCATTTATCCCTCTATAGTTTTTTATTTGTTTTCTTGTTCCTTTCACTAGAATATCCTTGAAGAAAGATGTCATGATATTCACATGTATGTCTCCAGTGCCTGTCAGAGTATCTGACACAATATTTGCATATTCAATAACTATGAGTCAAAGAGACAATAGAGTGAATGAATGAATAAATGAATGAATGAGGGAGAGACTGAATGAGTGAAACATACATATTTATTTCTGATTTCAAATTTCAAAAGTTGAACTATATGGAAGTTGAGGCTACCCTAAGTCTAAAATGGTGAGTCACATCTTCTCAGGGGAGTTTGAAAAGCCCTAGGTCTAACCACTTGAGGACCACTGGATCTATTCATGGAAGGCTTATGAACGAAGCTTGATAAAAACTTTGTTCCCTTAGAGTTGATACGAAGTTTTCTTCTTGCTTTGACTTATTAAAAAATTTTTAGGCCAGGTGTGGTGGCTCACGCCTATAATCCTAGCACTTTGGGAGGCTGAGGCAGGCAGATCATGACGTCAGGAGTTCAAGACTAGCCTGGCCAACGTAGTGAAACTGCGTCTCTACTAAAAATACAAAAATTAGCTGGGCGTGGTGGCTTGTGCCTGCAGTCCCAGCTACTCAGGAGGCTGAGGCAGGAGGATTGCTTGAGCTGGGGAGGCGGAGGTTGTGGTGAGCCGAGATCACACCACTACACTCCAGCCTAGGCAACAGAGCAAGACACCATCTCAAAAAAAAATTTTTTTTTAAGAGCTAAATATCTCCATATGACAGCCCAACCTTCTGTGAGTATACATACAACTCTAAGACTGATTTTCTGGCCAAATGGAGAATTTGGATAATATTGCAAGGCAATAGCAACACTTATCTCACAGGAATCTCTTCTGTCCTTATTTTCAAACTTTCAATACACAAATTTGGTACAAATATTAAGTACAGATATCATTGTATTAAGTACAAATATCACCACTGAAATTCTTTATTTCACAGGCTTCCACATAAACCAATAAAACTAATTTAAAGTCTTGCAGTATATTCCAAGACCTCTTCTCCATGTCACCTAGAATAACCACTCTGTAAACATTCAATGTCAAGCTTAAGTGCTCAAAAATTGAAATTTTGCTTTAATAAAAAGGATATTGAATGCAACTGAGGAAAGAGTTCCAACTTTCTTTGCTAGATCCTCCAAATAAAAGAACCTATTATGCCAAATCAAAGCAGGTATTTCTATTGACGAATGCTAACACCTGCATATCAGGCAGGCTGGGTGATGTCATTCATCTTTTCTGTGCTAAATTCAGCAATTAGCCAAAGAACAAACTTGTGCTTGGAAAATGCAATTGCCTCAAATAAATGATTTAAACGAATAATAAAAAGCAATTAATTGTATGATGCATTCTAAAGATCAAGTTGCTTCATTTAGGGATCAATGAAAAGCTTTAACCACTAAACCACCTTAAATCAATCTAAACACTTGCACTAAACTTCTTAAACACAAATATTTTTTCTTTTTTCCTGTCCTCTGAAACGGAATTTATTTGAGGTAGAAATTCCAAAAAAAACCCACACCATTTTGTGATTCAACTGCTTCTCTTAAGACAACCACATCAACTTTATCAACTCAAAAGGTTAAGTTTGGGCAGGTTTTTTTGGTTTTGTTTTGTTTGTTTGTTTGAGACAGTCTTGCTCTGTTGCCCAGGCTGGAGTGCAGTGGCGTGATCTCTGCTCACTGCAGGCTCCACCTCCTGGGTTCACGCCATTCTCCTGCCTCAGTCTCCTGAGTAGCTGGGACTACAGGTGCCCGCCACCACGCCCAGCTAATTTTTTGTATTTTTAGTAGAGATGGGGTTTCACCATATTGGCCATGCTGGTCTTGAACTCCTGACCTCGTGATCCTCTCGCCTCAGCCTCCCAAAGTGCTAGGATTATTGGAGGGAGCCACCGCACCCGGCCTGTATTACTGTCTTTAGCTGATTAAGGTTAAACATTTAGACTATGATTATTCAGGGTAAAGAAACTATAAAATGGTCGCGTTAAAATATCTTTATTAAAGAAGTACAACAAACTTACTGGTTAAATGACTTTTTTTTCCCTTTAAGAGTTAAACTCATTTTCATCCTCATTTTATGCATATGTGAAAGATATATTTTTTACAATTGCTCTAACACAAATACTGCTAAACTTTTACAATAACATTGCTCTTTTCTTTGGAATAAATGAAGCCTCAAAACAAGTGAACCGTTGCCTGCTATGTGTTATTCTTACCATTTCATTTGCTCCAGATCCACTGCCAGTTTGAAAGCTCCTGTGCATAAAGCATTGCCAAGCTTGAAAGTATAATAAACCTTCTGTAATATTCTTGGAGACCAAAGACACTGTGAACTCAGGGAGTCGAGCATTTATATGTTTAAGCCAGGTATTGCAATTCTCTTAATCTCATGAGATGTTAAATAACCATGGGCTGAATAAAGCTGTTTTCTGCTAAAAGTGAAATTTTACCCAAGTCTTATCAATATAAAGTGAGAGTCTCCAGGGTGGAAGGTGGCGTTTGGATTCATAGAAGAGTAAGAATACCTGAGTGGGTGTCATGAGTGTTTTGAGGAGGGAATAAACACTCAGGCTGTGCGCAGAAACCTCAAACTCTATAGAGTTTTAGAAAAACAAACAAACAAAATATATTACGGTATCCATTGACATGAGACAGTATTTTTTAAATGATAAATCTGTGTTTCTGTGTATTTCTTACAATCATTAAAAGTATTTTATCCTCTCTATACAACCCTCCAATTTGGATAAAGAAAATTTAAAAATGTAGAAATGTTTATACTTCATTATTAAAAGATCTGGCATTTATTACAAATTTTTCTTATGCTAATTTTCACTCATGTATTATGGTAGACAAAAAATTCTACTCACTAATCAAATATTATTCTTGTCTCAGACCTTAAACCAGATGTAGAAAAATTGATCAAGCACATTGGAGTCCCTTCTTATTACAGTAAAATATAAGTCCTGTGGCTGAGGTCAAAGTTGAAGCTAGAGAGAGTGAAGGTTTTGCCATCCCCACGACCTCTGAGTCACAGCCTGGCATTTTTCCTGTCACTGTTGATGGAGTGGTCAAAAAGACTCAGGGCTAAGAGTACTATTCTGGAAAAACCAGACGTAAGAACTTTTCAGATCATAGACAACACAAAGTCTGAGAAAGTTCTGTCTCTTACAGAAATACCATTCTCCCTACTGCTTTTTTGGAGAATGTCGAGCTGGCTTCAGAAGGCTAAGAAAACACATACATTTTATTCTAACTGCGGGATATCTGACATATATTTCACCAGGCCTGATAGTGTGAGCATGGCTGAATTGACCTCTGTATGCCTCAGTTTCCTGTTCTGGATGAAGGGTGTAAATCAAGCCCACAGGGGTTTAGTGGGAGACTTAGCTCCTGTTCTCACTTGCAAAGGACTCTCAGTCACTGTTTTCCAAACCCACCCTCCTTCGTGAGATGGCAGAAGTTTCACTTAATTCTACTTGGGTCAGCTCTGATTTCTCCCTCCCAGGGTTTCCATCCAAAGGTTCCTGTTAAAGCTGGTGATGAGAAATCTGACAGTAAAATGGAGTTGTAAGTTTGATGGGAAGGTTGTTATTTTTCCCTGCCCCCACCATCCTTCCTCTACCCCTTTTCCCCCTTCCTCAAATGGCCTGGCTGCTGCAACGTGAGAAACATAGTTGCACTGCCTCTGCTCGCTGCATGAGGCGAGGTGAAGAGGGGGGCAGTGAGTGCCAGACCCCAGATTGATGGCATGTGGAAAGCCAGCGCCAGAGCTGCCGGCAGCCAAGCGCTCCTCTGCGGGGATCCCACAGAATACACTTTCCAGATTTCTGGGCCTCTGTCCAGCCACACACTTCTGTGCATGCAACTCTCCCTTCACGAGAAAGGGGCTGGGAGGGAGGGGTGGAGGCAAAGTCCTCTGTGCACTTGCTTACTTATTTACTGCTTTAGTAAATGTGCTGAACATATGTTACTTTAAGAAGCAGCCAGGCAGAGAAAGCCAATCTGATTACCTCTTTCCACCAAGCCTTCCTCCTCTCCTTCTGGTGTGGATGATTACAATTGGATGAGGGCCAGTCTAAAAGGGGGCTATGTCCTCCAGGGCTGACAGCCGCTGGGGTAGGCTTGTGTGGACACAGTGGAAACACCACAGATAGCGTCTCTTCCACCGTCAACCATGCAGCCATGAGCAATTACATTTCAATTCCAGACCATCCGCTCTGGGCATAGCTGCTGCTGTCTGGAAACCCAATACTCCTGGATCTTGCTTGGCTTAGGAGCTGTAGTGGGCCCCGCAGCTGAGGAATGACTTCCCTCCAGGCCTGCGGAACTAGATTATGTTCATAGGAATTAACTAAGAATCTTACCTATTCTAGCGTCACTGGGTTTGGAATGCCTTTCTCTCCTCCAAATTTCTGCAAATAAAAGCTAAACTTGAAGCAGGCTAACTAGCCAAGTAAGAAATGGTTGAGTGAATAGAGTCTAATAAGAGCAGATTGAATTTATGCTCTCAGATGAAATTAAGATATGAGGACCACGAGAAATAGAAAGACATTATGAGATTAAAAGTTGTTTAAACAAAATGCCCCAAGTAGCTATAGAGTTGAAGTGTTCTGGCTCAAGATGTTTGAATCAGCACATTCCTTTTTCTCAACTCTTTTGAGAGCCTATTAAAGTGACAGTCAGTGAATTAAAAGTTATACACGCATAACAAGAACAACGATAAAACCCACGAAAGAAGAGATCTGTGGAGAAGGTGGAAAGTGGATAAAATGATGGAGATGGAAAAGGCAGCATCAGGCTGGGCGCGGTGGCTCATGTCTGTAATCCCAGCACTCTGGAAGGCCAAGGCGGGCAGATTTAGTTCCCTTAATATAGAAAGTGAATCAGGGAATCACAGATCACCTCATCTCTCATCCCAACTCCTGTGCAGACCAGGTAATACCTTGGAGAGTCTTTCTCTATAAAAACTTCTAACTATTTTGGGAAAACTAGGGGAGATAAGATGGATAGTGTCATCCTAGAGCAAAGCACTAATGCTTGTGGAATTTTTTTTAATTTTATTATTATTATACTTTAAGTTTTAGGGTACATGTGCACAACGTGCAGGTTTGTTACATATAAGCCTCTAGGACCATGCCCAACTCCAGGCTCACTCGACATCTCTTGCCTGCCTCTAAGCCCTTCATCAGTCATTTGAATCTCTCCATATGAAATAGAAAAGGAACAATTAAAGACACTAGATATTTGAAGAAAGCCTCCACATGAAAGATAAAAATCCAGGTAAAATTGGCCCCCCAAAAACCAAATATTCACAAAAATGAAAGGACTTTAAAAAACTCAATAAAACTGCACCCCTACTTAGTATCAGAAAGTTTCAATAAGTGTTAGAAAAGTTAGAAAGTGCAAAGAAAAATCAGCAATAAGAACTGACCAAAAGAAATCTATAATTAAAAAAAGGATCTTAGAGTCTTAGGAAGTTTTTAAAATACGATTGATTAAATTACAAAAAAAAGACACTGAGAAAAGATTAAGAACATCTTCAAGAACTTGAGTTAAAAGACATAATGTGTGAATAAAGGAAATGCAATATCTGAATAGCTAATTCTCAAGAAAAGGAACAAAAATTGAAGAAGAAATTATCAAATAAATAATGAAATCAATTTTTCCAAAATTGAGAGAAGACATATGCTACCGTATTTAAAAAGACCCCCCTAATTGCCAAGTAGTAAGAATTTGGGGAAACTCCCACACATAGAAAAATACTGTCAGTTATTAATGCAATAAATATATCAAAACATGATTCTAAAAAGTTTCATATAAAAAAAACAAGACAAAAATTTTCCTATAAAGAAACAAGAATCAGTCTTGCATCTAATTTTTTTCACAACAACGATGCATCCTAGAAGATGGGGATATAAATTTTTAAAGGACCAAGGGATATATTTTAGAAACTGAAAGTGTTATGGATTAGTACACATAAAGTCATTTCAGATTAAAGATTCATAAATTTTATCTTCCAAGCAAGCATACTGTATGAGAAAGGTTTTAAGTTGTACTCCAGCAAAACAAGGGTGAAAACCAAGAAAGGAAGAGATGTTGGATACAAGAAATTCTAGAACTGCCCAAAAGTCTCATTAAAAAAAAAAAAAAGCTATGCAGGAGGCCTACATCTTAATCTTTCCAAATTTGAGCTCAAAGCCAATTGCTTCCAAGAAGAAGGTTTTCAACATAAGAGTAGAGGATAATAGTACAAAGAAAGGTTACATTTTGTAAGAACTTAGAAGATTTTAGAAATAAATATGGTATTGATTTTATATCTCAATTAGAAAAATAGCAATCCCAAATTCCAGGAAAAACAAAAACATGCTGAAGTAAGATGTGATTTAATTATAAAACAAAGTAGAATGTGGCTTATCATAAGCAATTAGTAGGCAAGAAAGAATGGGAAATGTAATTTTCTTTGAAATTAAAAATACCAGTTTTTGTGTGTGAAAGATGGAATAATATCAGTGGAAATGAAGAGAAGAAAAGATAACAAGAGTAAACTGCTTTACTCCTTGGTGAACAATATCCACCTGCACACAATTACGTGAACACTGTTTATCAGCTGTCAAATTTAAAGCTCAAGGATGAAGTACTTAATTTTAGTTATAGAACAGAAATAGAATGTGACAGAAGTTTTTAAATAGGAGTTTAAATTAGAAGTTTAAATTTTTAAAATAGAAGTGCGCAGGTTATACTCAGAAAGTTAATGTTCTCACCCTAAGAAACAGCAAGGCAAAAGACACTGTAGAATATGGATGAATTAACTTTAATTATAATAATAATTATTATTATTATTATTTTGAGACAAGCTCTGGCTTTATTACTAAGGCTGGAGTGCAGTGGCAGGATCTCAGCTCACTGCAACCTCCGCTTCCCTGGCTCGAGCAATTCTCATGCCTCAGCCTCATGAGCAGCTGGGACTAGAGGTGCCCACCATAACGTGGGGCTAAGTTTTGAATTTTTAGTAAAGATGGGGTTTCCTCATGTTTCTCAGGCTGGTCTCAAACTCTCGAGCTCAAGTGATCTGCCTGCCTCAGCCTCCCAAAGTGCTGGGATAATAGCCATGAGCCACCGTGCCCAGCAGATGAATTAACTTTAAATGTACAATCGATAGTTACAAAGATATCTATTAAAGGAACTAAAATCAATTAAAATAACAATCGAAATGCATGAGTATAAGAAGAAGGAATCCAGGGGTTTAAGTAAACAAAAATTATTTTCTATTAGAAGAGGAATATATGACCACCATCAATAAGTAGTCATATTTTTGTACTTGGAAGGTAATCACAAATTACCAATTACAGAAATATTTAAAAGTAATTGGCCCCAAGAACTCATTCTATATTGAGGGGGGTGGAATAAATTGTTGCTTTCCTCAGCCATTTTGCACTATTTCTTTTCTTTCCTTTCCTTTTCTTTTCTTTTTTTTTTTTTGAGACGGAGTTTCACTCTTGTTGCCCAGGCTGGAGTGCAATGGCTCTATCTCGGCTCACTGCAATCTCTGCCTCCGAGGTTCAAGTGATTCTCCTGCCTCAGCCTCCTGAGTAGCTGGGATTACAGGCACCTGCCACCGTGCTCAGCTAATTTTTTGTATTTTTAGTAGAGACAGGGTTTCACCATGTTGGCCAGGCTGGTCTTGAACTCCTGATATCAGGTGATCTGCCCGCCTCAGCCTCCAAAGTGCAGCCTCCAAAGTGCTGGGATTACAAGTATGAGCCACCGCGTTTGGCCCCTACTTCATTTTTATACTGCATGGTATGAACTCTTTTTTATTTTATTTATTTATTTATTCTTGAGATGGAGACTCACTCAGTCGCCCAGGCTGTAGTGCAGTGGCGTGATCTCGGCTCACTGCAACCTCCACCTCCCGGGTTCAAGCAATTTTCCTGTTGCAGCCTCCTGAGTAGCTGGGACTACAGGCACCTGCCACCATGCCTGGCTAATTTTTGTATGTTTAGTATAGACAGGGTTTCACCTTGTTGGTCAGGCTGGTCTCGAACTCCTGACCTCAGGGATCCATCTGCCTCGGCCTCCCAAAGTGCTGGGATTATAGCCATGAGCCACCGTGCCTGGCCGAACTCTTTTTTAAAAAACAAATAAACATGCCGGGCGCGGTGGCTCTCGCCTGTAATCCCAGCACTTTGGGAGGCCGAGGCGGGCGGATCACCTGAGGACAGGAGTTTGAGACCAGCCTGACCAACATGGAGAAACTCTGTCTCTACTAAAAATACAAAAAATTAGCTGGGCATGGTGGCACATGCCTGTAATCCCAGCTACTCGGGAGGCTGAGGCAGGAGAATCACTTGAACCCAGGAGGCGGAGATTGCAGTGAGCCGAGATCGCACCATTGCACTCCAGCCTGGGCAACGAGACTGAAACTCCGTGACACACACAAAAATAATAAAAATAAAAATAAAAAAATAAAATAAACATAAGCAGAGCAGCGGTGTTTATAGATATGATTACAATTTTAATTTCAACATGTCCAGATTTATAGGCCTTATTCCCCATCTTCTACTCTTCTTAACATCATGCATGTATAGAACATTCAAACAAACAAAAATATAAAATAGAACATTTAACCATATTAACACATGAAAATTTGTTCTAGTACTTATTATTTTTTGCTCTTGCCTATTTCACAGCTGTCAATCAGCTGAAGGAACCATCCAAATATGCCAGCATCTACTTTCGTATGATGGATTTATTTCATTTTTAATGACTCCCAAGGGAAGCAGTAGATTTTTTTTAAATCAAAATTCATTTCAGTGTTATGGCCTAAGATCTTATTAAGCATAAAAAACACATAAAGTCTATTCATTTCCCATCACACCTCCACTTACTCTTAAGCCATCTTTGTCTCTTGAGTAATATGATAATGTTTATTTTTTCCCTCTACCTTTTTAATTAGTGTCAGCAAAAGTCCATTTCTGCTACTGGCATAAAATTAATTACCTTGTTGACAGGGGCTGGCATCATGTATTTATATTAAAAGGTAAAACTATTAAATTTATAATAACCTGCATATTTTAATTGATAATGTATATATTTATTATCTGCTTTTGTTTTAACAACATTGTAGATCATTTAGGCTTGTCTTGAAAGTTTTATTTTTATGCCCTTTGGTCAAATTTATATTTCTGGAATGTTGTTCATTAATTCTAAAGCACTGTCAATTTTCAGAAGTGTTTTTGACACATCCTCCTGTTATAGAAAATTGTCTAGAGGAAAGCTAAAAAAAAACAGAAAACATATACTGGAGTGGATATTTTTATTACTTATTACGGTTAATCATTTCAAAGTTTTAACACGTTCATCCAACAGGAAAGCATGATTTTATCTAGTCTATGGTTTCTGTTGCTCCACTTTTTTAAAAAATGAGTAATACTTGAAGCATCCATCCTAAAGGTTCTCATTTTCTTCCTATATCAATTAAAAGAAAACATTTTATTATCCTAATTAATTGCATGATAAAATTAATTTTAGAATATATTAAAATGCATCATAATTGTGTTTCTTCAGTAAATGTCTTAGTAATAGGAAATGAACTTCAATACTGAGTAGATTGTGAACCTGTCAGTTGTTTTCCTGCCTCGAGTTTTGAAAAGTTGAATATTTTTATTTCCTAGTAGTTCTTTTTAAAATGGCTAGACTTCTTTCCACAGTTATTTTCCTGGGAACATTATATTTTATTTTAGAAGCTGTTGAGGGTGGAATGAACCTTCTCCTCTATAGGGATTTTTTTTTAATGTGGTAACTTATATAAAGTGGAAATGAAGAAAGATGATGATTTAATGTACATGTGGGGGTGGAAGCATGAGAGGAAGAGGCTGGGTCAGTTTCCTTTATATATCTTGCTTAAATGGTATTCAGTGATGGCCCTCTATTACCTGGATTATGGCCACAGACTTCTAAATTGCATTCCTACTGCCAGACATGTTCTGCACAGCCCATCTACCTCACACACTGCTGCCAAGTTAAGTTTCTGTATTACAAAAACAATTATATCATGCCAGTAGGTGGAAATTTGTTAGCTCCCAATGCTGATGGGACCAATTCCAGTTTTCCTAGTGAAACAAGTAAGGCCCTGGACAATGTATTCCTAACAGCCTCCTGCCTCATTGCCCTTTTCCAATGAGGCTTTCACCTTCATCACCCTACCCCCAGTGTCACCAGTGACCTCCTTGTCATTTAATAGAATGAACAGTTTTCCTTCCTAGAGCACTTTCTTCTGCTGCTGACTTTATTGACTCAGCTTAGTCTGATTTTTCTCCTACCCCCTTTGAATGTTTTTTCTATGACTCCTGAAGGTTGATCCAGTTCCAAACAACCTTTAACTGTCAAGAGCTTTTCAGGAGCTTAGTGCTAAGCCTTCTCCCCGTGGTATTCTCTAGTCTCTTCCTAGGTGATTGTGTCCACATGTACAATGCAGTGACCAGGTTTACCCGGATGACTTATAAATTACTATCTACACATTAGGCCATTGCACCCAGCACTGAGCCCTATGAATCCAACTGTCCCCTCGACACATATCCTTGAATATCTAAAAAGAACCTCAAACTCAACTTGCATACAATCAAACTCATAAACTTCTCCCAAAAACCTGGTCTGCCCAATAAATGTTACATTTGCATTTGAAGAAGCAAAATGTTTCACAGTCAATCTTGAAACACTTCCTCATTATTTCCTACTTCCTTCCCCAGTAAATCAGGAATTTTAAAATTGTGCTTAATTAATTATCCATGGCTTTATAATCAGCAAGTCCCAAGACATTAATAAGTTTTAATATCACTTAAATAGGATAGGATTGTGAAAGATAAAGCTGAACGCTAGTTAGAATGGTAAGGGCAGTAATATACTATTTTGAAGAGTCCAGCATGAACTGACCCCAACTACAATTTGTACAGAGGTGAGTGGGTGTTTTAAAGGGAGAATGAAGGAAGGGAGAATTCCAGGCTCAGTGGAATCTGGGAAGTGAAAAGTGACTAAAAGCAGGAAGGTGGAGTTCATGTTAAACCCATCTTGCCTAACTAGCACTTATTAAAGTTAACTAGGGCTCCTACCCTCCCACAGAGACTGGAAGACAGGGGCTCTATCTTCAAGTGTTGGCTAGAACAAACAATGAATTATTTTTGCAGCCCTGAGTTTTCTCAGGCAGGCATTTTATCAAAGATTTATCCAACCCACGTGAATGTGAAAGACAGCTGAGTGGAAATTTAGGAAGATTTAATTTATGCGTGTGCTTATTTCTTTCTAGGCCAATTAGGACAGAAAACTTTAAAAAGTAATTTTATTACTATAAATTGATTTGGTAATTCTATCCAGCCATTATCATATAACATATGATAACATATGGGAAGTACTGTATCACAGGGAATTATTATTATACATTTATATATGTGTATTTTGTGTATATATGTGTATTCTTGAACAGGAAGACAGATGCAAATAAAGATTTTATGGTTTTCACTTAAAAAATTATAGCGTAGTTAAGGTTGCCTACTGAATGTAAGGTTAGTGCATTTTACCAACATATTTGAAGGAGACTTTGAAGATTTTCTTTTGTCCTGATATGTAATCTTACGGAGACAAGAGACTGAGGGGACATCAAGAAGCTGTCGGAATGTCTCCAGAGCTCATCTGAGGGGATAAAATATCCAGTTTGTTTCAAATCAGCCTTCTTCCATTGAAGCCTCAGGTAGTTTTTTTTTGGGAGGGGGGTGGGGTTCCTGAGTCCCTTGAGAGCCCCGATAGGCCAGGGAAATTAAAGTTCCAGTGACTGCGGGGTGTGAGGAGCTGGAGTAAGAAGAAAACTGTCTGGCAGGAATCAGCACAAGGGAGAAGAGGCAGGGGCTTGAAGGGGCACACGTGAAAGGATGCCCCCGAGCTCGGAGGGAAGATCAAGGCAGTGAGAGGGGAAAGAAGCAGAGGGGTTGGGAGGGAAAGGTCTTAAAGGAGCCAGTTGGGGAGATCTTAGGTTTTCCACAGAAGCTATTGAAGTTTTCCACGTTATCCTAAGTCATGCCAGGCCACCAAGAACAGAAGCTGACAGTAGCGCCTCAGCAGCACACAGTCAGTGAGAGTTGGAGAAGGGTGCTTGCTGCTGCTGAGATTTTCCCATGAGAGGAGCAGGATCAAACAGAGAGAACAAAAAGGGGCCGGGGGCGGTGGCTCACGCCTGTAATCCCAGCACTTTGGGAGGCCCAGGTGGGTGGATCACTGGAGGTCAGGAATTTGAGACAAGCCTGGCCAACGTAGTGAAACCACGACTCTACTAAAAATAAAAAAAAATTAGCCGGGCATGGTGGTGCGCGCCTGCAGTCCCAGCTACTCGGGAGGCTGAGGCAGGAGAATGGTGTGAACCTGGGGGCTGGAGCTTGCAGTGAGCCGAGATCAAGCCACTGTGCTCCAGCCTGGGAGACAGAGCCAGACTTCTTCTCAAAAATAAAATAAAATAAAATAAAATAAATTTAATAAAAGTGAAACTGAAAGAGATAAAAGTGTATTACACATGGTATATTTTGAGTCATGAAATATTTATTTTCATTATAAATGTGTGTGTGTGTGTTGTGTGCCCATACAAAGTTTGCACTGGGTTGAAATGTAAAAATTATTTCTTAATCTAGACCATGATCAAAATCGTTTGCTTTCTCTTCTGTTTTCCACACCATTATCCACCACTCAAGTTACCTTTAGTTCTCTCAAGGATCAATAATATAACCTAATTGGTATACACTATAATCTCAGCACAGTGCCCAGGACATAAGAACCACTCATTTAATATATATGAATTACTCTAGCTTTTTGGTTTCATGTCCTACCAGTCTCCTCCGCAAGCTATAACTTAATCATATCCAACTTCGCTCCATTCTGTAAATATTGGTGTCATAACGTGCTCATCCAGGCTGTTTTCTTTATTTTCATTGCCAGGTTCCCTCTCTTAGTTGACTGAAATCCATGAAGGAAAGATTAGAGTTTGCCTTCCCTGCTGCCATTGTATCTGGTAAGTTGCACAATGCCTGGCACCTAATAAATGCTTCATACACAGCTTTTGAGTACACAGATGAGTAAATAACTATATGAACACACTGGTGTTAGAAAATCGATACATTTAACAGAACAGTTTAATGGACAACACAAATAACGAGTGGTTTAAAAATCAGTTAACTTTCTTTGGATTAAAACAGCTTCAAAATCATTTGTGTGTTTTGTTTCAGCTACACTTGAAATTTAAAACTCATGCTTATTTCAAAAGTCAGATAGATTTGTTAAATAGGTGGAAAATCTCATGCATGCACAAAGTACTTGCTCATATGACTTTATAACTTTTATTCCAAATTCTCAATTTTTTTTTTTACTTTCTAAATACAATGAAATCTGTGTCTTCTGTAAGAGCTTTTGTTCATTAAAATATTTTATTATTTCCATTTTACCTCTACCCTGCAGCAGCACCTTTTTATTCTTTTTCTTTCTGTCAAAACCATTGGATTGGCCTGGTGTCACCGGTGGCTCATGCCTGTAATCTCGGCACTCTGGGAGGCCGAGGTGGGCAGATCACTTGAGGTCAGGGTGTCGAGACCAGCCTGACCAATATGGTGAAACCCCATCTCTCCTAAAAATACAAAAATTAGCCGGACATGATGGCGGGTGCCTGTAATCCCAGCTCCTCGGGAGGCTGAGGCAAGAGAAACACTTGAACCTGGGAGGCGGAGGTTGCAGTGAGCCGAGATCTCGCCACTGCACTCCAGTCTGGATGACAGAGAGAGACTTCGTCTCAAAAAACAAACAAACAAAACGTTGCATTAAACTTCACTTGTTAATAATTTTCAATGCAACATAACTTGGGCAACATAATTTGAACATTGGAAGCACATGGTATTCTAGACATTATGATCTCACCACATTAAAGAAAGAATAACCTATTCCAAACAATTTCTCCATTTAGTGTATTTTAGTGTATTTAGTGTGTGTGTGTGTGTGTGTGTGTGTGTGTGTGTGTGTGTGTTTAGACGGAGTCTCACTCTGTTGCTAGGCTGGAGTGTAGTGGCACAATCTCAGCTTATTAGAACCTCCGCCTCCTGGGTTCAAGCAATTCTCCTGCCTCAGCCTGGCGAGTAGCTGGGACTATAGGCGGGCACCACGCCCAGCTAATTTTTGTATTTTTAGTAGAGATGGGGTTTCACCATGTTGGCCAGGATGGTCTCGATTTTTTTTTTTTTTTTTTGAGACAGAGTCTCGCTCTGTCGCCCAGGCTAGAGTGCAGTGTCGCGATCTCGGCTCACTGAAAGCTCCGCCTCCAGGGTTCACGCCATTCTCCTGCCTCAGCCTCCCCAGTAGCTGGGACTACAGGCGCCTGCCACCACGCCTGGCTAATTTTTTGTATTTTTTTGGTAGAGACGGGGTTTCACCATGTTAGCTAGGATGGTCTCAATCTCCTGACCTCGTGATCCGCCTGCCTCAGCCTCTCAAAGTGCTAGGATTACAGGCGTGAGCCACTGTGCCCAGCCTTTAATGTACTCTTAAGCACCTTTTCTAGATCCTACGAGGAAGGATTCAAAGACACTTATTGCCAAGTTTGATGACAATGGATTTAAGGATCTGAATTAAGTTCAAATCTTTCCGCAGCAACATATGCCTCTTTTGCTCTTTGAAACATTTGCTTTATATTAAAATCTAACTATAAAAAAATAATAAAGGATATTTCCTGGCCAGGCGCAGGGGCTCACGCCTGTAATCCCAGCACTTTGGGAGGCCGAGGCGGGTGGATCACAAGGTCAGGAGATCCAGACCATCCTGGCCAACATGGTGAAACCCCGTCTCTGCCAAAAAAAAAAAAAAAAAAAAAATTAGGCCGACATGGTGGCATGCACCTGTAGTCCCAGCTACTCAGGAGGCTGAGGCAGGAGAATTGCTTGAACCCAGGAGACAGAGGTTGCAGTGAGTCGAGATGGTGCCACTGCACTCCAGCCTGGGTGACAGAGTGAGACTCCACCTCAAAAAAAAAAAAAAAAAGGCTATTTCCTGAATTAATGTTCAGAAACTATCCTGAATATTAGTTACTTCTTACAAGACCAGAATTTATGAGTTAATTGTAAATGAATTAAGACTATATAAAAAACTATCCTGAATATTAAATATTAGTTACTTCTTACAAGACCAGAGTTTATGAGTTAATTGTAAATGAATTAAGACTATATATTTTTTTCTTGAAATCTACATGGATTCAAGAATCATTGGTATATTATATATTGTGCACTGACAGTGACATAGTAGACTTCTTGATCATCCTGAGAAGTCTACAAGACACTAGAAGAATAGGCTAATCTACTTGTTCAATACTCTTAACTTTCAACATATCTGTTTTGTTTTTATGTATTAATTGTATGCATAGATCTTCAGTGATTCTAACTAAAGTGAATAATAATTCAAGAAGCTTAGGCTTTATTAAAAAACACACACACTCACCTGGGCGTGGTGGCTCACGCCTGTAATCCCAGCACTTTGTGAGGCTGAGATGGGCGGATCACGAGGTCAGGAAATCCAGACCATCCTGGCCAACACGGTGAAACCCCGTCTCTACTAAAAAATACACAAAATTAGCTGGGCGTGGTGGCGGGCACCTGTAGTCCCAGCTATTCTGGAGGCTGAGGCAGGAGAATGGCGTGAATCCGGGAGGTGGAGCTTGTAGTGAGCCAAGATCACGCCACTGCACTCCAGCCTGGACGACAGAGCGAGACTCCGTCTCAAAAATAAACAAATAAATAAAAATAAAAAATATAAAAAACACACACTCATGAATTCTCTATTTAACATGGTTCAATTTAGCAATTTAGTCAAAAGTAAATATTTTCCACCTTTACGGTTATTCTGCCATTTCCGAATTCTTCCTCCTAAGTGCTCTCAATCTTGTTGCATTGCTTTTTTTAGAAAAAAATTATCACCACAGCCCTGTTTAAATTTATGCAATGGCTCCCTAAAGCCTCCATGATAATATCTGAATTTCTGACAAGGTGGCTCCAATTCTTATTCTAAATTCTTATCTCACTAATTTTTGTCATATTTTATGCTCCTTCCAAATCCTCTTTATCTCCCAAAACTCAGTTCTGCCTTTGCCTTTGCATGTTGTCTATGTGGAATGCCCAACTTTTTTTTTTTTTAAGTGGTGGAGTCTTGCTCTACTGGCCAGGCTGGAGTTCAGTGATGTGATCATAACTCACTGTAGCCTCAAAGTCCTGGGTGCAAGCAATCCTCCTGCCTTGGCCTCCCAAAGTGCTGAGATTACAGGTGTGAGTCACTGCGCCCAGGCCACCTGTTTCCCACATAATGTATCCTCCTTGTTCCTCAAGGTCAGTAAATATGCTTCCTCCTCTCTAGCCTTTTCTGGTCATCTCCAGAAGCCAGGATCAGAAGTCAGTACGCCTCCTCTGTTTTCCCAAGCATTTTGTTAACAAATCTTTCATAGAATTCATTGCATTATATGGTATTCATTGGATTGGATTGCATTATAGTGTTATATTACTGCATCTTTCTCTCCACATTGTAAATTTCTTAAGGATAATTTCCTTTATTCATTTTATGTCTAACATTATATTTCTTGTCATGTAATAAGCAATAAAATTTTGGTGACTTGAATGATGTGAGAAAACAAGAAGAAAAAAACAGACTTGGGATTACACAGGTGTATGTCTTATTTATCATTTTGCAGAATTTCTGCCTATATTTTACTGATAACCTTGGCGTTGAATATATATAAGTGGATAAAATATGACTCATATTTCGGAATAGGTTGTAGCAAATTAATCATCTAATTGCTTGTTTATACTGTTCAATTTGATCATCACAATTTAGGTCTCTAGCATGAAGAAAAGGAGTACTTTCACATATGTGACAAATAAATAGGATACAAATAGGATTTGTTAATAATTGGAATCTGTTCAAAACCAGATAAATTTTTACTGTTTGTGATAACAAAACAAAATAAATTGTGTTCCTAGGGTTTACTTATAAATTAAACACACTATTACCACTTTATTTTCCAATTTCATCTCTTTACGAAAAAATGTGTTACTTTAAAATGATCTATGAGTACAATTTTATATGGAAAGGGCAATACCATTACTTTCAATGCAAATAGAAGTTTATCATTTCAAGGGCTACTGTAAAATAACTTTTTTATTCACAACAGGGTGTGTGACATAGACCTTTAATATGGGGCCAATATCGCTAAGAAGTTGAAAATATAGTAATAAGAAATCAGTAGAAAACAAGCAACCAAACAAAAGTGTCTGTCTTCTTTTCTTTGTCCAACATGTTTGGGTATTAGTATTGAAGGAGCTCCATAACAAGTTGCAAATGATGTGTGAAATGAAATTAGCTCTGCTCAGCATATACACAGAGACTATAAAGTTCCTTATGCGAATATAGCTCTGCTGTGTTAATCGTTACAGGACTTAGATCAGGTATGGCAGAAAGATGGCCATAGTTATATGACCTAGACACTGATGTCACACTAAACTCTTGGAATGGGGGTAGGGTTGAATTTTATGAATATGTGACACCCCACCACACACACACAAGCAAATTATTGTATTTCCTTCTTGCCTGCGTTATGGCCTGCTAATGGTATACTTTACTTGAATGAACTCATGTGCTCCAAATTTCCTGTGGAATAGGGATTGATAATATTCCCCATTTTAAGGAAATTACGGCTTGAAAAAACTAAAAAATGTGGCAAGAAAGCTAGTAAGTTGCAAATTCAGGGATGGTCCCAGGATTCTGACTCTAGAGACTGTCCTTTCTACACATGGCTGCTGATCATGGAGAGAACTTCCCATGATGCACAGGATGGTGGGTGCAGTGGGTGGAGGCAAGACATGTTCTCTATACTCACACCTGTCATTTACCAGCAAATCAGCCATGGAAAGCACAACAGTCCTTAAATAAATAACACCTACTAAGACGCACCTTAGATAGAGGACATGTGTGAAGCAGCCCTGGCTCACACCGAGGTTTGGGGCCCCTGTGGAGAATGCGACTCTGCTATTTGATGTAGCAGAGCCTCCCAGCACACGCAATGGGCAGGCCCTGCAGAACGCATTTTTCTCATTCCACAGAGCCTCGATTTTAAGTCAAATCATCCTGAATTGCCCTTAAAGCTGAGGACAATCTGTCCATCCACTCATACATCACTTAAGAGACAGCAAGAAACTTCATTCTCTCTCCTCCTGGGCAGTGCCGGTCCTCCCTCCCTGATTCAGATTATTCCCTGGAGATGCTGTCCAATATTTATTGCCCAGCTAAGTATCACAAAAGAGGAAATACAAAAATCTTGAAGGCTACTACGTGCTGGGTAATTTCACATACTTTATTGGAGAAAACCAAATTTTTCAGAGCTTGTTTCTTAACGGAGTCACACAGTGAACCAGCGGCAAAGCCAAACTGGACTTTGGGCCAAGATAACCCCACACCCACTCATTTTCCTCAAACCCACCAGAAATCGCCCTGGAGAGGAGGGCGACTTATTTTTAAAAAACTGAAATATCTATAGGTCACATTTATTACTTCCCATTAAAAATGAAAAGGATTGGCCAGACGCGGTGGCTCACGCCTGTAATCCCAGCACTTTGGGAGGCCGAGGCGGGCAGATCACGAGGTCAGGAGATCCAGACCATCCTGGCTAACACAGTGAAATCCCGTGTCTACTAAAAATACAAAAACAAAATTAGCCGGGCGTGGTGGCGGGCGCCTGTAGTCCCAGCTACTCTGGAGGCTGAGGCAGGAGAATGGCGGGAACCCGGGAGGCGGAGCTTGCAGCGAGCCGAGATCACACCACTGCACTCCAGCCTGGGCGATAGAGCGAGACTCCATCTCAATAAATAAATAAATAAAAATGAAAAGGATTCTATTAAATCCAACAAGGGGGAAATGAATATTCCTTCAATTTAGGTTTGTTCCTTTTATGGAATAAAATAATACACGTTAGATAAATGTCACTGCTTTTTAGCCACTCATACATTACCATTTGGAATTATGTAGTATTTACAACCCAAAGTTGGTTCTCGAATCTTTTATTTCTCATCTTTGTGTAATAATTTTACAAAATGTCCTCTTCATTTTTGAAGAAAAAGAAATGTGAAACGTTCGTGATCGAATGCTTCCCCCTGTGTTGTATTAGAGGAACCCGAAGCAAAGCCTCCAGAGGGTGCTGGAGAAGCTGCGGCTGCAGAGCAGTGACCCGAGGCGGGGGGCGCCTCACCCGCCAGGCAATGGTGGCCGCAGCCTCCTGACAGGGATGCAGGGGGATTGTGCACGCAGCGCTCATCTTTTCCCCACCATAGTGTTTTCCCGCCTTTTGGCTATAGAATCACCTCTGTTTTGGGTTTTAACAGGGAAAACAGTGCAGTACGGGGCAGTCTCAACACTGACATTTTCCCACAAAGATTTCTAGGTCTTCCAAAGAGCTATCAATCTACCGTGTTACACTGGCTCCTGGTGCCCAGAGGGGCTGAGAGAATGAAGGTCTGCACTTTGCGCCTGACTCTCTTGAAATGAACTCCTTCCACAAATTAGGAACTTGAATCTGTGGCTGAGGCTGCTCAAATAAACACGTGAACCTGGAGACATAAGGTACAGCAACATCTGCACTTTCTTTTTCTTCCTTTTTTGAGGGGGGAGACAAAGTCTCACTCCGTAAACAGCCCAGGCTGGAATGCAGTGGCGCGATCTGGGCTCACTGCAGCCTCGACCTCCCAGGTTCATTTGATCCTCCCATGTCAGCCTTCCAAGTAGCTAGGACCACGGGTACACCACCACAGCTAATGGTTTTTTTTTTTTTCTTTGCAATTTTTTTTTTTTTTGTAGCGATGGGGTTTGGCCATGTTGGGGTTTGGCCATGATGTCCAGGCTGGTCTGGTACTTAAGGGCTCAAGCAATCTGCCCGTCTTGACCTCCCAAAGTTCTGGGATTACAAGGGTGAGCCACCGACTTCTCTGCTTAAGTTCAAAAGAACAAATGATCTAGCCATTGTACAAGAGGCCAGGCTTAAAGCAACTATATCCTTTTCAACTTTACATAAACTTAATGACAGTCAATTCTAGGAGGTGATGGTGTCCATGTGTGGTCTGCACATTTATAGAACTCCGTATTATAGCCAACACACACACACACACACACACACACAAATTTTTATAGTAACAAACTTTCTTATAGCTCCCAATATATTCAATTTCCTGTAAATAATTCACCAACATACATGTGTGAATTAGAAGTGTGACAGTGGTAGTAATGTATGCATTTGTAATAGTAATAGTTAACATTACCATTATTATAATGTTATTAGAAGTCCTCCACTTTGGAGACTGTATAAAAAGGATACTATATTTTCTTAAGCCAAGGATCTTCTTTTACCAGTTATACAGTAAGATCTCACTTAATGTCATCAATATGTTCTTGATAACTGCCACTTGAAGCAAAACGAAGTATTCTATGCAGTAGGAACTGAACTCCTATTTATATCAACTAGCCTATGATAAAATTAGTTTCATTATAGAGTAAGTCATTTCTCTTAAAGTCACAGTTTCCAAAAACCTATTGATATTAAGTGAGGTTTTATTGTATGTAAACTTCAGTGGTTAAATTATATGATGTTTTATATGGTTTCATATATAGCATAGGCAGAAAAATACTGTGAAGTTGAAGTTATTATTACAATGATATTTATATTACATTATCACTTTAATATGTTTTCATTCACATTCCTTTAAATAATGTATTCAAAAATATTTTAAGCATAATTAAAAATATAAATATTAATAAGCACCAATATAAAAATGACTCAAATTTTAATGTTATTTTTATGGTTTTACATTTTACATAAGTGATCTTATACAGTGGTATTTAAGAGTGAGAGGTGACGGCGTGCTGGCAGCCCTCGCATGCTCTGGGCACCTCCTCAGCATTTGGCGCCCACTCTGGCTGCTCTTGAGGGGCCCTTCAGCCCACCGCTGCACTGTGAGGGCCCCTCTCTGGGGTGGCTGAGGCCGGAGCCAGCTCCTTCAGCTTGCAGGGAGGTGTGGAAGGAGAGGCGCAGGTGGGACTGGGGGCTGCGCGCAGCGCTTCAGGGCCAGCGCAAGTTCGGGTTGGGCATGGGGTCCGCGGGCCTAGCACCCGGAGCGGCCGGCCGGTGCTGCTGGCCCCAGGCAGTGAGGAGCTTAGCATCCTAGCCAGCAGCTGTGGAGGGTGCACCAGGTCCCCCAGCAGTGCTAGCCCACCAGCGCTGCACTCAAATTCTTGCCGGGCCTCAGCTGCTTCCCCGCGGGGCAGGGCTCAGGACCTGCAGCCCGCCATGCCTGAGCCTCCCTCACTCCACCCTGGGCTTCTGCATGTCCGAGCCTCCCCAACGAGTGCCACCCCCTGCTCCGTGGCACCCAGTCCCATCGACTGAATGCCCAAGGGCTGAGGAATGCGGGCGCATGGTGCAGGAGTGGCGGGCAGCTTCACCTGCTGCCCTGGTGCAGGATCTGCTAGGTGAAGGCAGCTGGGCTCCTGAGTCTAGTGGGGACTTGGAGAACCTTTATGTCTAGCTAAGGGATTGTAAATACACCAATCAGCACCCTGTGTCTAGCTCAAGGTTTGTAAATGCACCAATCAGCACTCTGTGTCTAGCTAATCTGGTGTAGACTTGGAGAATCTTTATGTCTAGCTAAGGGATTGTAAATACACCAATCAGCACTCTGTGTCTAGCTCAAGGTTTGTAAACACACCAATCAGCACTCTGTGTCTAGCTCAAGGTTTGTAAATGCACCAATCAGCGCTCTGTGGGGACTTGGAGAACTTTTGTGTCTAGCTCAGGGATTGTAAACACACCAATCAGCACCCTGTCAAAATGGACCAATCAGCTCTCTGTAAAACAGACCAATGAGCTCTCTGTAAAATGGACCAGTCAGCAGGATGTGGGTGGGGCCAGATAAGGGAATAAAAGCTGGCTGCCCGGCCAGCAATGGCGACCTGCTGGGGTCACCTTCCACACTGTGGAAGCTTTGTTCTTTGGCTTTTTGAAATAAATCTTGCTGCTGCTTACTCTTTGGGTCCACACTGCGTTTATGAGCTGTAACACTCACCACGAAGGTCTGCAGCTTCACTCATGAGCTAGTGAGATCACGAACCCATCAGAAAGAAGAAACTCTGAACACAGCCGAACATCAGAAGGAAAGAACTCCAGACACACCTCCTTTAAGAACTGTAACACTAACAGTGAGGGTCCGCGGCTTCGTTCTTGAAGTCAGCGAGACCAAGAACCCACCAATTCTGGACACGAGGATCATACTAAAAATATAAAAAATGTGATTTCTGCACTGAGATCCTTCTACTATAGATGGGGAGAAGTATGCAAAAGGAAGTATAATTCAGTGTTATAGAAGTACAATGTAGTATTTTAAAGATGCATTAATTATATGTGATCCCAAGTAGAAAACAATCAACCCTCCTCCATTGGCACAGAACAGTACATAATTGATCTAGGTGTTAAAGGATGTATAAAAAAATCACGGGGTGGAATAAAGAGGATTCAGAGAGAATATCAGTGCAAGCTTGGATTTGGGAAGCAGGATGCATAAACCAAATAGAGCAGCATATAGTTCAAAACGACTAAACCATCAAAGTACTTGAGGGTCTGTGATGACAGACGGATTTGAACATGTTGGAAGGGGCCATTTCCTATCTTATGATTACTTAAAATTTGGACTTTATCCTATAGTGGGGAACTCTGAAACACTTTTAAACAGAAGAGTACATCATCACATTTGATTTCAGATGGATCACTCTGGTGACTTCTTGACAATGATAAAACTAGACATAGACAAGCCAGGAAGAAAACTCACAATATCTTAAGCAAGAGTTCTAATTTTTTGTTTTAGTGCAGAAAACTATGCATAGAGGAAGGCACAGATTTTGAAGATGTTAAGCAAGTATATTTGAGAATTTGTTAACAGTTTTCTGTCTTAAAACATAAGGAAACTTGTGTGGTTTTTTTGACAGAATAGGAGAAAACGAGCACAAACACACCTGCAGGACATTCCAGTGGAGATGCTTGTAGAGATTTGGGACATGTGGATCTAGAATTTAGGGGAGGTCTAGGGTCTAATATTGAATTATAGATTTGAAAATCACTAGCATCCCTGAAGATAGACATTTATGCTGTTGTCAAGATCTTCCTGAAAAGATCACCATAGATTGAGCAGCCCTGCTTGGAAACATTCCAAAGCATTTTGGTTATTATCTTTTGTTTTTTAAGAGTCAGAATCTCCCTCTGTCACCCAGGCTGGAGTGCAGTGGCACCATCATGGCTCACTGGAGCCTCGCCCAGCTAAACATTTTAAAAATCAGTATTACTATTTTAGAGACTGGGTCTCACTATTTGCCCAGGCTGATCTTGAACTCCTGGCCTCAAGAGATTCTCCTGTCTCAGCCTCCTGAATCACTGGAGTTACAGGCATGAGCCACTGCGCCTGGTGTTTAATATCCTCAACTCCTTTTGTCATCTTGACTCATCTACTCCAGCAGCAATGATGGTCTCTTTCTGCTGCCACATTCACACTCACTGAGTAACTTATGTTCTTTTCCTATGTTACTTTGCTAGTTTACATAAGCTGTTCCATCACAGGTCATCTTTGAAGCCCTTGCTTGCTTAATGTGAAAAATCCTCTTCATCTAACTTATACGTCTAATCTTATAGCCACCTCTTTATTTTAATTTTTAAACTTTTCCTTCTTTTTTTATATCTCTTAATGAATTATCTGTTATATTGTTTGTTGATATGTCCTTTCTTGTTTAGTCAGTGTTTCCAAAATTATTTTTATCTTCCATTCTTGGGACTTCTTAGTTTTGTTACCAGTTTTTACAGGTTTCCTTTTTTTTTCAAGCAGATTATTTGTAAGTATGTCTCATTATAATTTATGTTTTTAATAGCCCAACATTTTATTGATTTCTTTGAGATCACTGTAAAATATTTGGTTACAATTTTCACCATTTAAAAAGTATGCTTTTCTAGTTCATCTACAGAGATATAATTTTGCTCCTTATTTTCTTTTCTTATGTAATAAATTTATTTGGAACTTAACTGAGATAATTTACTGTGAACCATTGTTTCAATGAAATGAGTTCTTCTCTACTTTTGGAAAGCAGGAATGAACCAAGAGATATTTTCTACCTTTATGTTTCAAATGCTCCCTCTATAAAAACGCGTTGAAAATATGTCACCAGGCTTTGTGAAATTTGACTCCCATTGTCGCACTTTTATCTGAAACTTTTGTTACCTGTGACAATATTATTCCCATCCTGCCCAATTTGTATTCAGCTCTCAGCAGTTTCTACTCAATGCACAGCTTTGTCTTGGAAAGGAGATTGAGTTTGAGGGTTTCTAAATCCATACTGCTCCAGCAGCATCAGGTATCCTGTCGTTGCCCCCTTACCCTAACTTGAAATTTGGATACCACTGAAGCCCCTTCTGCTTCTGGCTGTGTTTTCAGATTGGCCTTTTGTACTTTCCAGTGACATTTATTCACAATTTTATTGTCCTAGTACTCCCAGATCTATTGGAAACACACATATCTTTAGAAAATTTTTCTACTTTTTTCCCCACACATAGAAATGGTGACACTAAATGAGTCTTGTGGCTGTTGGTGGTTTGTAATTTGGGGTTAAGGAGAACTCTTGTGACCTGGGTTTTATTTTGTTGGAAATGTTATTTGCAGGTTTTCGATTCTGTCATTGCTCTTTCCCTCTCTGTTAATATGCACCATCTTCCTACAATCCTTCATTAAAAAAAATGTTGTACACTTCAACCTGTTCAAAAGTTAGACTTGAACACATTTGACCAAAGCTGTTTATCAGCCTAGGGATAGCAGGTTTTAAATGCCATTACTCTTTTATTTGTAGACAATAATTAGGACTTGATGGCACTCCCACAAGAGAAAACACAGCTTGTTAAAGAGAAATATTTGACACAATTTCAAAGTATACCTACAATTAAGTAGGCCATCTTGTGTAGTGCTAAGGCCTTTTTTTCTGGGTATCCCAATACTTCAGAATAAATCTGCTGAAATGTCCCAAACATATGCACGATAGCCAGGAAATAAAAATCTACAGAACCACCTAAGTCACTCTTCTCTGTGTGCCCAACATAGAATCTTGGCATCACCCTCATGCTGCAACCTCAGTTATACTTTCAAAATAGCCCTATGATTTATAAATAGTTCCCCAATAAAAATACAGCATTTCTCCTTGACTACAGTTGATCAGAAAACAAAAACCCAATTCTCATCCACTTACCTCTGTCCTTTTTCCCCTAATTTTATTACTAGCCCATAGTGAGGATTAATGGAAAGTCCATTATGGCTTCATGATGGCAATAGATACTTGGTTTCTTATGAGGCTGATACATTTTCCAACAATAACAAAGAAGTTTCCAACAGTAGAGTGGCAAAACACAGAGGTTTTTAATATTCAAGCAGGATTTTGGGTCTGCTCTCCTTTTAGATCTCATTGAATTTAATATTGCCTGTCAGGTTTAAGACGTCAGTGCTGATTAAGCTAGACACATTGTGGGAATAGCAATGTGTTGTTCTTTATGGATAATTGGAACAGTGGTAACTTTTTCATTTGGCATTTGGCATAGCCCTTTGTGTGAGGAGTGACTGGGATTGGAATATTTAATCTCCTTGGAGAAAGTATAGCATTTTATTCGTCTTTCAATACTCAGTACCTAACCAAGAGTCTGGCACAGAGTAAAAGCTGAAAATACTTGTTACACTGAAAACTAAATAAGCAAATGAGTGGATGAATAAACAAATACATAAAATGCAATCTATAGGGAACAAACATTATCCTCTTTATCTATCCAGATATTGGACAGAGTTCTTGGTAGTTTGCTAGCTGATATCCAAGGTATGCTTGTTTAAAATAGAGTGGTCCTGCTTTTAGCAGGATAAATTTTGTGGTTATAAATGAAAGTGAAGAAAAGGCACTGTGCCACCAGTAAAACAGAAAACAATAATGTGGAAAAATAGTTTTTTTTTTGTTTTTTTGTTTTTTTTTTTTTGAGACGGAGTCTCGCTCTGTCGCCCAGGCTGGAGTGCAGTGGCGCGATCTCGGCTCACTGCAAGCTCCGCCTCCCGGGTTCACGCCATTCTCCTGCCTCAGCCTCCCGAGTAGCTGGGACTACAGGCTCCCGCTACCACGCCCGGCTAATTTTTTGTATTTTTAGTAGAGACGGGGTTTCACCGTGTTAGCCAGGATGGTCTCGATCTCCTGACCTCGTGATCTGCCCGCCTCGGCCTCCCAAAGTGCTGGGATTACAGGCGTGAGCCACCGCGCCCGGCCGAAAAATAGTTTTTTTCCAGGACATTTTCAGTGCCCAGATTCTATTTTAAAACATGATTGATGACCCATTTTGCCGATTAACTCTTGAAGTAGAGAATTTTACAATTCAGTATACTTATTTCCAATATATGGCATCTTCCTACTTGAAGTGCCATCATTTCTTCATTGTTAGATAAAATGCAATAAAGAACATACTGAATTTCTTTTCTTTCTTCTTGATTTGCAGTATTTTGAAATTACTAAAGAAAAGTTTAATACACAGAAGACATTTGTTCAAGAAAGAAATAATAACGCTCCATTTTAGTTTAATGCAGGCCATTCTCTGAGAATGGGAGGCAAATATTCTCCTTCCATTACAAGCTTTGCAAATCCAAATGATCTCGAGATTAGGGCTACACAAGTTAATTATATTCACTAAATTTTCAAAATCTCATTATTTTTGTCCAAAGGTTCAAATATCTCACACCGCTGTAAAAAGGCCAGGCGCAGTGGCTCATGCCTGTAATCTCAGCACTTTGGGAGGCTGAGCCAGGAAGATTGCTTGAGTCTAGGAGTTTAAGAAAAGCCTAAGCAACATAGTGAGACCCAGTCTCTACAAAAAAATTTAAAACGTAAAAAATTAGCTGGGCATGGTGGCACATGCCTGGTCTCAGTTACTGGGCTGAGGTGGAGGATCCCTTGAGCCTGGGAGGTTGAGGCTGCGGTGAACTGTGATCACACCTCTGCACTTCAGCCTGAGTGACATTGCAAGACCTGTCTCAAACAAACAAAAACAAAAAACAGGCTGGGCACAGTGGCTTATGCCTGTAATCTCAGCGCTTTGGGAGGCCAAGGTGGGCAAATCACTTGAGGTCAGGAGTTCGAGACTAGCCTGGCCAACACGGAGAAACCCCATCTCTACTAAAAATACAAAAGTTATCCAGACATGGTGGTGGGCAACTGTAATCTCAGCTACTCGGGAGGCTGAGGCGGGAGAATTGTGTGAGCCTGGGAGACGGAGGTTGCAGTGAGCCAAGATTGTCTCACTGCACTCCAGCCTGGGCTACAGAGTGAAACTGTCTCAAAAACAAAACAAAACAAACCACACACACACACACACACACACAAAGTTGTCACAAGGCACAAGAGATTGTAAATTTGTTGTTGTTTTTTTTTTCACTCACTTTAAACTAGAAATACTAATTGGTACCCAATAGTACAAAAATAACATTAGAGAAAAAACAAAGTAAGGACTTTTTATATAAGTAGCAAATGAACTAGCTACAGTCAGGTATGAAATTTACTTTCCTATGGGTAATAATTTTAACATAAAATTTTAATGAAAAAAATGAATACTATTTTAGTACTTAAACTGCATCAATAAAAAGAACCATATCCACAGCAACAGCAGTAACCTAATGGGGCTGGGTGTGGTGGCTCATGCCTGGAATTGCACCACTCTGGGAGGCTGAGGCAGGAGGATGTCTGGAGCCCAGGAATTTGAGACCAGCCTGGGCAACATAGCCAAATCTCTTCTCTACAAAAAATACAAAAATTAGGGAGGTGTGGTGACACATAGCTTTAGTCCCAGCTACTTGGGAGGCTGAAGTGGGAGGATTACTTCAGCCCAGGAGGTCAAGGCTGCAGTGAGCTGTGATTAAGACACTATACTCCAGCCTGGGGGACAGAGTGAGACACTGTCTTTAAAATAAATAAATAAATAACCAAATGGGTTATCACACATATTTGAAGAGCATATAATCCACATAATTTCACACTAGCTTTGATTTTTTTTAAAATTAGCTGGGCATGATGGCGGCTACCTGTAATCCCAGCTACTCAGGAGGCTGAGGTAGGAGAACTGCTTGAATCTGGGAGGCAGAGGTTGCAGTGAGCGGAGATAACGCCATTGTGCTCCAGCCTGGGTGACAGAGGGAGACTCCTTCTCAAAAAAAAAATAAATAAATAAATAAATAAGATACAACGAGTCAAAGGTGATACTAACAATATATAAAATTCTCACGTAATATCTACATTTACAAAGAGGTGATATATTCGCTGCTCTGAATGGTGTGCTTGGAATTATAAAAATGTGACTCATATACTTATTTGAAAACCCACCTGCTGGTAAGTGAAAGAGCTTCAGTTTCATTCTTAGGCTCCAGTGTATTTTAAAACTTAATCGTTGGTCGATGTGAGCTCAATATCTGAACTTCATTCAGTCAACCAGTAATTACTGAAATATTTGTTGAGGACCCAAGGTGCGCCAAGAATTATTGGCAGCTGGGAATGCAAAAATAAAAGCACCATTGTAATGTTAGGGGAAGTACGTGAGGGAGAAAAAATGAAGTATAAATCAGGTGAAGGGTCTAGATTTGCAAAGATGCAGTGTTGGGAGGAAGCCGCTCGGGAAAAGAGCAGCTCCTGAGAGTGAAGGATGCATGTAACAGGTGGGAATATGCAGGATTTAGCAAGGCTTTGAAATTCAGATTGTCTTGAAAACAATAGAAAAATATTGGAAGAATTTTAAGCAGAGCAGTGACTTGCCAAAATATAAACTTTGAAGAAAAAAAAAACTCTGTTGGCATTCTAGAGAATCATTATTTAGAAGCAGAGGATTAAAATGCATTTTGGCATGAATAATATTGTCCATAGGCAACCTAAAGTAGTCATTAAGAGAATACATTTTTATCATTTGAAACAGCAATTAATTAGAACAAATTTATACTTTAACATTTCCTTAAGGTAGTTATAGTTGGCGTAACTTTAAAGAGTCTTTATCATATAATTAGAATAAACTATTTTGCCTGACACCAAAACTTGGATCACTTCTCTTGAAGTCAATGATGTGAAATGACTGTTTATTTATTTATTTATTTATTTATTTATTTTTTGAGACGGAGTCTCACTCTGTCACCCAGGCTGCAGTGCGGTGGCGCGATCTCGGCTCACTGCACCTCTGCCTCCCAGGTTCAAGCGATTCACACAATGGTGTGAAATGAACTGTTTTCCTTTTAGATTTGGTCTGGGAGTACATCAGATCACTATTTTCAAAGTGGATATTAGTAAAAATGTCGCTTTCTCACAAAAACCATTTTTGATCTCTCCTTTGTGATCTAAACCTGGTGTCATGCCTTGCACATGAGACATTTTCATTACATTTCTGTTGAATTGAACTGCTTAAAAACATAATCCCAGTATGTTTTATGCAATAAATGTTTTCATCATAAGCAATTTTTTCTCTCTTCTTCAGAGTATATGACAAAACAGAAACCAATCCATATACAGATGATATATTTTAGTGTGTAAGAAAAAAACTCCTTCATATTACTACATGTTATTGACAAAGTGAACAATAAAAATGTGCATATAAAATGTTTTTAAAGAAAAAAGTTTCCAGTTAATAGGAAATTATATAACAGGAAATTATACTATGTATTTTAGAATTCCCTTTCTGTTGAAAGAAAAAAATAAGCATGTCAAAAGAGTGTAAATTTATTTTTTAAATCTTTCTCTGTGCTCTGAATTCATAGTAATGATAAGGAGAATATTTTTTAATTAAATGACATACAATAAATAAATATGGCCAAGCATGGTGGCTCGCGCCTGTAATCTCAGCACTTTGGGAGGCGAGGTGGGCAGATCATGGGGTCAGGAGATTGAGACCATCTTGGCCAACATGGTGAAACCTTGTCTCTACTAAAAATACAAAAATTAGCCAGGTGTGGTGGCATGCACCTGTAGTCCCAGCTACTTGGGAGGCTGAGGCAAGAGAATCGCTTGAACCTGGGAGGCAGAGGTGCAGTGAGCTGAGATCGCGCCACTGCACTGCAGCCTGGGTGACAGAGTGAGACTCTGTCTCAAAAAAAATAAAAAAATAAAAAATAAATAAATAAATAAATAAATAAAGATTAGTATCTCTTTGGACCAAAAGTGGGAGATTACACAGAGACAAGGGGGCATTAAGGATGAGCAGTTAATTAGAAACAAGAAAGGCAGGCCAATAATGTGCCTCCTGGAGGGCTAACATAGCCAAAGGTGCCCTAGTTGTGGTGGGAAGGGGGCAAAGAAAACCAACTGCATACAATAAGGAGTTTCAAGTGAACTTTTCAGGCCTTGAAAAAACACTTTTTTTTTTTTTTTGAGACAGGGTCTCGCTCTCCTGCCCAGGCTGGAGTACAGTGGCGTGATCTTGGCTCACTGCAACACCTGCTTCCCAGGTTCAAGCGATTCTCCTGCCTCAGCCTCCCGAGTAGCTGGGATTACAGGAGTGCACCACCACGCCCCACTAAGTTTTGTATTTTTAGTAGAGAGGGGGTTTTGCCATGTTGGCCAGGCAGTTCACAAACTCATGACCTCAAGTGATTGCCTGCCTTGGGCTCCCAAAACACAAAAATTTATGTGCTTTCTCCTGTACACTGTAGGGATTATAAAGCTGTGATAATCAGAAGTGTCACTCAGCCCTCGACACTTGAGCCATGCACCTTCCAAGCCCAGCGACCATATCTGTGACATTCACCAAATATCTACTGCACAGAAACTCCAAGTCTGTTGTTTTGGCCTCCTTCTGTGCTATAGATGGCCAGGTAAAGAAACAAAAACCTCATTAGGAAATGGTGAATGTGTAGCAAAAGAAGCACTTCTTTTTCATTTGAAAGAAGAATTTCAATCTAAAATCCTAAAGTGCATGGTAGAAACTAACAGAAAGGAAAATTAGCAATTAGGAGAAGAATCACTTCTCATTATATGCAATTAATTAAACAACCTGAACATTACTTAAAACAAATACTATATATACACAGACATAAGGAGATCCCCAACAGAAAGAAAAATCAAGGAGTGTTTTGGCCAATCTGAATAGGCAAACATTAAAGGATGTTGAAAAATCGTCTATTCATAGTCAATCAATTAATTAATTTTCACCATGCATAGTTAAAATCACATATTACACAAATATATTAATTTGGGAAAATTACATTTTCTACTTATATTTCATAGAAAATAACAGTGTAAATTTTCCCATGTATCTTCAAATATATAACAATCCCAATGATATGATCAATGAAAGAGAGTTTTGCCTACTTGGAAATACGAGCCATTTCATATGTTGAAAAAAGTCAACTATTCAATTATAATATGTATTTAATAAATTTAACTACATGTAAACATTTTACAGTATATTATGTAAATTAATTAAAATAGTGCCTTCTCCACTTATATTGTGTGAAACAAATGTTTTCAAACCTTTCACATGCATTTTAGTATCACTGTTCTCATTGACATGCAGTCGGTTTTTGTCATTTAATAGTTTTACCTGCTCCAACACCAGCAATTTTATATTCACTGTTTAAACTATAACACTTTTCTAACACTGCATAGCCTTATTTCTAAAAGTTGGACGATGATTCACAAGTACTCATTCCCAAACATTAGAAATGCTGTTGTTGTTGTTTACATATCATATTCTCTCTGTGTGCTTTATACACATTCCCACACATAAGAATCAGTGTATTATTTTTATGTAGACCTTAAAAGTTTCTTAGGTTTTCTGCCTTCTGCTGTAATAATATTTTTTATGATATAATAGTAACATTTTATGAATTTTGATTCCATCAAAGAACCTACATAAATATTTATAAATTTCCTTTTAGTCTAATGTTCTTCTCTAATATAAAGTATGTTAGATTTATAAAGAATCCAGCAAAATGGTAGATTCCCAAAGCAAAATGTGCTACCACCAATTAGCTAGATGTTTGATAAATTACACCAAGCATACTTTAAATATTTTAAATATATTTATAACTCTAAATATAAATACTTTAAAATATAGTTTTAGGGCTCACAAGTAGGGGAAGAGTCTAAGGGTCAAAAATAGATAAAAATAAACTGAAACCACAAAAGGACATAAACAAAAGCACAAACAATAAAACTATTGCTGCCTCAAGTGCAAAATTTGGTATCATAAATGACTACTGTGAGGGCTTAACAAAGACTTAAGAAAATGGAAATCTAGACCTCAAGATGTGCAACCTGGAAACTCAGGCCTGGAGGATGCTGGATAAAGCTGAAATTCTTGAAATGTCTACATCCTCAGTGGAGTTGGGGTGAGAGAAAAGTATCTGTACAAAGAGTAGTGGAATTCAAGTTCTCTCTGGCCTAACATAAAGCAAATAAATACTGCCATCAATGCTCTTACTACTATGACTGCAGCTACAGCAGTGAGTCTGACTACTAACTACTGCTCTAATACTTCCACAGACACTACTACAAATCTAGTATTACAGTAACAATTACCATGAGGACAATATCACCACCATCATCTTAATGAGTTTATTAGCAAAAGTACAAAAACACGAGGACCCAAGACAGTATAAATAAAAGTCAGCAGGCTGGGCGCAGAGATTCACACTGTAATCCAAGCATTTGGGGAGGCCGAGGCGGGAGGATCGCTTGAGATCAGGAGTTTGAGACCAGCCAGGCCAACATGGGGAAACCCCTTCTCTACTAAAATACAAAAATTAGCTGGGCATGGTGGCGGGTGCCTGTAATCCCAGCTACTCGGGAGGCTGAGGCAGGCAAATCACTTGAACCTGGGAGGCAGAGATTGCAGTGAGCGGGAATCCTGCCACTACACTCCAGCCTGGGTGACAGAGCAAGACTCCATCTCAAAACAAAACAAAAAAAACTCAGTAGAGAATAAAAGAATATAAATAGATCCTCTTCCCATGACTACTGATATTAAAACAGAATTTCAGAGAAGTGTGTATATATGTTTTTGAAATAAAAATACTCCTGATAAAATAACAAGGAGGTTATAAAATATAAATATAAAGCTGATCAGACAGTTTTGGATAATATAGAGCAAAATAAAACTGAAAACATAACTGAACAAAATAGAACTTAAGAACAAAAAAATGGAAAATAAAAACTAATAATTGTAATTAAATTTATTATTTTAAAAAAATGAAATGAGGCCAGGCGCGGTGGCTTATGCCTGTAATTGCAGCACTTTGGGAGGTCAAGGCGGGCTGATCACGAGGTCAAGAGATTGAGACCATCCTGGCCAACATGTGAAACCCCGTCTCTACTAAAAGTACAAAAATTAGCTGGGCATGGTGTCATGCCTCTGTAGTCCCAGCTACTTGGGAGGCTGAGGGAGGACAATCAGAGGTTGCTGTGAGCCAATACCGCGCCTCTGCACTCCAGATAAAAAAAAAAAGGGGGGGGGATTAGAAAATTAGAGAATCAAGACAAATCTGAAGAAGTTACCAAAGACAAAGCACAGTACAATAAAGAAATAGAAAATAGGATGGACCTTTAGGGACGTACTGGTTACTTTCAGAATTCCTAGTATAAAACAAACTGGAATTTCTAAAGAAGAAAATAGAGAAAACCAGGCAGAAATATTATGAAAGATAAAAAATCGATAAATGTAGGAAGCATCCACTAGGCAGGACAAATAAAAACAAATCAAAATGTGGACATTAAAAAAAAAAATTGAAAAACATAATGACAAAAAAAGCTCAAAAGTTGCCAGAAAGAAGTTTCAGGCCAGGTGCAGTGGCTCACACCTGTAATCCCAGCACTTTGGGAGGCCGAGGTGGGTGGATCACAAGGTCAGGAGATCGAAACCATCCTGGCTAACACGGTGAAACCTCGTCTCTACTAAAATCACAAAAAAATTAGCCAGGCCTGGTGGCGGGCGCCTGTAGTCCCAGCTACTTGGGAGGCTGAGGCAGGAGAATGGTGTGAGCCTGGAAGGCAGAGCTTGCAGTGAGCCGAGATCGTGCCACTGCACTCCAGCCTGGGCAACAGAGTGAGATTCCGTCTCAAAAAAAAAAAAAAAAAGTTTCAGTTCAAAAAACGAATTAAAATAAAATGTCTACATATTTCTTAGCAGTAGTAGTGGAAGCAAACCTATAATGGAAGAATTGCTTCAAAGCGCTGAGACAAAAAAAAAAGGTTAACTTAGCCTTATGCACCCAATAAAAATATTTTTCAAGAATTAGCTTGTAGCAAAAATGAAAATCACTACCAACTTAAAAAAATATGTATCAGGAAGGAGTAAAAGGACTAAGTAAGACAGCTTTTATGATGCAAGAAGAAATAGGAAGCACAAAAGCAGTTTAATTTTTTTAAAAAGTGTAAAAGCAACAAATATTTTTAGTTTGAAACAATAGTACTAAACTATGACTAATGGGATTAAAGCAAAAGATAATAAGAGATCTAAAATTCAGGTAAACAGAAGCATGAATTATTGGGGTTAATTAAAGATCAAGTGCTCCAAGGTACTTTCATTAAAGGGAAGAATAAAGCTGCTATTGATTGACATTGGGCTTCATTAAGTATGCATTGGAAAATGTAAAGGCAAATCACTAAAATACTGAAGATAATGACTATATGTTATATAATTTCCAGAATCTAGATTTATAACATTATTACAAACTTTATACAGTATAATTTTAAGTCTAGGCCGGGCGCGGTGGCTCAGGCCTGTAATCCTAGCACTTTGGGAGGCCGAGGCGGGCGGATCACTTGAGGTATTTGAGAGTAGTCTGGCCAACATGACGAAACCCCGTCTCTACCTTAACCCCGGCTAAAATACAAAAATTAGCTGGGGATGGTGGCACACCTCTATAATCCCAGCTACTCTGAAGGCTGAGGCAGGAGAATTGCTGGAGCCTGGAAGGCGGAGGTTGCAGTGGTCCAGCCTGGGAGACAGAACCAGACTCCGTCTCAAAATAAAAAAATAAATAAATAAAAATAAATCTATAGCTGGAAAATTAAAGAACTAAATAATAATAACAATCATCATAATAAAAATTAATCATCCAAAAAAGAGAGGAAATTAAGAGAAAGTGGAACATAGAGAAATAAAAAAGTAAAATGATTTAAAAATCCAAATATTTAAAAATCCAAATATATAAATAATCACTGGATTAAACTCAGTTTAAAACACATACAGACAGGCCGGGCGCGGTGGCTCACGCCTGTAATCCCAGCAGTTTGGGAGGCCGAGGTGGGCGGATCACAAAGTCAGGAGTTCAAGACCAGCCTGACCAACATGGTGAAACCCCGTCTGTACTAAAAATACAAAAATTAGCCAGACGTGGTGGCACACGCCTGTAATCCCAGCTACTCAGGAGGCTGAGGCAGGAGAATTACTTGAACCTGGGAGGCAGAGGTTGCAGTGAGCCGAGATTGTACCACTGCACTCCAGCCTGGGCGACAGAGCGAGACTCTGTCTCAAAACAAACAAACAAACAAATAAACAACACATACAGACATTTACATAAATACATATAATATGTATGGACACAAGATAAATCATGGAAAAGGAGACATTCTGAAACAAAGAGCAAAAGATTTAAAAATGAAAGAAATTTAAATTCAGAAAATAACAGAAACAACCCTGACATACCTATATTAATATCTGGCAAAATATACTGTAAGTCAGAAGCTGGTTGTAGGATGTGTAATGCCCTGCACAATGATTAATTTTTAGTTAAGAGAAGAAATAACTTTTAAAAATAAATTTTTTTTTTTTGAGACACAGTCTCTCTGTCACCAGGCTGGAGTGCAGTAGTATGATGTTGGCTCACTGCAACCTCCACCTCCTGGATTCAAGCAATTCTCCTGTCTCAGCTTCCCAAGTAGCTGGGACTACAGGTATGCATCGCCATGCCCAGCTAATTTTTGTATTTTTAGTAGAGACAGGGTTTAACCATTTTGGCCAGGATGGTCTGGATCTCTGGACCTCGTGATCCCCCTGCCTTGGCTTCCAAAAGTGCTGGGATTACAGGCTGTGAGCCAGTGCACCTTGCCAAAAATATTTAAAATACTAATTGAAACAGCAGAAAGAAACAATGTAGAAATCCACTATCATCTGGGAAGATGTCATACTGTACCTCTTACTGATTGTGAAGGTAGAGGATATTTTAAAAATCCAATTTAAAACAGATTTAGGCCAAGCACTGTGGCTCATGCCTGTAATCCCAGCACTTTGGGAGATCACTTGAGGTCAGGAGTTCGAGACCAGCCTGGCCAACATGGTGAAATTTTGTCTCTACTAAAAATACAAAAATTAGCCTGGTGTGTTGGTGGCAGCGCCTGTAGTTACAGGTACTGGGGAGGCTCAGGCAGGAGAATAGCTTGAACCCGGAAGACAGAGGTTGCAGTGAGCCGAGATCATGCCACTGCACTCCAGCCTGGGCAACAGAGTGAGACTTTGTCTCAAAAAACAAAAACAAAAAGAAAAACCAGATTTAATTGGCACTTACAGAACCCTTCACCCTGCAATTAGAGGATACATACTTTTCTCAAATAGAATAGAATATTTATTGAAATTTATCACAGTCTGGGTCATTATGCAAGCCTCAATTTCCAAAAAAGTGGTATGACACAGTATATTCTCTAATAGCAATGCATTTAAGATAAAAATAAATGACACTCAAAAAGATATTGGGAAAATTAATTGTGCCTCAAAATTATTTTGGTTCAAGAAAATAATAAAATATGTTTTAAAATAATAATTAGAAGATAATATAATGAAAATGCTGTATATTAAATACTGTAGGAGACAACTAAAATATATATTTATAATAATTAGTGCTCATATTACAAGAATGCTTGAAGGATAATAGACTTACATTGGAAGAAGTCTAGCAAAATAAAATCAGGGAAAGTAGACAAACATAGCTAATAAAGAGAAAAAATAAATAGAAAAACAGGATGTAGTAGAGAATATGATTATAACAGAAGTTTTGTGGAAAGACCAATAAAAGAAGTAAACTTTTTGGCTGGACGCGGTGACTCACGCCTGTAATCCCAGCACTTTGGGAGGCCGAGGCGGGCAGATCATGGGGTCAGGAGATCGAGACCATCCTGGCTAACACGGTGAAACCCCGTCTCTACTAAAAATACTAAAAAATTAGCCGGGTGTAGTGGCGGGCGCCTGTAGTCCCACCTACTCTGGAGGCTGAGGCAGGAGAATGGCAGGACTGAGTGAGACTGTCTCAAAAAAAAATAAAAATAAATAAATTTCAAGATAGAGCAAGCGAATGACAAAATACGTATATAATATTCAGAATGAATGATTTATGAAGTATCGATGCACAGAGATTTTTTAAATGAGAATATTTTTACTTTTTATTTTCTGTGTATAAAGCTACCCATGTGTCTATGGGTGGTCTGGGCAGTTCTGCTAATGTGATCTGTACTTGGCTGGTCTTGCCTGTACTGGCTGATGTATCTGTGGGGGGTTTGGCTAGAGTCTGGCTGACCTAAGATGCCAGCCTAACCTAGGAGGACTCAAATGTCCTTAACATTTTTGTCAAATTTCTCAAACAGACCAGACTTGACATGTTTCTGTGGCAGTGGTAGAGTCCCAGAAAGGTTGCAGAAATGTCCAAGTGTTTTTTCAAACTTCTGCTTGCATCTGTTGGCCAAACCTACTGTCCTGTTGGCCAAACCTTTCTGTCTTGTGGGCCAAACCAAATCACATGCCCAAGGTACATAGAGGCATGGAAAACTGTGGTCACTAATAAAATTAATCTGCCTCAAATATTAGGGAACACATTTTGCAATTTTCTTTGATATACCAAACTTCCAGAAAAACATAAATGACTGAAACTGACAAGAAAACGATGGCAAGTTTAAATAATTCTATAACCATTAAAGAAATTGAATCAGTAGTTAAAAATCATCCCACAAAGAAAACCTCAAGCTAAAGTGTTTAAGAGCTAAACACTTAAAGAGGTAAGTTTAAAATTTTTTCAAGATTCTGCTAATTTCACATGCATAGAATGCACCCATACACTGGAAAATCAGAGAATATTATTTGATTAATCTATAAATTGTGAATAATTTTGATTCTCAAACCAGATAAATATGTTTCCAGAAAATAAAACCACTGACTAATGTAATGAAAATAGATTCAGAAGTTATAAAGAAAATGTGATTGAACTGGCCCCTCATAAGAAGCTGCCAATCTCCTAGGCATTTGCTGCCTCACTTAGGATGGTATCTCAGGGTCGCACAGGTCCTGCTCCTGCCTGGCACTCACCTGGGCCATACTCGAAGTGGCCCTCACAGCCTGGGTCTGGCAAGAGAGCAGGCATTGAAACAGGTCCATCTTGGGAAAGAAACAGAGGCCTCACAAACACTTCTATGAGGAATATGTAGACAAGCCTTGAATCTAGCCTTCAAAGTGGAGGAAAAGAAATCACAGTGCCCTCCCTAGCAGTTCACAGCACAACTCAACACTCTTTAATGTACAAAAATGATCATGCCAACACAAAACTAGAAGCATAAAAAGATAATTCAAAAGAAAAGCAGCTATCAGAAAAAGAAAATGCAAAAAAAAAAAAAAGGATAAAAAAGAGACTGAGATCATATGGAGAATGAAGCCAAAACAGATTTTGCTTCCAGGCTCCTATAAAACTAGAATTTTTTCCTGAGAAGCTGCTAGCAAACTCTTTAACTAAGCCAGAGAGAGAGAAAGAGAGAGAGAAAGAAAAGATATTCTTTCAATAAATGATCAGATAATGGCAGAGAAAGAATCAAAGGGTTTTTTTTCATTTTTATTGATCAATTTTGTTGATCAAGAAAACCCCATCATCACTGATTACCCAGTAGATTTCGAATTAAAAAGAAAAGATTAAGAATGACTAACATTGCATAGAAAAACCAAAAGAACATTTCAATGACCCTGTATTCTAAAGCCATGGTTTACAACAGACCAGATATGACCATGTATTATAAAAAATACAAGAAAGCTATTGGTTCAAAAATAATTGAGGAAAGTGTTTAACTGTTGTTTGAGCACATAAGACAATTCGTTGTCTTATTTCTTTGGATTGGCTGTTTTCTAGGACCTTTATGTAGATGAGTCAGTTGTCTAGGTTTTCTTTTGGCAAGTCCCTGATTAAACACCTGATTATTGGATTCCATAGGGCAAACTAGGGGTAACTGAAAAAAAAATATGATGTCCAGAAAGCACTGTAGGTGTTCCAGATGGTTCCTACAGGTTTCATAGTTTGTCAAAGGGCAAATGGCAGCACTCTTGTGCCTTGGCAGGTTCCTAGTAAGAGGAAAACAAAGGAAGATTCTGAGGTCACAAGCAATAATATTTCTTAGGTTGAGATTTGAAAAGTAGTAGTGAGTAGCATGGCTTGTGTTGTTTCTCTTACTCTCCTGGCTCCCTGAGCCCACGTGCCTAATCATGAGACATTCCCTGTGACATCCATTGCCAAGGACAGGCTTCGTGGGATAAAGGGGGCTGAATGCACCTGGCATGAATGCCCAGGTGAATAGTGCATGCATGCTGCCACTTCTGGTTAGATGTATCTTGCCAGAATCAATGTCTTTGGACTAATATCATGTCATATCAGGGCCAAAACCTTTCTCCATCCTGCATACATGTCTAGTCACATGTCATAGACATCTGGGCTCGCTTTAGAGTCTTTTCAATTTGTTGCAAGGCAATCTTACATGTAAGAGAAGTAGGTGGCTGTACACAGGATTGGTAATGAGAGATCATAGGAACAAACTCTTGCCTCAATATATTTCCCCATATCGAGGAATCTGTATTCTGTTTATTTTTGGATTAGGAGTTGCCATCTCCAGGTCCTAGTCGGTCCTCCATCATGTGATGAGTGCAACACAGCAAGATGAATAGTCACACATTAAATGCATTTTCATCAGACTTTACAAGATGACTGTCTTCCAAAGATAAAATAAGAGCTCTGAAAGTAATGAACAAGGTGAGTGGAAAGGATGACAGAAGAGGAGGAAGTGAGAAGAAAAGTGAGGGGGACAAAAGACTGTGCTCTCCTAGTCTACAGACGTGGCTGTATTCCCTCTCCATCTCTTCAAGTGCATGCAAATGAAATTTCATGTGAGCAAATTTGTGTATATGTGTGTCAGTGTGAATGAGGAAGAGAGAGAGAGGAAGGATATGTGTGTGAGTATGTGAGTTTTTTTCAGAGAAATCAGCTTTGAACTGTTCAGTTTACCCCAGAGCTTCCACTGTTCCCAGGAGCACCAACCCCAGCTCTGAACCTGGAGCTGGTGAGGAAGGCAGGCAGCTGTGCATTAGGCTGCGGCGACTGCAGCTATGGAATGGACTGCATTCTGCTCCATCCTCTTAGTGAGGGGATGCTGGTGAAATGGGCTTCTTACTTGATTCAGGAGATTAGTAAACATGCCCAGAAAAAGCATTTTTCAAGAATTCACTATGATCTCACTAATTCACCAGTTACTGATCAATTAACAACAAACCATTTAAATGAATGCATATAAATATGATTAAAAAATTTTTTTTGGCCAGGTGTGGTGGCTCACGCCTGTAATCCCAGCACTTTGGGAGGCTAAGGCGGGTGGATTATGAGGTCAGGATTTCAAGACCAGCCTGGCCAAGATGGTGAAACCCCATCTCTACTAAAAAATACAAAAAATTAGCCAGTGCAGTGGCAGGTGCCTGTAATCCCAGCTACTCAGGAGGCTGAGGCAGGAGAATTGCTTGAACTCGGAGGACGGAGGTTGTAGTGAGCCAAGATCACACCACTGCACTCCAGCCTGGGTGACAGAGTGAGACTCCATCTCAAAACAAAACAAAAAAAAACATATTTTTTTTGAGAGAGGATCTCACTCTGTCCCCTAGGCTGGAGTGCAGTGGTGTGATGTCAGTTCACTGCAACCTAAGCCTCCTGGGCTCAAGCCATCCTCCCACCTCTATAGGATTGTTTAATGTGTATTTTAAATCTTTTTACTTTCAGATATGGGATGATTTAATCTAAGTGTGTGCCATGAACTGCTTTGAGACCTTAATAATCAGTAACAGCAATAAAAGGCAAAAGAGAAGCAACAATAAAAACTAAAATTCAATCAAGGCTTACATTGCAAGTCACTGTTCTAAGTGCTAATGGCATCAACCATTTAGTACTCATAATCTTACAACCAAAATTTATTATCCCATTTTACAGATGAGGATAATGAGGTGAGATTTAACTATAAATTACTAACATGAAAATACAATCTTTAAAATTTCTAAAAAATAGTTTATGTTTTGAAATAGCAAACAATATTTTTACCTTTAAAACATATTTACAAATTTAATGTCAGAAAAAGCATTCTAGGAAAACTCAGTAGAATTTAATGTGAAAATATTGTGTGGATCTCTTTATGGCCTATAAGCTTAAAACGACTTAATACCTGCTCTTGAAGAGTACACTCCAACCTGGCTATACTCAAACTTTTGTTCAAAATGGATTTTAAGAATGTAGATTTCTCCTTGTAGTAAATAAGCTTAATTCTGCTAGCCCAAGTCAACTCTTGGACTATGTGAAAATGCAAGTGGCTAGTATTTGCATGGATAGACTCAAGTTACCTTGAGTTGGCTGGCCTCAACCATGTGTAGAACTCACACTTTCTCCTTGCCTATCCTTTTGCACTGCACCAGTATCTGAGTTGATCGTCTTTTCCATTAGGGGTTTCTGCCAGTTCATTGGACTTCTCAAGAAGTCATTGTTCTGACAGGATCCCATAACACACCCCACAAGAAGGCTCATGTTAGAACAATGCAGGCTCAAAGAGCACTTCAAGAAAAAGAAGGGCTGGTCCGGAATGAGAATGGCGGTGGTTTGGCTAACCTAGTTTCCTCTCTTCTGAGAAAAAAAGAAAGAAATTCAACTTTATGGGTAGAAGGTCTTTTCCCAAAGCAATTCCTGGATGTTTGACAAATTTTCTCAATAAAAAAGATTACTGAACGCAGAAATACCATTTAGGACATAAAACGGAGGCCAAGGAAAATAAACCATTTAGTTTATTTTCAGAATCATTATTAATTCCTCAGGGCCCAGTTAAGCAACATTTTTATAACAATACAATTTAAAGGCTATTGCATAATATTACATTTTGAACTGACAGGGTAGTAAGTGCTTGCTTTTATTGAATGTTCCATACAATATTTCTCTTAAAGTTCAGTGCTATGCTGTATATTAGTTTATTTTTTAATGCCAAAATCCTTCATTTACAAAGAGTTTTTAATAGAGGTATAATGGTGAGAAATCAATATTAGTATAATAGACAGACATGAAAAGGTAATATTCACTGTGTAAATTTGCTATGTGTTTATTAAAAATTTCACTGACGCGAAGTCAATTCAATTTGGAAAATGTATCCGTTGACTGCTCTCTACTAGGAATAAGCTAAATATTGTAAAAATAATAATAATAATAATGCCCATCCTCAAGGATACTACTACTCTCTGTGAAATAACAGAACCTGAGATGGAGGGCTAGTCATTGGGAACAATGTTCTACTCTTACAGCATTAAGTAAATACGGGATATGAAGCAGATGATACAGGCTTTGATTTTCTCATCTGTAAAACAAGAAAATTAAATTTAACTTAGAAACGGTGAAGATATTTTCTCAAAATTTTGTATACTTGTACTTCTCTTTCTATAATTCACTTTCCATTCTACCCTAAACCTTATTAGTAAGCAAGAGTTCTAATCAGACATTAGTAATCACCTGATATAAATGCATGTTCACAGCTGGTACCACACTATCACAATGTGATGACTTTAGATGGTGCCCAAAGTGCTGTTTACATGGTGGCCACATATGCTCAAAAGTTTTTTAAAAGTTACATTTGTTGATGTGTTCACACCACTGTGTTGTTTTGGAAAATAGCCAAGAACCCATCTGCTTAATTTTTTTAGACCTTTGGTATAGAGGTAATCTTACTTGTATTCCAACTTAGACGTGTACCAAGACCTAACAAATAGTTTATTAGAACAATGCTAAGGCATCCAAACCAAAAAATTAACAGGTGGTGCCTAAAAATTACTAGTTTTTTTTGTTTCAATTAATCAGTTAGTTTAACAAATTTTAGTTTTTGGCTGGACGCGGTGGCTCACACCTGTAATCCTAGCACTTTGAGAGCCCAAGGCAGGTGGATCACGAGGTCAGGAGATTGAGACCATCCTGGCTAACAGGGTGAAACCCCGTCTCTACTAAAAATACAAAAAATTAGCCGGGCGTGGTGGTGGGTGCCTGTAGTCCCAACTACTCGGGAGGCTGAGGCAGGAGAATGGCGTGAACCCGGGAGGCGGAGCTTGCAGTGAGCCGAGATGGCACCACTGCACTCCAGCCTGGACAACATAGTGAGACTCCATCTCAAAAAAAATGAAAAGAAATTTTAGTTTTCCAGATGTGCTAGGTATTTAGGTATTAAATCACCTCAGAGAAGAGTTTGAACAAAACAGATATTGTAAAACTTGGTTTTTATTGCTAAAAATAGAAAGTCTGAAGATTGGAAATTTGACCTAATGTTAGCCTCCAATTAGCCTCCTTGAACAAATTCAAAGCAGAGCCTGGAGATGGAAGGCATCGAGGACGTCATCACCTGCACTTCCAAGGGCTGCTGTGAAATGAGGAAAATCACCTTCTTATCTCAGCACCAGGCTTGTGGATGCAAAGTCCCAGGGCATGCCTAGGTTCTTTGTTTACCATTTACACAAATTTCCTCCTATCACTGATTCTGAAGACATTTTCAAAAAACACACAAATATGTGCTTTCATATATTAACAGATGATAAAAGGAAAGAGGGTGGTTAAGAGCTAGATGGAACCACGCTTGAAGCCCATTCCCACTTATTTGCTCTCTGACACATACTTGACCTTTCTGAGATTTCATTTCCAAATTGATAAAATACAGCTTTGTGCAGTGGCAGCTTCTGACGTGAAGCAAGGCTCTCAGAAACTGTTGCCTCCCCCTCTCCTTCCTATTCTGCCTCTTCTACATTGCTAAGCAGTCTGGTGGCATCTCCTAATGAGACTGAAGCAAAAAGGAATTATGGATTACCACCTCCAGCTGGAGATTAACCAGAAGGTCCATACTGAAAGAAGACCTGAGCACAAAAGTGGACTACCATGAAAGCCTTAAAAGTTTTATACATGAGGAACCATATCTTCGACAAGAGCACACATCAGTATATATGTATTAAACATGTGGTGTAGAGGAAGACCCTTCCTATTTCAATGAAATTAGAGATCATTTGATATATCATGAATTTCTAGTTTTTTTAAAAAAAATTTACATGTATAAACTTGCCGAGTATTGGCTTTGATTGGCTTTAGGGCCTGGTGAGGGAGCTGGGGGTATGGGGAGGAGATTCAAAAGAGGGAAGGTCTTGACTCTCTGTAGCTCCTTCACAGTTAAAAGTAGCAATTTTCAGCAAAGTGTTCAATTTCTGAGCATCAAAATATATGTTTTTGAAAATGAAAATGGAAAATGAGGACTAGCAATTTTGGATTCCAAGGTTTATGGGTTTTTTCTTTTTTTTTTTTAGACGGACTCTTGCTCTGTCACCCAGACTGGAGTGCAGTGGTGCCATCTCGGCTCACTGCAAGCTCCGCCTCGCGGGTTCACGCCATTCTCCTGCCTCAGCCTCCCGAGTAGCTGGGACTACAGGCGCCCGCCACCAAGCTCGGCTAATTTTTTGTATTTTTAATAGAGACGGGATTTCACTGTGTTAGCCAGGATGGTTTCGATCTCCCGACCTCGTGATCCACCTGCCTCGGCCTCCCAAAGTGCTGAGATTACAGGCATGAGCCACCGTGCCTGGCCTTTATGGGGTATTTTTAAGGTGATTACCAATCAAGCTAACATGAGCTGGTGCAAATGGTGAAGTGGTCAGAATTAATAGAGAAAGTAGATGGCCTAGAGTAGGATTTAAGAGTGAGTGGTCTTTCCTGCAGGTTGTGGTTAATTTTAGATCCCAATGATCTTTACAGAGGAAGGGAGCTCAAATACCTATTATAAATAGCATCAGAGATTCTATTTTTAGATTGTTAACTAAAGGAGTTTTTCTTTGATTTAGCAAGAGAATGCTTGTATTCCACTGATACTGAGTATCCAAGACAAGTTGATTATGTATTAAATTCCAATCATGACTGGGGGTGACGGCTCATGCCTGTAATCCCAGCACTTTGGGAGGCCGAGGTGGGTCAATCACATGAGGCCAGGAGTTGGAGACCAGCCTGGCTAACATGGTGAAACCCCGTCTCTCCTAAAAATATAAAAATTAGCTGGGTGTAGTGGGGTGCACCTGTAGTCTTAGCTACCAGGGAGGCCAAAGCAGGAGAATGGCTTGAACCTGCGAGGTGGAGGTTGCAGTGAGCCGAGATCCCGACACTGCACTCCAGCCTCGGAGACAGAGCTAGGCTCTGTCTCAAAAAGAAAACAAACAAAAAAACCAAAACCAATGAAGATGAAACAGTGTGATGACCATATTGGTATTGGTGACAATGTTATTGAAAAAAGTTTTAAAAATAAAGCCACAAGGCATATGATCCCTTGAAATAATGGCAATAGAATTTAATCAGCAATAGAATTTTCCAAATCATAAGAGAAAATTGTATGATGTATTGACAGGAGAAAAGTTTAGTGCAGGACAGCAGCTGCTATGTGTAAGGAAGATTGAGATAAATTACTTAAGTTTTTAGAGTTTTTATAGTTGTTTAATATTCAGATTTACCCATGCTTTAGAGCACAGAGCAAATCCCCTCTTTTCCTGTCCATGACTTATGAGTTTCTTCCTATTCTTCTAGTGCATTAAAAAAGGTCTCAGTTGTAGTATTTTGCATAATCTAGTTTATAATCCCACCTAAAAATTTATGATAGTCTTTTCCCTCTAGAGCAATTGTATGCAATAGAAATATAATGTGAGTCACTTATGTCATTTAAAATTTTCTAGTAGCCATATTAGAAAAGGTAAAAAATGCAGGGGTATCAAGTTTGGTAATATTTTAATTTTATCTAAAATATAATTATTTCAACATATAACCAATGTAAAATTATTAATGAAATATTACATATTTTTCATACTAAGTCTTTGAAATCCAGTGTGCATTCAACAGTTCAGGTACATCTTAATTTGGACTAACCACATATCAAGTGTTCAATAGCTACACATAGGTAAGTGGCTACTGGTTTGAACAGTACAGCTCTAGAGCTTATTTCTCTACAATGTACCCTATTATTATTTTTAGAATCTTCTTTTTTTTTTTTTGAGACCGAGTCTCACTCTGTGGCCTAGGCTGGAGTGCAGTGGCACGATCTCGGCTCACTGCAGCCTCCTCCTCCTGGGTTCAAGCAATTCTCTGCCTCAGCCTCCAGAGTAGCTGGGATTACAGGTGCCTGCCACCATGCCTGGCTAATTTTTGTATTTTTAGTAGAGACAGGGTTTCACCATCTTGGCCAGGCTTGTCTTGAACTCTTGACCTCAGGTGATCCACCGGCCTTGGCCTCCCAAAGTGCTGGGATTACAGGCGTGAGCCACCGCGCCGGGCCTAGAATCTTCTATAATACCATGAGTAGCATTTGGCACATGAGATACTCAGTATTAAAAAATGTATTGAATTAAACGTATCTTTAGTTATTTCAAGGCAATGAGATCAGTGAGAATCTATGAGTAGCTTTAACCATGCAGAGTTCTTGTCTCAAACGGGAGCACTCATCTGGGCCAAAATCATCCTGTCCAATGACACTTCTAGAAGCACATGAAAACAGAAGTGTGCTAGTGGGAGTTAAATGAGCCCAGAAACGAGTGCTGGGCATTTGTTTGACAGGCCAGTGGATTCTGCTTTGACTCCAGCCCTCAGTGTGAACCATCCCTTCCAGGACGCTGACCTGAGTTTCCTGGCCATGGGGTACACCTTTTTCACTGCATCTGGTACCAGGACACCAAGTAACCTTCCCTTTCTTTTGAGGTAGCACTGACTCTTGCACTTTGGCTTTAGAATTCTTTGAAATTGGACCCGGAGAGGCAAGGACACTAAATGACATCCTTTATCCCTTAATCCTTAAGTAATCACCAGAAAAGCCAGTTCTTCGAAAGGGGAGCTCCTCAAGCCTTTTTCTGAAGCCAGTGTGATAATATATCCTCAGAAGCTGAGGTCTTTAAGCCAAGGCATCTAAAAGCAAGGATGCGTTACTGGTCTGATCATGAACTCTAAATCCACTTTCAATCCTGTCATTTATAGACCCTCTTCTGTGACCCAACAGACTTGTCTAAATTCCCTGATAAAAACTTAATAGTTTGCCAACAATCCACTATTTTGTAGGCCAGTTAAGTCTTGACAGATAAACACGCCTTTAAATATGTTTTGTAAATTCCCCCATATTACACAGCTACTGGTTTCTACAAAGACACAAGATTAAGACATAATATTCTGCCTATAGTAAAAATAAATAGCATATGTGTTCTGATAGCCTCATCAGTAACTTTAACTAGACAAACAAGGTCTTGTCCCAAACAGGAACACTGATCTGAGCCAAAATTATCCAGTGTTCTGAGATTCATCTCAATTATATATTTGCTTCTTGTTTATTTCCTTAGAGACTAGGCTTTATTTTTTTTTTCTATTTAAATTCCAGTGCCATCACTTGCCAACTTTATGTCTTTGGGATTTTCACACTTAAGAAAATCAATCATCTTTTAAATATATCCTAACTGAAATGCCAGTTTTATAATTTAATAGTAGCTTTTGTTTGTTCTGTATTTCTCTGTTTGCATTTATTTTTTAGTGTTCAAATATGTATGTATATATATATATATATGTATATATATATATATGTATATATATATATATATATATATATATAAAGATTTTTTTTTTTTTACTTTAAGTTCTGGGATACATGTGCAGAATGTGCAGGTTTGTTCTGTAGGTATACATGTGCCGCAGCGGTTTGCTATACCTATCAACCCATCATCTAGGTTTTAAGCCCCAGGTGCATTAAGTATTTGTCCTAAAGCTCTCCTTCCCCTTGCCCCTCAACCCCCAACAGGCCCTGGTGTGTGATCTTCCCCTCCCTGTGTTCGTGTGTTCTCATTGTTCAACTCCCACTTAAGAGTGAGAACATGTGGTGTTTGGTTTTCTGTTCCTGTGTTAGTTTGCTGAGAATGATGGCTTCCAGCTTCATTTACGTCCATGCAAAGGACATGAACTCATTCTTTTTCATGGCTGCATAGTATTCCATGGTATACATGGGTCACATTTTCTTTCTTTCTTTTTTTTTTTTTTGAGACAGAGTCTCGTTCTGTTGCCCAGGCTGAGTGCACTGGCATGATCTCGGCTCACTGCAAGCTCCGCCTCTCAGGTTCATGCCATTCTCTTGCCTCAGCCTCCCAAGTAGCTGGGACTACAGGCGCCTGCCACAATGCACGGCTAATTTTTTGTATTTTTAGTAAAGATGGGGTTTCACCGTGTTAGCCAGGATGTTCTCGATCTCTTGACCTCGTGATCCGCCTGCCTTAGCCTCCCAAAGTGCTGGGATTACAGGCGTGAGCCACCGCGCCCGGCCTATATGCGCTACATTTTCTTTATGCAGTCTATCATTGATGGGCATTTGGGTTGGTTCCAAGTCTTTGTATTGTAAATAGTGCTGCAATAAGCATGTATGTGCTAGTATCTTTATAGTAGAATGATTTGTAATCCTCTGGGTATATATCCAGTAATGGGATTGCTGGGTCAAATGGTGTTTCTGGTTCTAGATCCTTGAAGAATTGCCACACTGTCTTCAACAAGGGTTGAACTAATTTACACTCCCACCAACAGTGTAAAAGCATTCCTATTTCTCCACAGCCTTACCAGTATCTGTTGTTTCTTGACTTTTTAATAATCACCATTCTAACTGGCTTGAGATGGTATCTCATTGTGGTTTTGATTTGCATTTCTCTAGTGACCAGTGATGATGAGCTTTTTTCATATGTTTGTTGGCCGCATTAATGTCTTCTTTTGAGAAGTGTCTGTTCATATCCTTTGCCTACATTTTGATGGAGTTGTTTTTTTCTTGTAGATTTCTTTAAGTTCCTTGTAGATTCTGGATATTAGACCTTTGTCAGATGGATAGATTGCAAAAATTTTCTCCCATTCTGTAGGTTGCCTGTTCATTCTGATGATATGCAGAAAGCAGAAACTGGACCCCCTTCTTACACCTTGTACAAAAATTAACTCAAGATGGATTAACATCTTAAATGTAAAACCCAGCTGGGTACGGTGGCTCATGCCTGTAATCCCAGCACTTTGGGAGGCCGAGGCGGGTGGATCACGAGGTCAGGAGTTCGAGACCAACCTGACCAATACGGTGAAACCTCGTCTCTACTAAATTAGCCAGGCGTGGTAGTGTGAGCCTGTAATCCCAGCTACTCCAGGGGCTGAGGCAGGAGAATCACTTGAACTGGGGAGGCAGAGGTTGCAGTGAGCCAAGATCGCACCACTGCACTCTCCAGCCTGGGGGACAGAGCGAGACTCTGTCTCAAAAAAAAAAAAAAAAAAAAAAGTAAAACTCAAAACCATCAAAACCCTAGAAGAAAACCTAGGCAATACCATTCAGGACATAGGCATGGACAGACTTCATGACTAAAACACCAAAAGCAATTGCAAGAAAAGCCAAAATTGACAAATGGTATCTAATTAAACTAAAGAGCTTCTGCACAGCAAAAGAAATCATCTTTGTTTGCATTTTAAATATCTTAGAATCACAGTCTGTGGGAATCTCAGAAGTTCTCTGGTACAATTTCCTGATTTTATATTTGAAGATATAATGACCTATTTTGTGCAAGTTCATGAAGCTCAAGTTCATGATCAAGACTGGAACTGACTCCCCTTTTCTGTCAGTATCAAAGCTAAAGACTGGAACTGACTCCCCTTTTCTCTCAGTATCACGGCTGGAGGATCACTTTAGCCCAGTGTGTAAGATGTACATGATCTGGAGCCCGATATCTCTGACTTCGTGCATAATACCTTGCCCTGCTTACACCACTTAAGTTCACAGTCCTCCCCATGGGTCTCTGAACACCAGCTACACGCCTTACATGGGATGCCTGCCCAACTACTCCCTCTTTATAGAATGCTCTTCCCCCCAGGCATCTGCACTGTTAACTGTTAAACCTTCTTCAAGGCTTTGCTCAACTGTCACCTTGTCAACAAGACTCACCACCCAGTTTTAAATTTCACCTTCCCACAAAAATATCCACCTTGTAAATTAATGTTCACCAATTTAATTATTTTAGCACATTTTTGAAAATCAATAGCTCATATAATCATGAGTCTATTTCTCACAGAAATAAACTGTCTCTATTGCTTACATTGTTCTACTGCAGTTTGTCTCCATCTAAATGTCCATCCCCACCATCTTCATTATTAAAACTTTAAAGTAGGTTTTGAATTCAGATTCCTGAATTCAGATTCAGAAAACCTCCAACTGTTTGTCTATTTTGAAATTGTTTTGGCTGTTCCATATTATTTTTTCCATATATGTTTTCACACAAGAAATTGAAACTTGTCAATTTCTTCCAAAATCCTCTTAGGATTTGACTGGATAACACTAGCTTCATAAAATAAGTTGAGAAATGTTCCCTTAGTCTCTGTTTTTGAAGTAGCTGATGTGAGATTGGGATTACTTATTTTAATATTTACTAGACTTCACCAATGCTATAGTTTAAATGTTTGTCTCCTCCAAAACTCATGTTAAAATTTCTTTGCTAATGTAATGGTATTGGGAGCTGGGACCTTTAAGAGGTGATTAGGCCATGAGTGCTCCACGTTCATGGGGGAGTGTAATGCCTTTTAAATGGGGGTTTCAGGAGTGGATTCTTCTCTTTTCTCTTCTACTCCTCTGTCATGTAAGGTAGATTGTTTCTTCCCTTTGAAGGATGCAGCTGTTAAGGCATCATCTTAGAAGTAGAGACCTGGCTCTTACCAGACACCAAATCTGCTGGCACCTTGATGTTGGACATCCCAGCTTCCAGAACTATAAGAAATAAACTTCTGGTTTTTATAAATTACCCAGTCCCTGGTATTTGGTTACAGAAGCACAAAATGGTCAAAGACAATAAGTGAAGACAAATCTGGTCTTTGGGGTTTTCTTTCCATCTTTGTTTTTCATAGAAAAAATAGTAGATTATATATTTGTTGTTTTAACTCATTAGAGAGTTATTTCAGTTCAATTTTCTTTTTCTTCTATTGTCAATTCTACTAAGTTAGTCTTTTAAAAATAATTTTTCCATTTAATCTAGATTGTCAAAATTATTGGCAAGAATTTTTCATAGTATTTGCTCATTATTTTTCAATATGTACAGGATTTATAGTGATGTGACTTTGATATTTCTAAAGTTGGAAAATGTATCTTCTTTATTTTTTTAACTAGTCAATCTAGAAACTTAATAATTATATTGATCCTATCAAATGACCCTTGATTTCAGTGATTTTTCTCTATTATTTTTTCTTTAATTTCATTGGTTCTTATTATTTTATGTTTTATTTTCGTCTATCTACTTTAATTAAGTTTAATTCTTCTTTCAAATCCAGATCTTTGATTTTACCTTATTCTCCTTTTTTTAATGTATGCATTGCATTTTTAACAATAAATTGCATTCTAACCACTGCTTTGCCTGTGTCCAAAAATTTTTGTTATAATTTTTTATTACTGTCTAGTTTAAAATATTCTTTAACTTTCTGGTGATTTCCTTCCTTCTTTCTCTTTCTTTCTTTCTTTCTTTCTTTCTTTCTTTCTTTCTTTCTTTTTCTTTCTTTCTTTCCTTTCTTTTTTTTTTTTGACGTCATCTCACTCTGTAGCCAGGCTGGAGTGCAGTGGCATGATCTTGGCTCACCGCAACCTCCGCCTCCAGGGTTCAAGCTATTCTCTTGCCTCAGCCTCCTGAGTAGCTGAGATTACAGGCACGCACCACCATGCCCAGCTAATTTTTGTATTTTTAGTAGAGATGGGGTTTCACCATGTTTGCCAGGATGGTTTTGATTTCCTGACCTCATGACTGACCCGCTTTGGTCTCCCAAAATTCTGGGATTACAGGCATGAGCCACTGAGTCCAGCCGTGATTTCTTTTCTTTAACCTAAGGACTATTTACAACTGTTTTGTTTAATTTTCAAATGTATTTAATGTAAGGGTTATTTATAACTGTTTTGTTTAGTTTTCAAATATTTGGGGTTTTGACTGGGTGAGGTGGCTCAAGTCTGTAATCCCCAGAAATTTGGGAGGCCAAGGCTGGAGGGTCACTTGAACCCTGGAGTTTGAGACCAGACTGGGAAACATGGTGAAACCCTGTCTCTACAAATAATACAAAAGTTAGCCAGGCAAGGTGGTGTGCATCTGTGGTCCCAGCTACTCGGGAGGCAGATGTAGAATGATCGCTTGAGCACAGAAGATGGAGGTTGCAGTGAGCCAAGATCACACCACTGCACTCCAGCCTGGATGAAAGAGCAAGAGTCTGTCTCAAAAACTAACAAATAAAAAACAACAGTAGAAATATTTGGGATTTTCTAGTTATCTTATTGTGGTAAATTTTTATTTATTTATTTATTTATTTATTTATTTATTTATTTATTTTTATTATTATTTTTTTTTGAGACGGACCTAGCTCGCCAGGCTGGAGTGCAGGGGCTCAATCTCAGCTCACTGCAAACTTCACCCCTTGGGTTCAAGCGATTTTCCTGCCTCAACCTCCTGAGTAGCTAGGATTACAGGCATGCACCACCACACCCAGCTAATTTTTGTATTTTTAGTAGAGTCGGGGTTTCCCCATGTTGGCCAGGCTGGTCTCAAACTCCTGACCTGAAGTGATCCACCTGCCATGGCCTCCCAAAGTGCTGGGATTACAGACGTGAGCCACTGTGCCCAATCTTGTGGTAGATTTTTAATGCAACTTCATTTTTGTCAGAGCATATGTGTATATATATATATATATATATATATATATATATATATATATATATATACTTTAAATGATTTCAATCTTTTTAAATCAATGGAATTTTATGGTCCTTCACATAATTTTTTCTTTTTTTTTGAGACAGGGTATTGCTCTGTCATCCAGGCTGGAGTGCAGTGGCGTGACCTCTGCTCACTGCGGGCTCAGCCTCTCAGGTGCAAGCAATCCTCCTTCCTCAACCTCCTGAGTAGCTGGGACTACAGGCATGCACCACCATGTCTGGCTAATTTTTTGTATTCTTTGTGTTTGGGATGGGGTTTTGCCGTGTTGCACACAGTGGTCTCCAACTCCTGGAAGCTCCTGCCTCGGCCTCCCAAAGTGCTGGGATTACAGGCATGAGCTACTGCACCAGGCCCATATAATCCATTTTAATAAATATTTTATGTACACTTAAAAAGAATGTATAATCTACCTATGTTGGGTATAGCGTTATATAAACGTAAATTAATTCAAGTTTGTGGAGAGGATGATTCAAATCCTTTATGTCTTTGTGGGGGTTTTTTTTCCTAGTTCTTCTGTGAGTTCCTGAGAAGAAGGTAACTATCCGTAGTGCGTTGAATAGTGACACTCCACCACCCCCCCGCAAAGGATCTATCAACCAGAACTTCAGAATGTGACCTTATTTGAAATAAGGGTCTTTGTAGATATAATTAAGGTGAGAATCTAGAGATGACATTAACCTGGACTAGAGAGATCCCTGATTCCAAAGACAGATGTCCTTGTAAGAGAAAAGAAAGGCAAGCCAAGAGCCACCAGGAGCTGGAGGAGACAAGGATCGATTCTTCCCCCAGCCTTGAGAGGAAGCATGGCTCTGGTGATGCTCAGTTTCAGCCTCCTAGTCTCCAGAACTGGCAAAAATAAAATCATATGGTTTTAAGTTAACAAATTTATACTAATTTGTTGCAGAAGCCCTAACAAACGAATGCAATTGACCCCTGAACAACACAAGTTTGAAGGGCATTGGTCCACTTATGTGCAGATTTATTTCAGTAAATATATTGGAAAAACTTTTGGAGATTCGCAACAATTTGAAAAAATTTAAAAAAACTCTATAGCCTAGAAATATTAAAAAAAAAGAAAACTTAGGTATGTCATGAATGCATAAAACATATGTAGATACCAGACTATTTTATTATTTACTATCATAAAATATACACGGACCTATTGTAAAAAGTTAAATGCATCAAAACTTATGCACACACAGACTGTACAAAGTGCTATTTGCAGTCAAGCAAAATGAAAACAAATGTGAAGATGCAATATTAAATCATAGCTGCATACAATTAACTTTAGTACTCACTGTAGTACTGTAGTAATTTTGTAGCAACCTCCTGTTCTTGTGGTGAGTTCAAATGTGAGTATTCCCATAAAAAGCTTTGTGATGCTAGTCATCTTCAGGTGAGTGGCTCAACTTTCTAACAAATTGCATATCTGCACAGTAAAAAGTGATCTCTTGGCTGGGTGTGGTGGCCTGTAATCCTAGCACTTTGGAAGGCCGAGGTGGGCGGATCACCTGAGGTCAGGAGTTTGAGACCAGCCTGGCCAAGATGGTGAAGCCTTGTTTCTGCTAAAAATATAAAAATTAGCTTGGTGTGGTGGCAGGTGCCTATAATCCCAGCTACCCAGGAGGCTGAGGCAGGAGAATTGCTTGAACTTGGGAGGCAGAGGTTGCAGTGAGCCGAGATTACACCATTGTACTCCAGCCTGGGTGACCGACTGTCTCAAAAAAAAAAAAAAAATGTAATCTCCTGTAGTTCTCATGTCTTTTTCATTGTGTTTAATGCAATATCATGAATATTGAATAACCCCATGGGAGCATAGGAAGTGCAACTATTGCTGCTGTAAGCGTTCCCAAGAGGTAGAGAAAACTCATGACATTACAGGAAAATGTTGAGCTACTTGATATGTACTACACACTGAGTTCTTAAGCTCTAGTTGCCCATCATCTCAGACAGCCAATTCATCTTGTAAATAGACTTTGTAAACTTCTGGTATTGATAAGTAAGTGCTGATAATATATTTTGTCTTCCTTGTGATTGTTTTAATAACATTTTATTTTCTCTAGCTTGCTTTACTGTAGGATATAGCATACAACACATATAACATACAAAGTATGTTTTAATTGACTGCTTATGTTTTCTATCAGTAAAGCTTGTGGTCAGCAGTACGCTACTACTAGTTCATTCTAGGGGAGTAAAAGTTATACTATATTTTTGACTGTGTGGGGGTCAGCACCCTTAACAATGATAGAATTTTCTATTCCTGTCCATTTTTGCTTTCTGTACTTTGCAACTCTGTTATTAGCTGCACAAACACTTATGATGTTATGTCTTATCTTTTATTTGACCCCTTTATAGTTGTGAATTGTTTTGTTTTGTCTCTATTAATACTTTTGGTATTAAAATGTATTTTTTCCTGATTTTGATGTAGCCAAATCCTACACAAATGTGCTTACTATTTGCATGGTAAGTTTTTTTCCTTCCATTTACTTTCAACTACTTGTGCCAGCCCCTGCCTACCACCATTCTACTCTCTGTTTCGGTGAGTCTGACTATTTAGGGTACCTTATGTAAGTAGAGTCATGAAATATATCTACTTCAGTAATGGGCTTATTTCACTTAGCATAGTGTTCTCTAGGTTTATCAGTGTTGTTAAAAATAACAGAATTTCCTTTTTTAAGGCTGAATAACATCCACAGTGTGCATATACCATATTTTCATCTATCAGTAGACATATAAGTTGTCTCCATGTCTTGGCTACTGTGAATAACACCGCAATAAATCAGAGAGTGCACGTATTTCTTAACGATAATGATTTCAATATTTTTGGATATATATCCAGAAGCTGGATCGTATGGTATTTCTATTCTTAATTTTTCAATGAATATCTATACTGTCTTCCATAATGGCTGTACCATTTTACATTCTCATCGTGTACAAGTGTTCCAATTTTTTCACATTTTCACCACACTTGTTACATTTTTCAATAACAGCCATTTTAACAGATATGAAGTGTCATTGTGGTTTTGATTTTAACTTCCCTGATAATTAACAACTTTTCATATACATGTTGTTCATTTGTATGTCTTCTTTGGCAAAATGTCTATTCATGCCAATTGCAAATTTTTAAAAATCAGCTTATCTGATTTTTTGCTACATAGCTATAGGAATTTCTTATGTATTTTGGATATTTGGATATAAACTGATCAGATATATAATTAGCAAATATTTTCTGTCATTTCATAGGTTCTCTTTTCACTCTGTCAGGTTTCTTTTTCTTTTCTGTACAGAAGCTTCTTAGTCTGATGTCTTTCCACTGGTCTATTCTTGCTTTTGTTGCCACTGCTTCTGGTGTCATATCCAAGAAATCATTGCCAAGACCAATGTCATAACGATTTTCCCTTATTTTTTTTTTTTGTAAGTTTTACAGTTTTAGGTCTTACTTTTAAGTCTTCAATCTATTTTAGTTGATTTTTGTTTGTGGTGGAAGATAAGTGTCCAATTTCTTTTGATGTGGATATCCAGTTTCCCCCACCCTATTGAAGAGATTATCACTTCCCCATTGTGTATTCTTGAGAACCTTGTGGAAGATCAGTTGAGTGTAAGTGCCTGTGTTTATTTCTGAGCTCTTTATTCTTTCCCATTGGCCTTCATGTCTGTTTTTATGACATTACCATACTGTTTCAATCTTTGTAATATATTTTAAAATCAGGAAGTGTGGTACTCCCTGATTTGTGATATTTTCTGATTTCAATCAGGGAGTATCAATATTTGCTCTTTCTCAAGATTGCTTTGGCAATTTAGGGTCTTTTGTGGCTCCATATGAATTTTAAGATTTTTTTTGTATATCTATAGGATTGCCATTGGGATTTTGATGGGGATAGGATTAAATTTGTAGATCACTTTGGGTAGTATAAACATTTTAACAATATGAGGTTCTCCAGTCCACAAATGTGGTATGTCTTTTCATTTATTTGCATCTTTAATTTCTTTCATTAGTGTTTTGTAGTTTTCAGTGTACAAGTTTTTCACCTCTTTGATTGTTTGTTTCTAAATATCTCATTCCTTTAGATGCTATTGTAAATAGGATTTTCCCCTTGATTTACTTTTCAGATATTTCATTGCTAATGTACAGAAATGCAACAAATTTTTGTACATTAATTTTGTATATTACAACTTTAAAAATTAGTTTATTGGTTCTAAGTATTTTGTGCTAGTGGATTCTTTATAATTTAATTTTCTACATGTAAGATTATGTTATCTGAAAAAATAAAAATAATTTTATTTCTTTCTTTTGTGTTTGCCATTTATTTTTTTCTTGTCTAATTGCTCTGGCTAGGACTTTTAGTACTATGTTGAATAAAGGTGGTAAATATAGGCATCCTTGCCTTGTATTGCATCTTAGAGGAGAAGCTTTTAACTTTTCACTTATGAGTATGCTGTTAGCTGTGGGCTTGTCATATATAGCCTTTATTATGTTGAGGTACATTTCTTCACATTGTGTCTCATTTATTGAGGGTTTTTATTGTGAAAGTTTGTATTAGTCCGTTTTCATACTGGTGTAGAGAAATACCCAAGACTGGGTAATTTATAAAGGAAAGAGGTTTAATTGACTCACAGTTTCACATGACTGGGGAGCCCTCAGGAAATTTACAATTATGGCAGAAGAGGAAACAAGTAACTTTATTACAAGATGACAGGAGATAGTGTGAGCAAAAGCAGGGAAAACTGCCTTATCAAACTATCAGACCTCATGAGAACTCACTCACTATCACGAGAACAGCATGCGGGACGCCGCCCCATGATCCAATCACCTCCTGCCAGGTATTTCCCTAGATACATGGAGATTATGGGGATTACAATTCAAGATGACATTTTGGTGGGGACACAAAGCCAAAACATATCAAAGTCATTGAATTTTTAAAAACATTTTTCTTCATCTATTGAGGTCATCATGTAACTTTTATCCTTCTTCCTGCTAATGTGTTCTATCAAATTTAATGAGTTCATGTCCTTTGTAGGGACATGGATGAAATTGGAAATCATCATTCTCAGTAAACTATCGCAAGGACAAAAAACCAGACACCCCATATTCTCACTCTTAGATGGGAATTGAACAATGAGAACACATGGACACAGGAAGGGGAACATCACACTCTGGGGACTGTTGTGGGTGGGGGGAGGGGGGAGGGATAGCATTAGGAGATATACCTAATGCTAAATGACGAGTTAATGGGTGCAGCACACCAACATGGCACATGTATACATATGTAACAAACCTGCACGTTGTGCCCATTTACCCTAAAACTTAAAGTATAATAATAAAAAAAAAATTGGCAAGAGTTTAAGAGGTGGATTAAAGAAGAGAACTTTTTTACTGAAAGGGAAAATGTTCGTATTTATGCCAATTTTAATTAATTCATTAATAGCCAGACAGTCTGAAGAAGATTGAGGTAAAATAGAATGGTTTGATATGGTACTTGTATGAAGAATGACAGATGCCAGAGAAGAAAATACAAGTAGAAATAATACCCAAGATCATCAGATTTTGTCATTGATGCTGAAATATTTCCACCAAACAGGAAAGAATATATTGTTTAAGACTATTACTGAAAGCGTCGTGTTTATTGGATGTCTATTGTTCCAAATATTTTTATAATCTTCTAATTTTTAGCCTAATCTTGACATGAATACATGTCAAATGCTTATTTTAAAGATAAGTCATGAACATGTCATTGAGCATGCTCTATATATTGTGCAGTACTTCCCTAGGCACTATGGGGAGATAATGACAAGGCATACTTTCTAATACCAAGGAGGGTCAATGCTGTGTTTTGCAATGGAAGAGAGGATCACTGTATGGGTGGCCAGAATCAAAAGAACAATTAATTAGAGGAATGGCAAATTTGGAATTTCTTTACACAGAGGCTCAAAGTCAGAGGGTCAGTAAATACAAAAAAAGGGTGTCAAAATTTATAAAGGCTGAGTTTGAGACTATGTTACAAATGTTTATCCTCAATGACATATGAGAAGAACATATCTGATGGTATTATCAGATACCAGATACTTTGAACATTAGTAATAGAATAAGGTAATCAATAAAAAATGAAATAGCTAGGCAATCTAATATAGGATCAGATGAGCATGAAGTTCAACCTAGCAGGAAAAGCAGAATTGGAATAATTTTTCCAAAAAGAGAGGCCAGTTCAGATTAAGGGGATAAGAACTGGGTTTTAAACATACAAATTATTTTTTCTTATAAACACCACTCATATAAAGACATAAGATGTAATAATCACATATAAAAATATAAGAACTAGTTTTAAATTCATTTAAGTGACTGTGTAACTGAACATGTGTTTGGAGTTCCCCAAATCTATATAACACATAAATTATTATTTGTCATACACTGTCCCCCAGAGTCCCACATAAAAGGGGGAGAAAAATGACATCCAATATTTTAGTGCCCCTCCAATTATCACAACCACTTTTTAGACCTAATGGAGTAAACTGTGTCTTTATTTAAAAGACACTGCTTCTTGGAGGCTCATATCATTCAGTTATTGTACTTTCTATACTTTCCCGTCATAGTCATTTTTGTATTTGTTTAGTTTTGCTGCATGACAAACTGCCTTAAACCTAATGACTTATAAAAACAATCATTTGCTCAACTCATAATTCTCCAGGACAGCAATTTGGACTGTGCTCAGCTGGGCTGTTATCTGGTCTCAATTGGAATCACTATTGCTTTTAGATTAACTGAGAGGTGACTAGACTAGGACAATAACAGCTGGGACCATGTATTTCTTCTTGATGTCATCTGTCATTCCCCAGCAGAGTAGCCTAGACTGATTCATATGATGGCTGGGAGGGTTATACAAGAAAGCAAGTGGAAACATTCAAGATTTTTGAAGCCTAGGCTCCAAATTGGCTTCCATCCTTTCCACCACATAATAAGTACATCCACTGAGACAAATTATGAGATGAACACAAATTCAGGGGCACAGGAAATAGACTCCTAGATGGGAAGATTTAAAGAGCTTTAATTGTCAAAGACATGGATACAGAGAGACATGAAGGCTCATATTCATGCTTGCAAGCTCTTACTCTTTCTCATCTTCTGATGTCCTCTCCTCAGGCAATGATTTTCTTCTTTGAATCATGACCCATGTCATTTCCCCAGCACCAGCCATCATTATGGCTGACTTGGGATCTCTATGTGGCACTCCAGCCTCTCAGGTCTTAATCTCTTCATCTACAGACCTTTACCTCCATGCCACATTGGTCATCTGTTGCCTTGCCACATCCTGGGCCTCGTCTCCACTGGAGTAAATTTACCTTTGAAATGGAAGTAAACGCTCCACTTTCTGACATAATCTCACTCCTTTTGGCTCTCATTATGACTGACCCTTTTTCATTGACATTATTGGTATTTTTAGGCCTTTGGCCTTTCTGCCTGTATATCACTTCCTATATTTCTTAGATTCTATGCTAAAGCCATTTAATCATTCTCCTGGCTATATCTCCAACTTTTTTAAAAAAATATATCTCAGTAGTTTTGCAGTTCAGGTGCCATTCCTTAAAGAACAATAGCCATGGCTTGTTTTGATGACTCACATCTGTAATCACAGCACTTTGGGAGGCCAAGGCGGAGGATCCACTTGAGGAGGATCACTTGAGGTTGGAGATCAGCCTGAAAAACACAGACCTTGTATCTACAAAAAAATTAACAATTAATTGGGAGTGGTGGCATGCACCTATAGTCATAGCTGCTTGGGAGGCTAAGAGGATCCCTCGAGTTCAGGGGGTTCAAGGCAGCAGTGAAGTATGATTGCACCACTGCACTCCAGCCTGGGTGATAGAGCAAGATCCTGTCTCAAAAAAATAGAAATGAAAAAAAAAAAAAAACCCAGCCATAACCAAACACAACACCCAGCAGGACATTAAAGACGAAATGGGGCCTGTAAAACTACATATCTAAAAAGGGGACCTACATAGTTTTAGCTCTTGCCTGATTTGCAGTTCACATTTGTTGATCCTTGCCAAGGTGGTTGTTGTTATTCTTCTGGACAATATGGAGTCCTTACATGTGTTCCTTGTTTATTGCAGTATTTTAGCTCAGGCCATGACATTAGCAAAGCAAAAAAAGACTATGCATATTTACAAAGGGTCAGAGAAAAAAACAAAACAAAACAAAACTTTTTTTTCCTTATGAGCTTCTGGCAAATAAACTTAAAGCTGCACTGGGAAAATGTGATAGTTTCCACTCCACCCTCTTGAGTCTCCTACCACCCTGGTCTCTCTTCACCCCCCTGAAGAGAGCTAGAAGAGCACAGTAAGTCCTTGGATAGCTCCTGTGCCAGAAGTCACTTTTAACCTCTCAGAAATGGAGGAACAAATACTTACAACCTATAAAAAGATCATAAACACTGCAAACCATCGAGGCCAAGTGGGAAAATATGGCATTTAAGAGGGAGAGAATGAGCGTCCAAGTTACTACTTGTAATTGAATGTATTGAAATCCTCAGACCGGTGAAACCTTCTGGTTATACAAGGGCAACACTGGAAGACACACTTTATTCTCTCCCTCTCTGATGCTAACTGCAACTGGAAGTTCATTTCATCTTTAAAAAATAAGTACACTCTTCTTTTACCTCAAATTTCACCATTTTATTTCAATATTTTGGGAACAATTAAAGCACTAGAAACAGAGGGGGCATTTAGACTCCTGAAGGTGATAGTTCTCTCCAGGTCACAGAGCCAACGCTACATTTTATGCTCAGAATTTGAACACAGGTTTTCTGCTATGTTCTGCATTCTTCTCCCTGTACTAGAAGGGCAGAACTAATGCAGTTATATATCACTTTTTAAAAATATACTTGTTTTCTTTTATTGTATTGCTCTAGATACTGACGCATCATAGTCAAAACAAACTGAACCAAGAACAACAAAAATTAAAGCAAAACGATGTATTTTTCATACCCTCCTGCCACCTTCCCTGTGTCACTTGCTGCTTTTAAACTTATGCCTAAAGGGAAATGATCATTGATGAATGCGTACATCATTACACTTGAATGAAAGACTCACTGAAGTGTCAGTGACCAAAGGAGCAGAAATACACCATTTAAAAATAATTGCAGGTAAGGCATGATGGCTTGTGTGCAGTGCCTCATGCTTGTAATCCCAGTACTTGGGGGTTGAGGTGGGAGGATCACTGGAACCCTGGAGTTTGAGATCAACCTGGGCAACATGGCAAAACCCTGTCTCTACAAAAAGTGCAAAAATCAGCCAGGTGTGGTGGTGCATTCCTGTAGTTTATCTACTTGGGAGGCTGAAGAGGGAGAATCACCTGGAATGGTAAAATTACCTGAGCCAGGGATCAGGCCACTGCACTCTAACCTGGTGAATGGCAGTGAAACCCTGTCTCAAAATAAAATGAAATGAAATGAAATAAAAATAATTGCAGAGTTGTGTGTGGTGGCATGCACCTATAATCCCAGCTACTCCAGCATATGAGGCAGAAGGGCTGATTGAGCCCAGGAGTTCAAGAGAAGCCCAGGCCACATAGTGAGATGCCTATCTCATTTTAAAATAAAAAATACAATTTAAAATAACTACAGTATAGTCAGTGAATGACCCTCCAAAGAGGAATCAAAGAGGTGGCTTAGAGGCAATCACCCGCTTAGAAATGCGCTGCAACATAAACCTTTGTATTTGAATTAGCTATTTTAAACAGAAAAAACATTTTCTCTTCAAATTAAGAATCTTTTAAATCATTACTAGTTCTCAGTGTCAGTGTTGGAACAGTGCCCACAGTAATGGATGGTACTTAACCCACACTTGATTAGTGGCAGTTTTCAAATTACGGTCCATTCACCACTTACGTTGTAATCACTTGCAGAGAGAGTTGCAAAAGAAGATTCCTGGCCCAAGAGCTGGCCCACACAGTCAGATCCTCGTGGTAGTGAAGCCAGTGGGTGGATGGCAAGTGCAGTGGGGAGAAGGATGTATCTTCGAGGAAATCCCTTCAAGTGTGGAAAGTGGCATCACTGGAGATCATGTGCATCTCAGATACTGTTGAGACTGTTTTTCACAGAGAGGGGGTTAAGTTGCAAAGAGTCTTGTCTCCCAATCACACAAAGGATGCATTTATAATTTCAGTATTCATAATTTGAGTATTGTCTCTACATTGAAACCTCAGTATCTTTTTTTTTTTTTTTTTTTTTTTTTTTTTTTTTTTTTTTTTTTAAAGACAGGGTCTCACTCTGTCTCTCAGGCTGCAGTGCAGTGGTGTGATCATAGTTCACTGCAGCCTCGACCTCGGGCTCAAGTGATCCTCCCACCTCAGCCTCTCAAGTGGCTGGGACCACAGGTGTGTGGCACTGTGCCCATCAAGTTTTTTGTATTTTTAGTAGAGATGGGGTTTTGATCTACCAAGCTTGCCCAGGGTGGTCTCGAATCCAGAGCACCCACCTTGGCCTCCTAAAGTGCTAGGATTCCAGACATGAGCCACTGTGCCTGCTCTGAGACCTCACTATTTTTTAAGGAACACATCTGAGTTCTTCCACCCTGGCTGCTGACATATTGCACACAGAATCTGGGTTTCAACATGCATAAGAAATTTACATGAAAAAATCTGCATCAGAAGTCCTCACAGGAAACATGGCAGTGGTCTCTAATAAACTCTGACGTGAATCAAATACTTGAGTTGGAATTAATACCTCAGACAGCCACAAGGCCAGGGCAAAGAAGAACATGTTCCACTTGCATATTCATTTTTTCAAAACTCTTTCCTGTCTAGGCATCCCCCAATCCGAAGCCCAACACCCACCTTTAACAATGGGTGCTGTATTCCAATAAAAATGTGAATTTGAGTTATATTTTAAAATATTGAGGCTGGGCGCGGTGGCTCAGGCCTGTAATTCCAGCACTTTGGGAGGTCGAGGTGGGTGGATCACCTGAGGTCAGGAGTTTGAGACCAGCCTGACCAACATGGTGAAACCTCCTCTCTACTAAAAATAAAAAAAAATAGCTGGGTGTGGTGGTGCACGCCTGTAATCCTAGCTACTCTGGAGGCTGAGGTGCAAGAATTGCTTGAACCCGGGAGGCGGGAGTTGCAGTGAGCTGAAATCGTGCCACTGCACTCCAGACTGGGCAACAGAGTGAGACTTTGTCTCAAAAAGAAAAAATAAATTGAGTAGTTGCAGAAAGCAAAGAGACCACAGACCACAGGCTCATTAGAGCAATGAACGAATCACAGTTTCTCCAAATGAATAGATCATGTAAGTTACTTGCTTATAATTAGAACAATACAACTCACAGAAGTTTCCAGTGTCATTAAGTATAAACTAATGTTTCATTAATGAGAAAAGCGAGGCTTAGAAAGCTGATTGTGTTAAACTGCAAATAACACAGTTTAGTGTTATTGCTTCTAGAACGTGGACTTATTTTTTTTTTTTTTTGAGACGGAGTCTCGCTCTGTTGCCCAGGCTGGAGTGCAGTGACGCTATCTCGGCTCACTGCAAGCTCCGCCTTCAGGGTTCAAGCGATTCTTCTGCCTCAGCTTCCCGAGTAGCTGGGACTACAGGGGCCCGCCATCACGCCCAGATAATTTTTTTTTTCTTTTTTGTATTTTTAGTAGAGATAGCGTTTCACCATGTTCGCCAGGGTCGTCTCCATCTCCTGACCTCGTGATCTGCCCGCCTTGGCCTTCCAAAGTGCTGGGATTACAGGCATGAACCACCGCGCCCGGCGGAACATGGACTTCTCAACTCCAATGTAGTTTCTGTCTATTCCATCAGCAGACTTCCCTTTCTTTACATAAATGGTAACTTTCAGATATATCATATAAAGGCGTATTAAACAGCATTTATTGATGATTTGTTTCACGGGAATAGATAACGAAAGCACACGGTACATGTGAAAGCATATGAAAGCATTCAGGAAGACCATATTCATGATGAGAGGGGACCTCCTAACGTAGGGTCTGGCCTGGGTCACTTGAGGGTGAAAAAAACATTAATTAAAATTGTGTATTTTATAAAATAATTATTAAATGACTGTCAGACTGACATTAGTTATATTGAATATTATATATTCAAAAACTTTTCAGAAATAAAATTATTCATAAAAATAAGCTATACGTATATAAAAGCAAAAACTTCAAACAGCCATTATTTTATTTGAGCATTAGAAATAACAAACAGAATAGGGCTAGGCATGGTGGCTTACGCCTGTAATCCCAGCACTTTGGGAGGTCGAGGCATGTGGATCACGAGATAAGGAGATCGAGACCATCTTGGCTAACATGGTGAAACCCCATCTCTACTAAAAATACAAAAAAATTAGCCGGAAGTGATGGTGGGCGCCTGTAGTCCCGGCTACTCAGGAGGCTGAGGCAGGAGAATGGTGTGAACCCAGAAGGCAGAGCTTGCCGTGAGCAGAGATTGCGCCACTGCACTCCAGCCTGGGCGACAGAGCGATACTCTGTCTCAAAATAAATAAATAAATAAATAAATAAATAAATAAATAAATAAATAAATAACAGAAGAATTATACATAATCTATGTATGGATATTATATATATTTACATCACAAGCATTTTTCTGAAAAATATATTTTTTCTCAGCATGATATTTTAAAATTTGTTTTAAATACAACTTTCTGTAAGCTCCTTCAAAGTTACATCTTATGGCTCCTAAATTTGTAACTAGATACTTTCCACATACCCTTATTTCTACATTATCAATTTTTAATTGAAAAAATATTCCTTTTTCCCCTCGAAATAAAGGCTGAATTGTTCCGTATGTTCAGAGCAAATTATCCTAAAGGAAGATTATACCCAATTGTATTGAAATGTGTAATAATGACAAATATGTTCACAAAAAGAGCAAATACATTCACAAGTGTTGTATTTTTACCTCCATTCAGCGACTTTTCTTCAAATATCTTCCAAGTAAATCTGTCAAGTAAGTTGTATGTTTCATACAACTTTGTAATTTTCCTAAACTAAATTAAGATGCTTCAGAATCATAGGGCTTCTCAAGTCCGTTCCATTTCCTTACAGAATATAAGACATTCACGTAAAAAGTAATGTACATCAAGTGCTTATACAAGAAATATTTTTAACTTTGACAATTAAAGGTTCCATCTTCATTAGAATATCACCAGTTCTTTGAACACCATGATGAGCCGTTTTATACCATGAACACTTCTGCTCCCTGGGTTTCTTTTGATTGATTTAAAAAAAAAAAGTGTTTTGTTTTTGTTTTTTTTTTTGAGACGAAGTCTTGTTCTGTCTCCCAGGCTGCAGTGCAGTGGCACGATCTTGGCTCACTGCAACCTCCACTTCCCAGGTTCAAATGATTCTCCTGCCTCAGCCTTCTGAGTAGCTGGGATTACAGGCCCACGCCACCAAGCCTGGCTAAATTTTGTATTTTTTTAGTAGAGATGGGGTTTCACCATGTTGTCGTGGCTGGTCTCAAACTCATGACCTTGTGATCCGCCCGCCTTGGCCTCCCAAAGTGCTGGGATTACAGGCGTGAGCCACTGCGCCTGGCCTGTTTTTTACCATGATACTTTTGGAAACTAAATTTACAGTGGCATCCAAAATAATGTCAGGAGTTTCACCATTTACAGGATGAAAAGCTAAACTTTGATTCCATAAAAAGGATTAAAAGTAATCTATTATTAGAATTAACTGCTCTTTTATTTGAAGCATCTGCTGACACCAGTATGGCAGTGACATTATTTAACAGTGTGAACAATTCTCTTTGTGGTACCCCAGACAACCTCTTACAGCTATCACTTAATTTTTTATATGCAAAGAATTTACAATCTAAAATGAACAAAATTAATTTAGAGAAACAGTCAATCTAAATAAATGTAAAACATTTTTTGCAGTGTAATAGGTAAATGTACTTTTCATATCTTCATGTTTTACATTGTTTATAGGCATAGGTTCCTTAAAATAACTATCAAATGTTCAAGTTTATGATAATACTTTTTTAGGAGACATGTGTCTTCTGTGTTTATATGGTCAGTGATATCACTATAGACCCATAGTTGATGAGGCTATAAACATTTTATGTAGGTTATATATTTATCATCTGGTTTCTTGAGAATGGAAATCCAGTTATGTGTCTATTTTCAAACCAAAATGTACTTTTTGCATTTCTACTGCAAGGATTATTGCAAAAAATGTTACAAACAATAAAATAAATAATTACAGATTTTTTCTACACAGAGTCACTATAGCGAGGTCTTCTTTGCCTGCATTTGTTTTCTTGCACTTAACCTGTAGTTTCCCAGGTGTCCCTCTGAGCAGTCCACCTGGCCTTGTGCATCTCCCAGGCCCTAGCAATGACCATGGCACCAACAGCCGAGGTGAGCTGATGTTCAGCTATGGGAGCATCAGGGACGGCAGCTGACTTTCCCACGTCCACCCAAGCGTTGAAGGATTCTGCTATCCCAGGCATTGGTGTCAGCACACAACCTCATTACAGCCACAGGCACCCTACATGAGGCCAGTGACACTGAGATGCTAGGTCTGTTTGGAAAAGAGGGGCAGAAGCCAGAAGTGAGAAGGGGCAGTATCCAAATCCACCCCAGTGCATTTTAAGGCAGCAGTTAAATATTATAGTTTATTTTAAGTGAGAAAACATCAATATTCATGCTAAATGGACAGGAAGTGGTTCAACAGCTATAAACCAAGACTGTGCAGGACATGCAAGTTATGACATTTTTTAGGACTTAGATGAAAGGAGGTTCTTATCTTGCATTATTTCAAGGTACTGATGGGGCAGATGACATGTCTTTGTTATTGGCAACAAAAAAGAGTGCCTTTTTTGGTATTTGTCCCAAAGCCTTTTTTGAGAGAGCCTCTTCCACCCTTTAAGTATGCTCTTTAGGAATTAATCTAGCCATGACTCCCAGGGTTTAAAGCTCACGGGGTTTCTCCTAATCCATGCCCCTGTAGGACATTTCATCAGGAGCCTCCACTTACCTAGTTAAGTGGCTTGAAAGATGACCCCAATTCTGAAATGAGATGCCACCCTGAGCAGAGGGCCAAGCCAACCTGTGCCCAGATTCCTGACCCAGGGAACTGTGAGATAATATATTGGTGTTGTTTTAAGCTGGTAAATTTGTGGTACTCAAAAAGCAATGCAACTTTAAATAAAAATATCAACTGGAATAAACTAATTTTATTTATATATGTGCATCTATTTGTGTATCTGTGTATGTATACATACATCGACAAAGAGGCTGTCCCTAACCAAACTCTAGACAGGCTCCTCTGAGCTCATTTTTGACTAGGCCTCATCCTTGGTGTGTTCTCCAGCGCCCAGTTTTAGTAAGACTCCCGCCAAGTTGGTTTAGCCAGAATCTCCCACCCTTGAGATCTGATCCAAGTCCTTATTTTCCACCATCCCCCAAGTGATTATCTGATCACCCCAGCTTGCATTCAGCAAGAATCCCGTCAAGTCCATTTAGCCAGAAATCCTTCACCTCGCTGTCTTATTTCAGTAATTTTCCATCATCCACTGACCACCAACTTGGCTTCTTGGCTATAAATCCCTACTTACCCACGTTGTATTAGGAAATGAGCCCAGTTCTATACTGAGGCCTCTTTTTCCCTGTTTTGACAGTCCTTGATTAAAATCTGTTTTTACTACTTTTCTCTCCAGCTCTCATTTTTCTTTAAAAACATAGGCATATGTAATAAACACATAAAATGCACACAGCCTATCCACAAACTCATGGGTCATTTATAAGAAACTAGACAGCATATGGTAATATATACATTCATGTGTATTGTATACATGTATACATTACTTACTGGAGAAGTGAGGAGTTTCCTTTAACTGGGATATTAATGAGGCCTTTAACTGACCCAAAGAAGTTTGTTGTGATTTAATTTTTTCCTCCTGTTCTATTTCTTCAGTAAACCTGGCAATAGTCTAACCTTAAAAATGGAGTTGATGTCCTTATAGGTCATTATCTTTAAATAAAACCAAAGCAGGTGTTTTCTCTTGGATGTATTAAAAATACCTAAAAGGTAGCTTAGATTGACTTGTGGCACAACAAATGCATTTAATGTCAACTAATGCAAGCCATTGAAGGTGTGGCCACTGAACATTTGATTTTATAGGAAAGAATATCTAGAGTATTTTTTAGAATAACATGGCTGTGCTATTGCTTATCTTTTGGAAAGCATCCCAGGTTTGCTTATTCTCTGCCTTCAATATTGAGTTGAAGGATTTTGGGAAAAGGGACTTGTGAAACATATCCCTTCTATTCCTGGAAAACTAGAAATATAAAGTGTTAATAATATCAGTGTCACTGTGACCTCCTCCACTGACAGGACTGGTTTATGCCAGGTCATTTTTCTGGCACACAGGGAATAGCTTTGACAGATTGGTAGCTTTTTTTTTTAAGATGGGAGACATCTAAAATATTTATGTTTTCCTCTCTTAGTCCCTTCTCTAATATTTAGAAATGTTCTCAGACTTTAAAACAATGCACAAGGCTTCAGTTTTCTGTCATTTGACTTTAGAAGGAAATGTTTGTTGATAATAATTATCCTCTTATATAAAATTTATGTATAAAAATCTCACCTCCGAATATATTAAATGACAAAATTACTTTATAAAATGTTTATGCACACTTTATAACCTTAAGTTTTCATTTGGCCATGTAAAAGTACAAGGTGCAGTAGACTTCAACAGTCTTGAGTGCCAGGAATAATTCAGAAAGAGAAAATAGTTGACAAATGAATTGAAAGAGTCCTAATCCAAAGATGGTAAAAATGTAGAAAGACCTTGATGGCTTTCTGGGTATCAGTTTCTTAAGCAGTCCAAACCTAAGCTTAGAAGAAAAGCTCAGCATTGAGCACTTTCACCTTCATGGGTAAGTTTCAGCTTACTCTTGCCAAGAGAAGAAGGCAGAATTAGTTTGAAGTATGCAGCCTTTTTGTAAACTTTCCAGATATCGAAATAAATTTTGATATATAAATGCATTTTCTGAGATGATATGCCTCAGTTTCTATAGCCATTTCACCTGGAATATCTAATCAGTCCTATGAGTGTATTCCTACATGTGCCCAGCTTCTATGAAAACCAATTCACTGCCTTATGGCAATTAAGTACGTTATTTAAGGAGGAAAAAAATTAAATTGTTGAATCGAATGTGTAGGCTTCTTACCATTATAGAATTTCTCTTTGCACATTAGTTAATGACTTAATCTAAATTTTAAGTGTTTAAAAATAGTTAATTGTCCTTCATCAAACTTGTATTAAATAGGTCCATTTATGTATGGAAGAGGGAAAGAGTTCATATAAGCTGGACACAAGCTCATGTGCCTGTGAGTCAGTAAAGACTGAAGTAATGTCCCATGTTGAGTTGGTTATTTTGATATATGATGATTAACATCTTTGAGGTAAAACAATTTTTTAACTGGAAAATCACAAGATATATTCATCATATTTTTCAAGAAAGATAGTTTTTTTCCTGCATGGCAAATAGGTTAAAGTAACACTCTATGGAAATTGCATTTAGGTTCTAAAAAAATAATCTGTAGAGATATCTATGCAATATATAGTTCGTTCAGATTAGTTTTCATTCGGGGAATGAAGTTCTGAAATGTCTCCAAAGTAGTTTACTCATCAATTTAAAAGTCCTCCAATAGGAGAATGATTGGACCATGGTGTGTGGTAGTGGAAAAGAAAAGCTCCCTCCGTTTTTTGAAGGGAATAACTTTAAAAAACACTTAAACTTTTGTTTACTTGGTACAGTTAAGAATTCAACTTGTCGGCCGGGCGCGGTGGCTCACGCCTATAATCCCAGCATTTTGGGAGGCTGAGGTGAGCGGATCACGAGGTCAGGAGATCGAGACCATCCTGGCTAACATGGTGAAACCCCGCCTCTACTAAAAATACAAAAAATTAGCTGGGCGTGGTGGCAGGCACCTGTAGTCCCAGGTACTCGGGAGGCTGAGGCAGGAGAATGGCGTGAACCCGGGAGGCGGAGGTTGCAGTGAGCCGAGATTGCGCCATTGCACTCTAGCCTGGGTGACAGAGCGAGACTCCGTCTCAAAAAAAAAAAAAAAGAATTGAACTTGTCAATTTTAACAGTGTTTATACCTGAAATAAACTTATGTGATGTTCAAACAAAAGGATGTGTATGGCAGCATTGTCCATAATAGAATATTACTATAATCAGCTCAAAATCTACATCAACAAAAGAATGGACATAGAAAAAAATAGACTATTCATACAATGGAATCAGAGTTGGCAATAAAATTAAAGAGCTAGAGCTTCAAGTAACTAGTTGATGAATCTCAGAAAAAAAAAACTGACGAATAAAAATAAGTCACAGAGAAAATCATTAAACATGACTCTATCTGCATAATATAAAAGATAGGCCAGAATAAACAATATTTTGTTTGGGAATACATTTTCTTTTTTTGTTTCTGTTATTGTTTTGTTTGTTCGTTTTTGTTTGGGATGGCGTCTGGCTCTTGTTGCCCAGTCTGGAGTGCAATGGAACCATCTCGGCTCACTACAACCTCCACCTCCTGGGTTCAAGTGATTCTCCTACCTCAGCCTCCCAAGTAGCTGGGATTATTGGCACGTGCCACTACACACGGCTAATTTTTGTATTTTTAGTATAGACGGGGTTTCACCATGTTGGCCAGGCTGGTCTTGAATTCCTGACCTCAGGTGATCCACCCGCCACGGCCTCCCAAAGTGCTGGGATTATAGGTGTGAGCCATGTGCAATGGCAGGATCTCGGGTCACTGCAACCTCCGCCTCCTGGGTTCAGGCGATTCTCCTACCTCAGCCTCCCGAGTAGCTGGGATTACAGGCGTGGGCCACCATACCCGGCTAATTTTTGTATTTTTAATAGAGACAGGGTTTCATCAGGTTGGCCAGGCTAGTATCAAACTCCTGACCTCAGGTGATCCGCCCGCCTCAACCTCCCAAAGTGCTGAGATTACAGGCGTGAGCCACTGCGCCCAGCCTTGGAATACATTTATATGTGTTAAAACTATATAAAAGAGAAAGTGACTGACGAATGGTGAATGATTATAGCGGCAAGAAAACATGGAGATTTTAAGTGCAGACTCGGGAATTAAACTGCTCTGCTTCCAGCTCTACCACTAATTAACTGCGTGACTTACTTGACCTTGGTCAGTTGTCCAATATCTCTATGCCACAGTGTCCTTATCTAAAGAAGGGTGGTACATGCACCTATGTCATACGATTATATATGGATAAGTGACTTTAAATCTCATCGCATGTGTGTTTATTATTCAGACTGAGTTCTAGATGATAGTTACCTCTAGTGGGGATGAGGAGGCAGAGCAATGCAATTTGAAAGGGGAGTACTGGGGCCCCAAACATTTTCTCAAATCAACTGCATCACATGGTTGATACAGCCTCAGTAACACTTTATTGGCCTGACATGGTGGCTCATGCCTGTAATCCCAGCACTTTGGGAGGCTGAGGCGGGTGGATCACCTGAGGTCAGGAGTTCGAGACCAGTCTGGCCAACATGGTGAAATGCCATCTCTACTAAAAATACAAAAAATTAGCCAGGCATGGTGGCAGGCGCCTGTAATCCCAGCTACTCGGGAGTCTGAGGCAGGAGAATTGCTTGAACCGGGAGGCAGAGGTGGCAGTGATCTGAGATGGCATCATAGTACTCCAGCATGCACAACAAGAGTGAAACTGTCTCAAAAAAAAACAACAACATTTTATGTTATTTTTGTAAACTCCACATATACACTGCATGTCTCTTCTATGTGTCTTATATTTTACATTTTTTAAAGTTAGGTTTTAGACTAGGAAATTATTTTCCCATTTCTTTCCTTGAAAAAGTACAATAGACCAACCAGGGCAATATAGTGAGACCTTGTCTCTACAGGTGGCACGTGCCTGTAGTTCCAGCTACTTGGGCGGCTGAGATGGGAGGACAGCTTGAGGCCCAGAGGTTGAAGCTGCAGTGACCTATGATCGCACCACTGCACTCCAGCCTGGGAGACAGAGTGATATTCAGTCTCAAAAAAAAAAAAAAAGTACAATATATCACTTAAACTGAAAGTTTAAGATTGATAAACAAATGTGTTTATTCTTCTATTTCCAAAAATTGGTATTTAAATATTACTTGTTGCTAAATTGACTTCCTTTTAAACGGCACTTGGTGTACACATACCAAATAGTTTTCAATCTGTGCATTTGGCTATGGTGAAGCTTCTAAGGAATAAACTATTTCCTCTGGGCAAGGATCCGTTTGTAGGACTATGAAACTATCAATTTGCCTTAAGAATTTGGTATGGCTTAGTAAATTTGTAGCTGGCATGGCCTCTCTGGTTTAATTCGTATTTAAGGAAAGTAAAGTACAGTAAATCAGTTTTTCCAAAGTGACTTCGTTTTTCTTACAAGTCCTCCCAATGCATTGTTCATGTCTCAATAAACACAAAAATTTCTTGTAGCTTTTTTCCAATGGCTCAGGAGACACAGATGACAAAACATGGGTTCATGTCCTACGTTAAACCAGTCTGGAGCCTTCTATCACTGGTCTGCAGTGATGGAAATCTGTCCTGATATGTCATCTTTGAACCTGTTCTTTCATATAAATACTTTGGTTGTAATCACTGCCTGTTTTAGCTGTTTGTGTCCCTGGGATGCTGTTATGTTTATCTGTTTGGGTTCTCTTCTCTGCCGTTTTCATTCACAGCTTTATGTAACCCTGAACACAGCTCCAACAAGATCTCACATGGGTGAAGAACAGAGGTTTGGATGTCAGTGATTTTGTCGATGATTAAACAGTTAATACACAACAAAGCTGAAACCAGAACCAAGTACTACCAGATCCCTAGCAAACGTGTGTTTCACTTCTTCATTTGGCCTTTCCTTTCACTTAGTGCTTCTTAGTACGTCCGTAAGAGTAGGTGCATTTGCATTGCCCTGCAAGGTGTTCTGACCACTTTTCCCTCTAAATATTAATAAATATCATCCAATGAACAGCACACCTTAGAGGCCAAATAGAACTGGCCAAATAGAACACAGGAGCCAATCAACAAATATTTGATGAAAAGGAAGAAGAAAAGGGTGAAAATAGTAAGTAAAAGTCAGCACAGCTTCCTCCTCACTTGCCATCCGGCACTGCACACCTGCCTGCCATGTGCTATTGAGGGATGGTCATGTCCTTCACACCTGTCACACACTATCTTACTAAAGTTCTCAAATAAATAACCTTAGGTTATTTAACTGACCTTGACAAATAGGAAAGATAGGCAGAAGTCAAGATCTAGTGTGCAAAATATCTGATTTCTGTGCATTTTTATTGCTTTTGTTTCTTTGCAGTCTTTGTCTTTCTGGCATCTCCCTCTCTTTTTTCTCTGTGTGCTCCCTCCTCCTCCTTTGCACTTTTCCCCATATTTTGGCTAAATGCACCTGTGGCACCAAACCACAGTGTGGAGCCGAGACAACAGAGGGTCACTGAGCCGCATACTAACTGCAGACAATCTGCCTTGGAAAGCATCTAAAAAGGAATGGGCAGCTTCAGCTGAAATTGGATAAATCCTTCTGTAAATCGAGAGCCTCTAATAAGCCTTTTATTACAATTAAAGAAGATATTGTGCATTAAATTGGAATCAGTTGTTGCTGATGGGGAAGCATTAAAATCAATTATTTTAAAAACGGATTGTTTTTCAATTGGCTTTTCAGTTTTCTTTTTTAAGACTACTTTTTTGCTTTTCTGGAAAATAATCAAAAGAGTAAATGTGAAAAAGTGAAACAGAATTCAGTGTGAAAAGAAAAGGTTAAACCTGGTAACATTAGGTGGATTGCTTGTCAGTTTGCACATGAAGCAGAGGTTTATTATGGAATTGGACATGATGTTTCAGAATATCATTTGTGGCTCCTCCTGCCTCCAATACTTACTGATCCCCAATTATTTCGCAGCTAGGTCTTGCATTACATAAATCCTACACTGCATAATCTAGGATCCCTTGAAAGGAAGCTAATAAGAATACTTAATGGGTTTACCATGTCATTGACTTTAAATTAGGACTTCCATCCTAGAATGAGAAGTGTGAACATGGATTAAAAACCCAGGGGCCAGAGGCCGGGCATGGTGGCTCTCGCCTGTAAGCCCAGCACTTTGGGAGGCCTAGGAGCGCAGATCATGAGGTCAGGAGATCGAGACTATCCTGGCTAACGCGGTGAAACCCCTTCTGTACTAAAAATACAAAAAAATTAGCCAGGCATGATGGTGGGCACCTGTAGTCCCAGCTACTCAGGAGGCTGAGGCAGGAGAATGGCGTGAACTCCGGAGGCGGAGCTTGCAAGTGAGCCGAGATCGTGCCACTGCATTCCAGCCTGGGTGACAGAGCGAGACTCTGTCTCAAACAGAACAAAACAAAACAAACAAACAATCCAGAGACCATTGTCAAAGACATTAGTGACATTAGTAAACCAAAGTCAGAATGAGCTATTTGTAACAGGCAAGAATGAGACTGTACACAATATCTATTTTTGGACAAGAGATTGGAAAATAAAATGTTTCTTTTTTTTTGAGGCGGAGTCTCGCTCTGTCGTCCAGGCTGGAGTGCAGTGGCGCGATGTAGGCTCACTGCAAGCTCCGCCTCCCGGGTTCACACCATTCTCCTGCCTCAGCCTCCAGAGTAGTTGGGACTACAGGCGTCCACCACCACGCCCGGCTAATTTTTTTTTTTTTGTATTTTTAGTAGAGACGGGGTTTCACCGTGTTAGCCAAGATGGTCTCGATCTCCTGACCTCGTGATCTGCCCTCCTCGGCCTCCCAAAGTGCTGGGATTACAGGTGTGAGCTACTGCGGCCAGCTGGAAAATATAAATTCTAAAATAAATTCTATATTCTTTTCTTTGAAAAAAATTAAGTGTATTTTATAACATTTTACCTGACTCCATTGTTCTGTCTCAGAACTCCCGAATATTATAAGCAAATTTATTTGTGTATATATAGATGCACATCTTTCTGGAGTGTGGGTACAGTAATCTCCAACAATGATTTTTACTTTTAGTGATCCCAAAATGATGAAGAATTACTACTGTATAATCTCTTTTCAACTTGAAAAACAATGTGATAGAAGTGTCTGGCTTTCCATTTATTGTGGTTTTTTTATTTGAAAAGAGCCTAAATCAAAGCTCTTCGGTTATAAGAAACAGAAGCCCAAATGACTGAGCTGAAGCAGATCAAAGCTGTCTATTAATCAGGGCAAACAACAGAAAGAAAATCCAGTTGTTTTAAACAGACACCTAATTTATTGGATGAATGTCATGGAGTTCCCAGATTTGGCTGGAAGGTTGAGGAACCAGGTTTAAAAATATAGGCAGCAGCTGGGTGCAGTGACTTGTGCCTGTCATCTCAGCTACTCAGGAAGCTGAGGTGGGAGAATTGCTGGAGCTCAGGAGTTTGAGAACAGCCTGAGCAACTCAGCAGGAGCCATCTCTAAAATAAGGAACATAGACAGAAACTGAGGCATACCATTGGAGGAAAGTCAAAATCCAGACAAGAAAAGAGTATGATTAGGGCCTTGTTGCTTCTAGCAAAGAGCCCTGCAGGACACAGCAGTGCTGGTAGAACCAGCACTGGGCTTTACCAGTTCTGCAGATGCTTGAAGAAGCTGAAATAAGTCTTAATCACCTGATTATCTGCAAAATTAAATGTATATCATTGTTCTTGGTCATAGAAAAAATATTGTTCATCAATATCCTTCACAATATCTGTCTTGTCCATTTTGTGTGGCTTTAACAGAATATCATAGACTGCATAATTAATAGTAAAGAGAAATGTATTTCCTACAGTTCTGGTGGCCGACAGGTCCAAGATTGGGAAGCTCGCATCTGATGGGGCCTTCTTGCTGTGTCATCTCATGGTGAAAAGCCAAAAGGCAAAGAGTATAAGAGAGAATAAGAGGAAGCCAAACTCATCCTTTTATAAACTACTCCCATGATAAGGAACCCACTTCTGCAATAACAGCCTTAATCCATTCATGAGGCTGGCATCCTCATGACTTAGTCACTTCTTAACTGTTCTACCTTTTAACACTATTGCAGTGGGGATTAAGTTTCCAACACATGCTTTTTGGAGGACACATTTAAACCATAGCAGTATCTTTGTGCATACTTGAAAACTGAGCTTTAAGGCTGTTCTTCAAATTTAGAAGACTAGTTCTCTTCTCATGCAATGTGAATTTCCAGAGAATGTAGACAATCCATTTATTGTCCAGAGAATGTAGACAATCCAAAGCCGTTGTCCAGCTTTTAGGAGGACAACGATAGCAGTCAAAACAGCCCTCCTAATGTATATGCATTCACATATCGACATTTTGTATTCTCAACGTCAAAAAATTGTTACATTTCAATGAATGAAATACCAATTATCATTTATATTCATCCTCTTAAGACCATTCTCTATCTAGATCTAAGACAGACAAACAGATCAAATAAAATTATCATAGAAAATAAATTTAAGTGAGAAAAAGCATACAAGAAGATCAAGATAATATGGTTCAGATTTTAAAAATGTATCTATTAAAATGCTATAAGAACAATTATATGACTAGATAAGTCAGATGAATATAACATTCAAAATAATAATCTGAATATTTTTGCCAAATATCATTTTGGTCCATTACGTTGATGATATTTGGGTAACTGGGCCGGTTAGCAGCAAGTTCCAAATAATCTAGACCCTTGCTACTCAGAGTGGTCCACGGACAAGCAGTATCAACATTGCTTGGAAGTTTGCTAGGTATGCAGAATCTCAGGCTCTATCCCAAACTTGCTGAGTTAGAATCTGCATTTTACCAAAATTCTTAGCTGATTGCCATATACATTTAAGTATGAGAAGCATTATTCTATTTCTCAGTTATCCTTATTTTTTAGGACTTTTAACTAGGGAGGAGTAAGGATTAAGAACAATCACCTGGGGATACTTTAAAAATTCTCACAGGTTCTAGAATACTTGTGGAGTAGAATAGGCACAGGTAGTCTATTAATAGCATGGATGCTATTTAGAAATCTCCTCAAATAAACATCTTAACTGTTCTCTCTGGTGGTTTGAGAATGTCTAACACAGAAATGTCCAGTCCTTAAAAGTAATTTCTAAGTTTCTGCTCTACCTTGGTATTTAAGAGCACAAATCACCTATTGGATCTAACTAGTTCTGTGACCCTTATCAATTTAGTTAGTAACTTTTTCACTCATTTGCCTTGTCTGTCAAGTGGGGATAATAATGATACCTATGTGATAACGTTTTAACATAAGTAAATGAATATATGAATGTAACATGTTTACCACTTTCCTGGTACAAAATATACACCAATAAGAAAATATATGATTATGCTGGCTGTAGTGGTGGGAGTAGTGGTGATAATGCTCTCTAACACAGAAGATTCCTTAGTATGTTTTGATTTAGAAATGCACAATAATTTAGTGTATAATTCCCAAAATTTAATTACAAAAGTGCAATTGTTTTGATGATATGGTTTTCCTCACATAATCAAATCATGCATACCTCCTCATTTATTAAAGAAATTAATGTTCAACAATATAAGCGTTTCTCTTAAAGGCTGTATACAAAGAAGCTATTTCTGTCAGAAACTATGAGAATTTCCCATTACCAACGTGGAGATGGAGTCAATGACAAAATACTGGGGCTAGTTAGAAGAGGGATAAAAGGTTTCTGTCTACCCAACGGCATACTCCCTACCTCAGACCTGCGCCTTCACTATTCAGAAGAAGCTGTCCCGGTGACTCCCGCCTACCCATGTCTATTTGTCTGTTTCTTTCCCTGCATTCCTTCACAGTCCATTAGTGAAACATTGTCCTCATTTATGTGGAAACCTACTTATTCATTATTGCAAAACCATCGGGGATAGAAGTAGATTAGCAAGGTGTCCTAAAATATTGACTTTTGAATACTAAAGTCAAAAGGAATGGGTAAGAAAGAACTTAAGAGAGTCATGCTCCTTGGGAATTGGTTATGCTTTTTTCCTCTGTTTTTCAAAAATTTATGTTAGTGTATGCATCAAATAATTTATGACTAAACTCTCTTACATATATTCATATAACTAGGAAAGAGCATCATACATATTTTTATCTCTTTCAGAACTTTATAAAACAAATGGCAATCACTAGAATATGGCTAGAGACTGTGACAATCATTCCACTCTTCAGTTTAAGGTCTGAAGTGAAAATTGAAACAGCAATCAGGTGAACGGTAACTGGGGCCAAGGAGAATTTATCCATGCAGTGTTATTAGCAAAACGCCTGGTCTAATTTATTTAAAAGATGAGGAACAGAATAAAATTAATTAAAACAACACAATCTAAAACAACTTTTGAACGTTTAAAAACACCCTACAGCATTAATGGAAAGGAATAATTCAGAAGAAAAACATGTTTTTAGTATAAAATAAACAGGAAAATATCAGTCCAAGAAATATAATTAAATTTCAAAAAGCATGAGCTTTTTATTTAAAAAAAATCAAGAAAACACTGACTCTGTTGACAAGAGGGATGAAAAATATGAGAAGCCAATGGAAAGAGCTACAAAGGGACCTGACTGATGGGTGTGCCCATGGAAAGAGAGGAGCCAGCTGACCCGCCTGTGGGCACTTGAACCAGAGCCTCTGGAAGTGTTGACTTAGAAGCTAGTCCCATGGAGGAAAGACTGGCACAGAGTAGGCTGTCAATCAATACTACTTAAATCTGTTAGGAAAGAGAACGGATGGTGCAGAAGTACACACAAAAATGAAAACGCTAAGGAAATGAAACAAACAAGACTCTAATTAAATGACTTGTTTATTGGAGTAGAAAGCAGAGTTCACATTGCAAAAATTGAATCAGTGATATTGGGACACGCGTAAATAAAAGTTTATCCATTTAATAGGTAAAAAGAACAGAGTTATGCCTTTTATATTATTAAAAGATATATACCGCACTCAAAAATAACTTTATGCATTAAATAGAAAAACAGTAAAATATATATAATTGACACTTAGAAATACAGGTAGAAGTTAAGAGACACCAATTCATGGGTGGAGACTTCCAAAATGCTTTCATAAAAACACTTAAATAAACTAAATACACCCACAGTTGAAAACATTTTCTAGTAATTAAAACTTATATATTCCAAAATTTAGTATTTTAATCATGAAAGTGTGTTTCACATACTCATGTGCACTCTAAACATTTTGTAAGTTAAAAATGTGACTTTTAAAACTTGAAAATATAATTTGTTACGCATCTTCAAACAGGAAGTTTTAAATGGACCAGCAGCACAATGTGACTTCGAGTCTCTCTCCTAATGCCTAAATGTAATGTTATGCTCTAAATTGTATCCTGGAACAGAAAATAGACAATAAATAAACTGAGGAATTCCGAACAAGTATGATCTTTAGATATCAATAGTTCATCAATACTGATTCATTAATTATATCAAATATACCATAGTAAGATATTAATAATAGAGAAAACTGGGTTTGGGGCTTTACAGGAACACCATACTATTTTCACACATTTTCTGTAAATCTAAAATGGTTCTGAAATTAAAATTCTATTTAAATCAATTGCAATATATAAAATTAATTAAATCTGAATTGTGGAAAATATCGCTTTTATTCAAATTTTCCTTGACAGCTTTTTAAAACAAAGCTTTTGTTTTCTATTTTTAGGTGAAACTGCACGCATTTTCAGTCAAACTGTTTATTTGTAACAATATGTGCAATAGTAAAAGCTTTATAACTTCCAGAGTCATAATAATGGAAAACAAAGCACACTGTTGGTTTTATTTTTGGAAAGTTATATGAAACATATAACCTCTTATTTAAGATTTATGATAACAATTCTATGGTATTCAGTAAGGGACTATAATTTACATAAAATATAAGTTGATTTTATCTCAATGATTGTGAAAAGATTAACAAATATCCAAGCTAAAGTAAGAATCCATATCTAGATTAGAAAGAAATATAAACTATATAATTATTTACTCTAAAAATATTATATACAATTATATGATTAGAGTTTTAATAATAACAAAACAGTATCAAATATTTTACATATATTCTGTAATCTGCCCTGAACAAAATTCCTTAACTTAACCTTTTTGAGAGGAGCTACCTATGAAGTCTAAAAAAGTTTAATTCAAATTTGTTTTAATATCAGCAACTCTTCAACCTTTTCCTGACTCTGCCAAGAAATTTACCTTCCTAATCTCTCTTACTATGTAAATTTCTCTCTGTGTGTGTATGAGTGTGTATTAGAGAGAGAGAGAGAGAGACTAAGACAGAAAGGGAGAAATGTATAGGAAAATGAGATAGGAAGGGTTATAATAACAGCTTTCCTTTTCTCCCTCCTGAAGTCCCCATTTTCGTTTCTGAGAGCTGATCTGGGATAGGATGGGCTAAAGGAACAGAGAAAACCAGAGTGCCAGAAAGAGCTAGAAGGGGAAGTGGGGGCCTGAAGATCAAATACTAAAGAAGGAGCTAACAGATGGCAAGGAAAGTGGTCAGCATGGCATGCAGGCAGATGGGGTCCTAGTTAGTGAAGACCCACAGGGTGGAGGGTAATCCCATGCAAGGGTCAAGTGTAATTCAGTGACAATATAGGCAACATGGGAGACCTAACACAGTGAACCAGCGATTGGCAGGTTTGTAAGGACGGTGTTCAGACTGCAGTTTTGTTTTGTTTTGTTTTGTTTTTTTTAAAGATTAAGTGATCCTGAAATTGGCATTCCATGTCATTTTAAAAGATAAATGGTAAAGCAAATGTTTTATTCACATGTCTTTATTTCTCCCCTCCCCACTTTTCCCTCCACTCTTCTTTTTTTTAATGTGGAAGTTTAAAATCCCATCTCACATTTATTTATTTATTTATTAAGTATAAATAATGGGAAAACTTCACTTGGATAGGGAACACGTAGATTTGTAGATTATATATTATTTTATTATTAATTATATATTAGTAGATTAGTAGATTTGCGTCATTATTTAGCCTTTACTGCCGCTTAGTGGTAAGGAAGAGCTATAAGTTGACTGAGAGAGGATCAACTGAGCAAGTCAGCGAACAATAGCAATGCATCTGAGATGTATTGAGAGTATTACTTGTAATTACTTTTTATATTTTGTAGGCAAAGAGCTCTTACTGCTTTACATGTAAGGTTTATTGAATATACTCTCCACGACAAAGTTTTATGTTGTAAGCATTGTATGACTTTTAGTATTACCTGAAATGTAATGAAGTTTGGGCTAGTGATGTTGTTGGTTGTTTTTGTATTCTGATTACAGAACTGCATTTTGAGAGGCTGAATATAAACTAAATGCATCCTTAGCGGCTGGCCTAGAAACTTACTTCCCCTGAGTGAAGCTGCACATTGGGAACTGTGGGTGGTAGAACATGTTTATTAAAACACTTTATTCTCTTATTTTATTATTATATTATGCCTTAATTACGGTAATTTATTAGTATGTCATATTTCCCTTAAGCTTCCTAATGTCAATACAATTTATTATCATTTTGTATGTTTCTTTTTTATTTGCTTTTTTTTTTTTTTTTGAGAATGAATCTCCTTCTGTCACCAGGCTGGAGTGCAGTGGAGCGATCTCAGAGCACTGCAATCTCCGCCTCCTGGGTTCAAGTGATTCCCCTGCCTCAGCCTTCAGAGTAGCTGGGACTACAGGCACCCACTACTACACCCGGCTAATCTTTTGTATTTTAGTAGAGATGGGGTTTCACCATGTTGGCCAGGATGGTCTCGATCACCTGATCTCATGATCTGCCTGCCTCGGCCTCCCAAAGTGCTGGGATTACAGGTGTGAGCCACTGCGCCCAACCCATTTTGTATGTTTCTTAACGTCTTGTCCAGAATTGCTGCTCAATAAATGTTTGCTCAGTTAATCTTATTGAATAAGGCAAAACAATGTCATTTTCACTATTAATTAAGACTGGCTCTGCATTAGCAGAGCAGGGACTCTGAAGTATTTGTCTCAAAAGCACCTTTTTCCCAAAAGCATTAGGCAACTTTAGAACTAGAGATTACGGAAAAGTTATTAGAGTGAAATACCCAAAAGCATTAGGCAAACTTTAGAACTAGAGATTACGGAAAAGGTATTGGAGTGAAGTCATTGAATGACCTTTGCTTTACTCATACGTTCTCTAACCAAATGGATACAGATCAGAGAGTCTTAGCGTTATAACGGGCCATAGACATTGCCTGAACCAATAGTTAAACCAGAAAAAAATATTCCAAGGAACACTTGAAGGTGTATTGAACTGTTAAAAACCTAAAAGTTAAGAGAACTAAGAATCCAAACGGTGATTGCTTAAAACAACAACAAAATGCTAGCAGAGCACCGTGGCTCAGCCCTGTAATCCCAGCAGTTTGGGAGCCTGAGGCAGGAGGGTTGTTTTAGGCCAGGAGTTCCAGACCAGCCTGGGCAACATGTAAGACCCTGTTGCTACAAAAAATAAATACGTAAATAGTCAGATGTGGTGGCGTGTCCTTGCAGTCTCAGCTACTTGGGAGGATTGCTTGAGCCCAGGAGTTTGAGGCTGCAATGAGCTATGATCGTACCACTGCACTTCTGCCTGGGTAACACAGTAAGACCCTGTCTCGAAAAAATAAAAAAAAGCCACCTCACAAAAGAATACTACTAACCACTACTGCAAAGAACATATACTTTTAACAAAAGTAGCTTCATGTGGTTTGTGTGCATTCTCAAATACTTAAAAGTGATCCATACTTTATACGTGGTTCTAAATGCTTCTGTAAGATCTCAGATTTATTTGAGTTTGAACCTTTAATGTATGGCTTAAGCAAGTGGGTGAAGGAACTCTGAACCCTGCCTGCTTTCTCTCAGCTCTGCCTCACTGAAGATGGGAACGCAGCCCTCCTCAGAGGCAACTGGGACACCTGGCTGCAGTGCCCACGTGACATTCCTGTGGAGAAAAGCACTTTAGGGCCAGTCTCCAGATGCCCTCTCATGGGTCTTCTGATTTCACATGAAGCCTGGGAGAAAACAAAGCAAAAAAATGTGAGAAGAACTACACTGCCCTTCCCAAATAGAAACCTGTTGTGCAGAGGCACATGCAACTGAGGACAGAGCTCAGCATTTTAAATTAAATTTGCATATAGTTTCTGTGACCTCATTTGACAGACTGTTTTTGAGCTCCCTGTTGCCAATGTGTCCATTTTCCTGTTCATTTAAACCTAAAGGAATACTCACATCAGCCGCAACAGGTGACTTTGTTGTACTGGTGCTCCTGTATCCTCTTACGGCTGTCACAATGACACTGATATCACACAGTGACATGAACCTAGATGTACGGTACATGCAGAAGAAGAATGTGCCATGGTTAGCCCAGCAGTCATTAAATGAGCTAAAATTGTGATAAGAGAAAAAGAAACAAGTGTCATACACTACATTCAAGGTACCCAGAAGTGAAAATGGAGTAAATAATCTTGACCGATTCACGACGGCAAAGCCACATTGCCTATGTCATTCATGATTCTTCTCTATAATCTGTGTTTATGGAGTAGATCTATGTACAGCCTCTATTACACAGAATAAGGTTCAACTGAATGTGACAGAAAATCCCCCAAATAACAGTTCCTTAGACAAGTGAGCATACTTTTTGCTCATGTAAAATCAGACAGAGGCTCGGTCATCCAGGTTTGGCGTGGCAGCTCTGCTTCATGAGCCATAAGAACTCTGCGCTCCCCAGCTTTGCCCAGGACACAGCTCCCTTACTCAGAGTCACATATGGCTGCTGGAGCTCCAGGAAACACAACTCCATCCCAAGCTGCAATCATGAAAAAGGAGGAAAAAACAAAACAAAACAAAAAACAAAAAACAAAAAAAACAAAATAACTCCTCCAGTAAGGAAAATCCCTGGAAGTCACAGACAATTCTGCCTCTATCTCACTTTCCCAACTTTAGTTCCATGGCCACACTGTGCCACAAGGGAGGCTAAGAAGTGTAGTATTTACATGGATGATGATGTTATCAACTGAATATGTGGGGCTCTAGTAACTAACAAAAAATGAGAGAATAAATATCGGGAAGAAACTAGGATTTTTAGACACACAGAACACTCATTCTATAATAGTAGTGATTCCTTTTTAAGAAACTATTTTACATTAACAAGAAAAGACTTGTGAAATCCAACAGAACACTGAGAAGCATATGAATGTAATTCAAAGTAGGAAAAACTTTAATAGATTAAAAATATGTGAAGGGAAACTCAGAAAAATTAGGGATCAGATAAATGACACAAAAGAGCACTTTAGGCCAGGCGCGATGGCTCAAGCCTGTAATCCCAGGACTTTGGGAGGCCAAGGCGGGTGGACCACCTGAAGTCAGGAGTTCAAGACCAGCCTGGCCAAAATGGTGAAACCCCATCTCTACTAAAAATACAAAAAGTTACCTTGACCTGATGGTGGGCAACTGTAATCCCAGCTACTCGGGAGGCTGAGGCAGGAGAATCACTTGAACCCAGGAAGCAGAGGTTGCAGTGAGCAGAGATTGCACCATTGTACTCCATCCTGGGCAACAAAAGTGAAACTCCATCTCAAAAAAAAAAAGGGCGCTTTATATCAATTTATTAATTTTAGAAATTTGCATTATGCCAAATTTAGTGGAAATGTATGTGGACATGTTCATGCTTTATCTCAAGGATGCAGACACAGTTGGTGATTTTCTTCATATTTAGTGAAAATAATTATGTATATACTTTAAGTCCCGATCATCACATCCTGGGCATATTCCCCTGACAAGAAGCCATAGAAGACATTTTCAAAGATCTTATTTGCAACATTTACTGTTCTGCAACATACACTAAATTTAGATGACCTTTACTTGGAGATTTTATGCATGAGACATGGATGTGTTTATTGTATACATTTATATTTATATACATATATATTTCTGTATCTATATCATATACACACAATTGCATACACACAATTTTACACACAATTTCATATAAATGTATTTGCAGGTTGGCAAGAGGGCCCAATGATCCCTAGTATAAGTGTATTTGCACCTGTTTTTTGTTTGTGTGTGCTTATTTTCCAGCTGTGTTTATTTTATACATTTACATTTATAGATGTGTATATTTTTCTCTATATATTATAGTGATTACACACAATTTCATCATTATGTAAGATAGCTATATTAACTATATGTTTTATAGGAAATAGATATTTGTGCACATATATGCATACATACATACAAATAAAGCACTATTAGTAGGCCTCAAAAACAGTGCTGTATGAATACAGTGACCATATTCTAAGAAGTGGATGGCTGTCTATAAATAATGACTTATGCATGCTATTTCTCCCACTCCTACACTTACCAAGATGAAGGGGTTTTCCCAGCTTTCACTTGAATAAACTCTTGGAAATGAGATTCTCTTCTTTTGATTATTTGACAAATTTATACCAAAATAGTGGGCTTTTATAATCAATATCTTTATGATTGATTTTCCTAAATATTATTTTTTTAAACATTGAATTGTATCCCTTGTTTGTCTTTTATTTTCCACAAGCAGATGGAACTTCCTCCCCCACAAGCAGATGGAAGAACCTGTGCAGTGTCACTTCGGGGAAGCTACGTGGCAGGGTGGAAGTAGAATGAACCTGCACATTTTTAAAACATTTTTTTACTTTGGTCCTTGGAGGACCCAAGGGACTTGTAAAGAAGAAGAAGGGGGTAGACTGTGAGTTTGTAGCTAAAAGAAGAAGAGAGATGACCCAGCAACCTAGAGAAGCAGGAAGAAAATGTGTGTTCCACCTTCCTCTCCTCCCCAGAATTCTGCAGTGTGTGGAGAAGAGTAGAGTGGTCTCCGGCCTCCATGAGAGGGCCTGGACCAGACCCTGCTGAATGCAGAGAGCTATCTGCAGGGTGAGCGTCCAGGCAGACAGGACCCAGGGTGGCCGCACAAAAGATTCCCCCAGTACGGTGAGGTGTAGAAGCAGCAGCGAGCCAGCACTTCTGAAGGAGATGACTGAGCTCAATTCTTCTTTTCTGAAGAGGCTTTGCTCCTAAGGAGTCCCTGTACTTCTCTTTCTGCCAGAGTAAACCTAGCTTCCATACACTTACTGTCAAGGCACGTGACAACTCTATAGCACCCCCCAGGAATCATCAAAATCTGAACTAAAAACCCAGAGCATAGGGGGTTGGCTGCTGAGTGACCCCCAACAAAGGCAAGGACAGTAGGGTCATTGCAGACCTCAGGTCTTACTACTCTCCAGTGAGGAGGGAGGAGACTCCAAATGGTTGCTGTCACCCAGACCTCCTCCCGATATGCTCACGCAGAGAGGATGAGGCAGAAGAGCCACTGCCTGCCTTGCCACTCACCTCCGATACTTGGCTTTATCCTTTGTGTCTCACTCTAGGACTATTTATTCGTTTCCTGGTGCTCTAGGACACAGCAGAGAGAGCTGACTGGCTATTCTGGGATGAATGGAGATGCCAAAAGCCTATGGAACCGGGTAATATCAGGTGATTTTCCATTCAAGTCCTATCTGGTTGGTACCTCCATGAGATTTTAAAAATAGAAAAGACGAGGCTTTCTGTAGGTCCATGTATTTCAGCCTGGCCTTTGGATGCAGAGGCCAGCTGGGAAGCTAGCAGTGCTTCTGGCCAAGACTAGATCCCTAGCGCAGAGCCTCAGGGCTCTCTGTAGCTTCCCAGCTTGTGCATGCACAGTTCATATCTGACATGATAGCATCACATCACTGCGCAAGCTAAGCTTTAGTATGGTGACAGACACTATCCATTCACTGAGTCAGCAGTGTCCAAGAGACTTTTTCTGATGTGGTTTTCATTGCCTGCCAACAATTTCGGAGTCTAGAAAGCCAGAACCCTGTTTTCCATGTGTTTTATTTTTATGAAAGAAACTTCATGCACCTGACTCCTCAAGCACCTCAAGAACAACTGCAGAATTTTCTCAATCCAGATGAAACTGGCTGGAACAAACTTCCTCAGAATTGAGGAGCCTTCAGAATCTGACCCATTTTCCTGGTTCCTGAAAGCTGTCAATGGTCCTCAGCAGAGACCTTCCCTGGCCTCACTGTCCCTCTGGCCTTTTACCATCGTGCTCCTCCCGCACTCACACTGCCCCCAGCAGGTGTTGAAGGCTCAGACCTGGACTTTCTTTCTCTCTGCACAAAGGCTCTTCTCCACCCACTTAAACGGGGCACCACATAAGCACTTAAGGTGTTCAAAAGGAGAGCACCGATCCTGACTGCCAGGTTGTGGGGATGTGGACAACTTTTGCACTGGAGGGTGATGGCACCTGGGCTGGGTCTGGTTACAGTGGTGGGCTGGTGTTTGCCATCAGTGTAGGGTCACATGGAAGTGACGGGGTAAAACTCCTGTGGTCAGGCCGGGCGCGGTGGCTCACACCTGTAATCCCAGCATTTTGGGAGGTCGAGGAAAGCAGATCACCTGAGGTCAGGAGTTCGAGACCAGCCTGGCCAACATGGAGAAACCCCATCTCTACTAAAAATACAAAAATTATCTGGACGTGGTGGTCCATGCCTGTAATCCCCGCTACTGGGGAGGCTGAGGCAGGAGAATTGCTTGAACCTGTGAGGCAGAGGTTGCAGTGAGCCGAGATCATGCCACTGCACCCCAGCCTGGGTGGCAGAGTGACACCACGTCTCAAAAAAAAAAAAAAACCCACAAAACAAAACAAAAAATCTCCTGTGATCTTTGTGTCTCCCTTCACAGTTAGCAGGTGGTAAGATGGCCTAGTGGCCCCTAGTGTAAATGTATTTGCATCTGCTTTTATGTTTGTGTGTGTTTATTTTCTGGTTGTGTTTATTTTATATATTTAAATTTATATATGTCTATATATTTATCCCTATATATTATACACCTATGTCTGTATATATGATATCTATATTTACTGAGGTATAGATACATTGTACAGGCCAAGGGCAAACTTCTCCTTTGCCCTCTTGAGTTTCTCTAAAGTAACATTTGACCAAAGGCAGATTAATCAGAGAAAAAGCATGCAAATGTATATACATTTGAAATATGTGCACATGAAATATGCAGAATATAGGAACTCAAAGAGAAGCAAAGGGTTGATGTTTTATGACATCTTCAGGTAACACAAAGAATAGGGGCATGGATAGTGGCAAAACAGGGGATGGTGGCAAAACCAGTTATCAGAGGAGACAGAAAGGCCCGGCTAGGAAAGGTGGTCTTGTTATTTACAAGAATCCTCACAGGTGGTAGCCCTCAGAGAAAGAGTTGGTAATTTTTTTTTCTCAGACCTCTAAATGTGTCAGATTCTCAGTTCATCTTTCTTACATCCAGAAAAGGGAGGGCCTTAGAGCTTCAATTATGACTCTATCAATGCGGCTTTTCTATAAAGTTGCGAATCTCACCTGCAAAAGACAACTTTGTAGGGCTCCTTCTGATTGCAGGCCCTCTGAAAGGCTATCTCAAAATATGTCAAAGAAGTATATTTTGGGTATAATGTTATAGTTTCCATATGTATGTGTGTGTGTGTGTTTGTGTGTAGATGGTTTTTACTCTTTTGCATAGAGAAACAGCACCACAGTCTGGTAAAAAGCACTACGATACTGTATGTATAAAAACCTGTATATCAGTTTTTAATTCTTTCTATGTTGATGCATATATTCACATGTCACATATTTCATGATACATTTTAAATATTCGTATTTGTGTGTATATTTATTTCTGGTTATATCTTTGCTTGTGTATTCTATGTGTGAAACACTCCAGGCTCACAGTGTGCCCCACACTGTTCCCTAATAGTAGAGATTCCAAATCCCTGAGCCCCCACTGAGTGTGGTTGCTCTGGTGGACTGGGAAGATGCAGCTGTGCTGTGAAAACCTCACCTGCTCCTGCGTAGTTCAGTCAGCCGTGAAGGACACCCTTGAATGCAACCACCTAAGGTATCCAAAACAAGAGCACCTATGCTGATTGACAGCTTCTGGCGATGTGGACAGCTTTTAAGTTAGAGGATGATGGCCTTTGGACTAGCCCTGCTTCAAAAGGAAGGCTGGGTGTTTACCATCTGCAAAGGGGTCACGTAATGTGGCTTTTTGGCTCCATGCCAGTAGGTGGCAGCATTGCCCAATGGCCAGGAGTGTAAAAGTACGTGCATTTGTGTGTGGGGGTGTGTGTGTCTTTGTGTGAGATTTTTGGGTTATGTTTAGTTTATACGTGTGTGTGTGTATACCCACATGCTTGAGGGTTTATGATTTATATATGAGTATACATACATACATATCTGAATATATGTACACACATGCATATTTATATATAAATCTATGTGATTATATAAGTTTATTAAGTAATACATATTTTTATGTATTAATTTACATATGTAGGCTTTCTTGTTCCTGCCTGGAGGCATACCACCACAAAGGGAAACAGCTCTTAAAAGTTCCATGTATAAATATCTATGTTTTAATTTTTATTTATTTATATGTTGATGCATATATTTATATAGATTATCAATTTCTTCATATATTAAAAATATAGACATGGATTTGTGTATGTGTTTTTTCGAGTTATGCCTTAACTGGTGCCCTGTATGTGTGAAGCACTCCAGACCTGCAGACCCCACTGCTTCATTTCTCCAGAGAAGCAGTTTCCACACACTGAGCCCCACTGATTGTCTATCCCCTGGAAGAGTGGAAAGGCACCTCTGTTCCATCTGGTTGCTACCTCCCTGAGCTTCAAAGGACAGAAGAGATGGGGCTTTCTTTTGGGTGTAAGACAATACATTTTTCAGCCTAGATTTGGCGAACCAAAGTCTGTGCAGAAAGCTAGCACTGCTGCTGGCACCCAAGGCCAGATGCCAGGCTTGGAACCTCAGGGATCCCGGTGGACTCTCCACTTTTGCACTCATAGTTCAGCCTCCTGGGACACACCTGCCTCACCCACAAGCTGGGGCCGAGTTCTTTGAAAGGCATCATCCATCCCCTGGGGATGGCCATGTCCAGCATCTGCCTCTGACCTGGTTTTCCTCATCTACCACCTACACTGTGGACAAGAAAGCTTTGTCAAGCCAGACCCGTTTCCATGATTCTCAAAGTTTTAGAAGAAGCCTCAAGCCTGTGGGTTCTCAGGTGTCTTTTTTTTTTTTTTTTCATATGGAGTCTCATTCTGTTGCCCAGGCCAGAGTGCAGTGGCACGATCTTGGCTCACTGCAACCTCCGCCTTCCAGGTTCAAGCGATTTTCCTGCCTCAGCCTCCCTAGTAGCTGGGATCACAGGTGCCTGCCACAACACCCGGCTAATTTTTTTGTATTTTTAGTAGAGACGGGGTTTCCCCATGTTGGCCAGGCTGGTCTTGAACTCCCGACCTCAAGTGATCTACCCATCTCAGCCTCCCTCCCAGGTGTCTTTAATCCAAGTGTTCTCTGAGTCTGCCCTGGTTTCTCGAGATGCAGCTGGAGCCTGCCATAACAGGCTCATGCAGGTCTGTGTAGTCTTCAGAATAAATTGGGGGCCACTTTCCTGGTCCCCGAATGCTCTGAGGAGCATTCAGAGCCATCCTGTTCTGGCCTTGCTGACCCTCAGGCCCGCAGCACCCTTACTGCACCCAGACTCATGCTGCGCCGAGTTCCTCCTGTGTGTTCAGACCTAGCCTGTTTTCATCCTCCTGGAAAGCCTCTTCTCCACGCCCCCAAACCGGGATGCCTCTCTATGTCCCCACCTCAACTATCAAAAAAGGAGTCCCTGTCCTGAGTGACAGCTTCTGGATAAGTGGGCAGCTTTCCCACTAGAGGACGATGGCCCTTGGGCGGGATCTGATCAAAGGGCCATGTTCAGGTGTTTGTCATTTGTGGAGGCTCACACAGAACTGGCAGGAAAGGAGACTTTGGGCCTCTTTGTTTCACTCCACTGCCAGTCTGTGGTAAGGGGGCCCAGTGGCTTCTCATATAAGTGCAAGTGCATCTGTGTGGATTTGGGGTAACATGTTTGGGTTATGTTTATTTTATACATAGAGACTTATACATATATTCCTATATTTATATATTTGTTCATACATGTTTTTCTATATATAAATACAGATTATACAGAATATTTACATTCACTGATTTATATGAATATGTATATATTTATGTATGTGTGGATAGATAGATAGATAGATAGATAGATAGGGAGATAGATTTTCTTCTTGCCTGAGTGGAGAAACACCACCATGGACAGGCAGAAAGCCCTACCCAGTTTCCTGTATAAATATATACATGTATATATATATACATCTTAATTTATTTATATGCTGATACATATATTCACATATGTTAAATATGCCCTTATATCTTTAACAAACACGTTTCTGAATGTGGATATATCTATTTCTCGCTATGTCTTAGCTGGGACCCTGAATGTGTGAAACACTCCAGACCAACAGCCTGGGGCTCCCTGTTCCTCCAGATCAGTGATTCCCAAAGCTGAGGCCCCACCCAGTGTTGATTGGCCCAGTGGGAAGATGCAGCTGTGAATTTGACTTTGGGCGTCAGGGCCATCGCTTCCCTCAGTGTTTGAGGGAAGTCATGCTGCTGCTCTTAGTCCCCAAATGCTCTCGAGGGCACTCAGTGCAGTCTCACTCTGGCCTGCCTGCCCCTCCATCCTGTGCCATTTTACCTCACCTGCTTTCTCTGCTCCCAGTGCATCCTGAGGGCTCAGACACTTCTTTCTCTCCATGGAAAGCCACTTCTCTTCTCACCAAACTAATTGTATTGCCCCCACCTGAAGTGCTCGAAAGAAGCCCAGCTAACCTGATACACAAGTTCTGGGAAACTGGCCATTTTTCCCAATGGAGGGTGATGGCCCTTGGACTGTCTCTCGTTAAAGGGCAATGGCCAGGTGTTTCCCATCTATGACCAGTGACATGGACCTGGCAGGAAAGGACTCCTGCTGGCTTAAGTGTTCCCTAGGCTGCTAGTAGGTGGCATGAAGGCCACAGGGGACCGATGGCCCCTAATACGCATGCAAGTGCATCAGTTTGTAGTACGTGTGGTATTTTCATTGAGTTTTGGGTAATGTTTATTTTATACATATATATGTATATTTATAAATTTATTTTAAATATATGTATTTATATATAAATATATATAATTTTACCAAATATCCAAATTTATTCCTTCATAAGAATATGTATATTTTATGTTTTCTAATCACCTGCATGAAAAAACACCAAAGTAGGCTGGCAGAGAGTGCAGCAAAGATCTATGTCTACACATCTGTATTTCTATTTATATGTTCATACACATGTTTACATGCTACATACTTCCTTATACCTTTAAATGTAAACACATTTATATGTGTGAATATATTTATTTCTAGTTATTATTTTTAGTTTTAAAACAAATATTATTTTTGATAATACATGATTATTGCAGAAAATATGGAAAACAGACTATTATTGAAAAGTTAAAAATCCCTCATGTTCACTATGCAGAGATAATCATAGTTGGAACTCATGACTCCTTCCAGATGTATTTCCTCACTCTGAATTATGCTTATTGTACAAAAACATACAATGCCAATATATCAACCATAAAAACATACTTTTAGAAAATTAGAATACTGAATTTATATTTTTTTCATATATTGTGACTATTTCCTTTATCTATAATGATAAGACACAAGGCCTTTCCAAAGTACAAAAAGAGACTTTGAAATATAAAAATAGGTGAAAAAACATGAACAATATAAAATGATGAATAAACAAAGAAATTCTTACCATTTCACATGAGGAATCTTTAGTTTTCACAGATTGCAAACTTCTAGAGTACCCAAATATAGAAAAGTATGAAATGGAAAAAAAATAAAACTTAGGAGTAAAATATTTGATTAAATTAGTTACTAAGCAGAATTTTTTTAAGTTTTTTTAATTATTATTAAACTTTAAGTTTTAGGGTACATGTGCACAACGTGCAGGTTTGTTACATATGTATACATGTGCCATGTTGGTGTGCTGAACCCATTAACTGGTCATTTAGCATTAGGTATATCTCCTAATGCTATCCCTCCCCCCTCCCCCCACCCCACAAAGTCCCCTGTGTGTGATGTTCCCCTTCCTATATCCATGTGTTCTCATTGTTCAATTCCCACCTATGAGTGAGAACATGCGGTGTTTGGTTTTTTCTCCTTGCGATAATTTGCTGAGAACGATGGTTTCCAGCTTCATCCATGTCCCTACAAAGGACATGAACTCATCCTTTTTTATGGTTGCCTACTATTCCATGGTGTATATGTGCCACATTTTCTTAATCCAGTCTATCGTTGTTGGACATTGGGTTGGTTCCAAGTCTTTGCTATTGTGAATAGTGCTGCAATAAACATACGTGTGCATGTGTCTTTATAGCAGCATGATTTATAATCCTTTGGGTATGTACCCAGTAATGGGATGGCTGGGTCAAATGGTATTTCTAGTTCTAGATCCCTGAGGAATCGCCACACTGACTTCCACAATAGTTGAACTAGTTTATAGTCCCACCAACAGTGTAAAAGTGTTCCTGTTTCTCCACATAGTCTCTAGCACCTGTTGTTTCCTGAGTTTTTAATGATCACCATTCTAACTGGTGTGAGATGGTATCTCATTGTGGTTTTAATTTGCATTTCTCGAATGGCCAGTGATGACAAGCATTTTTTCATGTGTTTTTTTGGCTGCATAAATGTCTTCTTTTGATAACTGTCTGTTCATATCCTTTGCCCAATTTTTGATGGGGTTGTTTGTTTTTTTCTTGTACATTTGTTTGAGTTCATTGTAGATTCTGGATATTAGCCCTTTGTCAGATGAGTAGGTTGCAAAAATTTTCTCCCATTCTGTAGGTTGCCTGTTCATTCTGATGGTAGTTTCTTTTGCTGTGCAGAAGCTCTTTAGTTTAATTAGATCCCATTTGTCAATTTTGGCTTTTGTTGCCATTGCTTTTGGTGTTTTAGACATGAAGTCCTTGCCCATGCCTATGTCCTGAATGGTATTGCCTAGGTTTTCTTCTAGGGTTTTTATGGTTTTAGGTCTAATATGTAAGTCTTTAATCCATCATGAATTAATTTTTGCATAAGGTGTAAGGAAGGGATCCAGTTTCAGCTTTCTACATATGGCTAGCCAGTTTTCCCAGCACTATTTATTAAATAGGGAATCGTTTCCCCATTGCTTGTTTTTGTCAGGTTTGTCAAAGAACAGATAGTTGTAGATATGTGGCATTATTTGTGAGGGCTCTGTTCTGTTCCATTGGTCTATATCTCTGTTTTAGTACCAGTACCATGCTGTTTTGGTTACTGTAGCCTGGTAGTATAGTTTGAAGTCAGGTAGCATGATGCCTCCAGCTTTGTTCTTTTGGCTTAGGATTGACTTGGCAATGCGGGCTCTTTTTTGGTTCCATATGAATTTTAAAGTAGTTTTTTTCCAATTCTGTGAAGAAAGTCATTGGTATCTTGATGGGGATGGCATTGAATCTATAAATTACCTTGGGCAGTATGGCCATTTTCGCGATATTGATTCTTCCTATCCATAAGCATGGAATGTTCCTCCATTTGTTTGTATCCTCTTTTATTTCATTGAGCAGTGGTTTGTAGTTCTCCTTGAAGAGGTCCTTCACATCCCTTGTAAGTTGGATTCCTAGGTATTTTATTCTCTTTGAAGCAATTGTGAATGGGATTTCACTCATGATTTGGCTCTCTGTTTGTCTGTTATTGGTGTATAAGAATGCTCGTGATTCTTGCACATTGATTTTGTGTCCTGAGACTTTGCTGAAGTTGCTTATAAGCTTAAGGAGATTTTGGGCTGAGACGATGGGGTTTTCTAGATATACATTCATGTCATCTGCAAACGGACAATTTGACTTCCTCTTTTCCTAATTGAATGCCATTTATTCCCTTCTCCTGCCTGATTGCCCTGGCCAGAACTTCCAACACTAAGTTGAATAGGAGTGGTGCAAAAGGGCATCCCTGTCTTGTGGCAGTTTTCAAAGGGAATGCTTCCAGTTTTTGACCATTCAGTATGGTATTGGCTGTTGGTTTGTCATAGATAACTCTTATTATTTTGAGATACGTCCCATCAATACCTAATTTATTGAGAGTTTTTAGCATGAAGGGTTTTTGAATTTTGTCAAAGGCCTTTTCTGCATCTATTGAGATAATCATGTGGTTTTTGTTTTTGGTTCTGTTTATATGCTGGATTACGTTTATTGATTTTTGAATGTTGAGCCAGCCTTGCATCCCAGGGATGAAACCAAATTGAACATGGTGGATAAGCTTTTTGATGTGTTGCTGGATTTGGTTTGCCAGTATTTTACTGAGGATTTTTGCATCAATGTTCATCAAGGATATTGGTCTAAAATTCTCTCTTTTTAGTTTTGTCTCTGCCAGGCTTTGGTATCAGGATGATGCTGGCCTCATAAAATGAGTTAGGGAGGATTCCCTCTTTTTCTATTGATTGGAATAGTTTCAGAAGGAATGGTACCAGCTCCTCCTTGTACCTCTGGTAGAATTTGGCTGTGAATCCATCTGGTCCTGGACTTTTTTGGTTGGTAAGCTATTAATTTTTGCCTCAATTTCAGAGCCTGTTATTGGTCTATTCAGAGATTCAATTTCTTCCTGGTTTAGTCTTGGGAGAGTGTAAGTGTCAAGGAATTTATCCATTTCTTCTAGATTTTCTAGTATATTTGCATAGTGATGTTTATAGTATTCTCTGATGGTAGTTTGTATTTCTGTGGGATCGGTGGTGATATCCCCTTTGTCATTTTTTATTGCGTCTATTTGATTCTTCTCTCTTTTCTTCTTTATTAGTCTTGCTAGCGGTCTATCGATTTTGTTGATCTTTTCAAAAAACCAGCTCCTGGATTCATTGATTTCTTGAAGGGTTTTTTGTGTCTCTATCTCCTTCTGTTCTGCTCTGATTTTAGTTATTTCTTGCCTTCTGCTAGCTTTTGAATGTGTTTGCTCTTCCTTTTCTAGTTCTTTTAATTGTGATCTTAGGATGTCAATTTTAGATCTTTCCTGCTTTCTCTTCTGGGCATTTAGTGCTATAAATTTCCCTCTGCACACTGCTTTGAATGTGTCCCAGAGATTCTGGTATGTTGTGTCTTTGTTCTCATTGGTTTCAAAGAACATCTTTATTTCTGCCTTCATTTCATTATGTACCCAGTAGTCATTCAGGAGCAGGTTGTTCAGTTTCCATGTAGTTGAGTGGTTTTGAGTGAGTTTCTTAATCCTGAGTTCTAGTTTGTTTGCACTGTGGTCTGAGAGACAGTTTGTTATAATTTCTGTTCTTTTACATTTGCTGAGGAGTGCTTTACTTCCAACTATGTGGTCAATTTTGGAATAGGTGAGGTGTGGTGCTGAAAAGAATGTATATTCTGTTGATTTGGGGTGGAGAGTTCTGTAGACGTCTATTAGGTCCACTTGGTGCAGAGTTGAGTTCTTGTTATCCTTGTTAACTTTCTGTCTCATTGATCTGTCTAATTTTGACAGTGTGGTGTTAAAGTCTCCCATTATTATTGTGTGGGAGTCTAAGTCTCTTTGTAGGTCTCTAAGGACTTGCTTTATGAATCTTGGTGCTCCTGTATTGGGCTAGCTCTTCTTGTTGAATTGATACCTTTACCATTATGTAATGGCCTTCTTTGTCTCTTTTGATCTTTGTTGGATTAAAGTCTGTTTTATCTGAGACTAGGATTTCAACCTCTGCCTTTTTTTGTTTTCCATTTGCTTGGTATATCTTCCTCCATCCCTTTATTTTGAGCCTATGTGTGTCTCTGCATGTGAGATGGGTTTCCTGAATACAGCACACTGATGGGTCTTGACTCTTTATCCAATTTGCCAGTCTGTGCCTTTTAATTGGAGCATTTAGCCCATTTACATTTCAGGTTAGTATTGTTATGTGTGAATTTGATCCTGTCATTATGATGCTAGCTGGTTATTTTGCTCATTAGTTGATGCAGTTTCTTCCTAGTCTTGATGGTCTTTACAATTTGGCATGTTTTTGCAGTGGCTGGAACTGGTTGTTCCTTTCCACATTTAGTGCTTCCTTCAGGAGCTCTTTTAGGGCAGGCCTGTTAGTGACAGAATCTCTCAGCATTGGCTTGTCTGTAAAGTATTTTATTTCTCCTTCACTTATGAAGCTTAGCTTTCCTGGATGTGAAATTCTGGATTGAAAATTCTTTTCTTTAAAAATGTTGAATATTGGCCCCCACTCTCTTCTGGCTTGTAGAGTTTCTGCCGAGACATCAACTGTTAGTCTGATGGGCTTCCCTTTGTGGGCAACCTGACCTTTCTCTCTGGCTTCCCTTAACATTTTTTCCTTCATTTCAACTTTGGTGAATCTGACAATTATGTGTCTTGGAGTTGCTCTTCTCGAGGAGTATCTTTGTGGCATTCTCTGTATTTCCTGAATGTGAATGTTGGCCTGCCTTGCTAGATTGGGGAAGTTCTCCTGGATAATATCCTGCAGAGTGTTTTCCAACTTGGTTCCATTCTCCCCGTCACTTTCAGGTACACCAATCAGATGTAGATTTGGTCTGTTCACATAGTCCCATATTTCTTGGAGGCTTTGTTCTTTTTATTCTTTTTTCTCTAATCTTCTCTTCATTCTTCATTTCATTCATTTCGTCTTCCATCGCTGATACCCTTTCTTCCAGTTGATCACATCGGTTACTGAGGCTTGTGCGTTCGTCAGGTATTTCTTGTGCCATGGTTTTCAGCTCCATCAGATCCTTTAAGGACTTCTCTGCATTGATTATTCTAGTTTTCCATTCGTCTAATTTTTTTTCAAAGATTTTAACTTCTTTGCCGTTGGTTCGAACTTCCTCCTTTAGCTCGGAGTAGTCTGATCTTCTGAAGCCTTCCTCTCTCAACTCGTCAAAGTCATTCTCCGTCCAGCTTTGTTCCATTGCTGGTGAGGAGCTGCGTTCCTTTGGAGGAGGAGAGGCGCTCTGATTTTTAGAGTTTCTGGTTTTTCTGCTCTGTTTTTTCCCCATCTTTGTGGTTTTATCTACTTTTGGTCTTTGATGATGGTGATGTACAGATGGGGTTTTGGTGTGGATGTCCTTTCTGTTTGTTAGTTTTTCTTCTAACAGTCAGGACCCTCAACTGCAGGTCTGTTAGAGTTTACTGGAGGTCCATTCCAGACACTGTTTGCCTGGGTATCAGCAGCGGTGGCTGCAGAACAGCAGATATTGGTGAACCGCAAATGCTGCTGCCTGATCGTTCCTCTGGAAGTTTTGTCTCAGAGGGGTACCCAGCCGTGTGAGGTTTCAGTCTGCCCATACTGGGGGGTTCCTACCAGTTAGGCTACTCGGGGGTCAGGGACCCACTTGAGGAGGCAGTCTGCCCGTCCTCAGATCTCAAGCTGCATGTTGGGACAACCACTTCTCTCTTCAAATCTGTCAGACAGGGACATTTAAGTCTGCAGAGGTTATTGCTGTCTTTTGTTTGTCTGTGCCCTGCCCCCAGAGGTGGAGCCTACAGAGGCAGGCAGGCCTCCTTGAGCTGTGGTGGGTTCCACCCACTTCGAGCTTCTGGGTCACTTTTTTTACCTACTCAAGCCTGAGCAATGGTGGGCGCCCCTCCCCCAGCCTTGCTGCCGCCTTGCTGTTTGATCTCAGACTGCTGTGCTAGCAATGAGCAAGGCTCCGTGGGCGTAGGACCCTCCGAGTCATGTGCGGGATATAATATCCTGGTGTGCCGTTTGTGAAGCCCGTTGGAAAAGCGCAGTATTAGGGTGGGAGTGACCTAATTTTCCAGGTGCTGTCTGTCACCCCTTTCTTTGACTAGGAAAGGGAATTCCCTGATCCCTCGCACATCCTGGGTGAGGCGATGCCTTGCCCTGCTTCGGCTCATGCATGTTGCGCTGCACCCACTGTCCTGCACCCACTGTCTGGCATTCCCCAGTGAGATGAACCTGGTACCTCAGTTGGAAATGCAGAAATCACTGTCTTCTGTGTCACTCACGCTGCAAGCTGTAGACTGGAGCTGTTCCTATTCAGCCATCTTGGCTCCACTCCTCCTATTTCTAGTTTTTTCTTAGGTGATGCCCTGTATGAGTGAAACACTTCAGACTAGCAGACTGGGCTGCACTGTTTCTGCGGATCAGTGATTTTAAAACACTGAGACCCCACTGAGTGTTGATCCTCTGGTCTCGTGAGAAGATGCAGCTTCATGTTGGATGTCCAGATCAGAGACACTATTTCCCTTGGTGTTTGGGCCAGCTTGCACACACACTTGTGGAGATCAACAAAGAGTGCTGACCAACTGTGTTGGCATGAACGGGAGCATCAAAAACCTACTATACCTGATCAAATTAGGTGTTCTTCCATTCAATTTCTACCTGGTCACTGTCTTCCTGAGCATCAAATAACAGAAGAGATCATCCATTTTTTTGGCTTGTGTAGCCATGCATTATCCAGCCTTGTTTTGACAAGCACAAGCCAGACAAAAAGCTAACAGTGTTCCCAGCCCAAGGCCTGAGGATGGTCAGTAGCATCCCCACTTGAGCAAGTTCACTTGAATCCAGCACAATGAACTGCCTCAACCACAAGCTGGGCCCTAGTTTTGGGACATGCATTATTCATCCAGCTGGGAAGGTAGTGCCCAACACTCTACCACTGAACTGTTCTTCCTTGTCAACCACCTACATTGCAGTCCAGGGGTTTTGTTAAGCCAGACCCCTGTTTCCCTGCTGCTCACACTGGTGTGAGGTCTCAGGCACATGGCTCTCCTGCTGCCTTTCATCCAGGTGTTCCTCAGGCTGCCATAAGGAGTGCTGTAGACCCACTAGACTGCCCTAACAGGCTTTCTCAGTCTGCGTCCAGAAAGTCTCAAGGGCGCCCTGCGTGGTCCTCCTCTGGACCTGCTGCCCCTCTGGCCCTGTACCACCGTAACCCCCCACAACTGCACTGCCCCCAGCGCATTCTGAAAAATTCTGAAGAGGAAAGCCTCTTCTTCACCCACCTGATGTGGGACACCATTGGATGCATCCACCTTACATACTCAAAACATGGGCACCTAGCCTCATTGAGAGGTTCTGGAGGTGTGGGCAGCTTTTCTACTAGAGGGAAATGGCTGCTGGGCATGCTCTGGTTAAAGGTCAATGGCCAGGTATTTGCCAACTATAAAATGTCTTATAAAACTGGCAGAAAAAACTCCTGTGGGCTTGTTTGCTCCCTGTGCTGCCACAAGGTGGCAGAAAAGCAGAGTGTCTTCCAGAGAACTTGGAAGTACATCTGGGGTGTGTGTGTGTGTGTGTGTGTGTGTGTGTGTGTGTGTATGTGAGATCCTCCCAGTGAAAGTGCATCTGTGTGTGTGTGTGTGTGTGTATGTATGTGTGTTTATGTGAGATCCTCCAGGGAACGTGGAATCACATCTGCTTTGTGGGGTTATGTGTGATTATGTGAGATTTGGGGATTTTTAAAAATAAATATTTATCTTTATATATATATGGAGAAATACATGTTCATGCATGTAATTACGTGTAGTATCTCTAGTTAGATATAGCTAAGTTGCCTCTCACCTACATGAAGAAACACCATCTTTCACTATAAGACAGCATCACAGAGTTTATGTTTAAACATCTCTATTTTAATTCTTATTTACTTATATGTTTACCATATATTTACATATGGTATATATTTGTTTATATATTTAAAAATATACACATTAATGTGTGTGTGTATCGGTTTCTTTCTAGTTCTATTTTGGCTGGTGCCCTCTATGTGTAAAAAACTCTCTGACTGACAGAGTGAGCCACACTGTTTCTCCAGATCAGCGATTTTAGATTTTAACATCTAAATGTCTCACCCTTTTACCAGCAGTTTGAATATCCAACCCATAATCATCTTCCCAAATCGAATTCTGTATAGACTCTCAAAATATGTCTCTCATTTCCTCATGCCAACTGCATACTTCAGAATTTATTAAACTGCCATAGAAAATAATATTACATTTAATTTAATTTCAAGGACATCTTCTAGCCTGCCTGAAATTAGGCCCCTTTCCCTCTAAGGTATTCCTGCCTGAGAGGTGCACCTTGGGCCTCACGTGTGCTCAACACAAGTTGCTCAGTTTTGCTCCCCTTGCTCTCTGCTCCCTGATGACCCTCCTTCATAGAAATGAAACTCCAGTGTACCCAGAAGTTTTTCTTCTTTACTTGTTCCAATGAAAGGAGGCAAACCATCCCAAAGAACCAAAGGTCAGGTTATAATATTAATAATTATTTTATTGAAAGTCTGACTGTAACAGAAAAGAAGTACAGGGCAGGAAATAAGTTACACCTCAGGCCCAAGCCAGGAAAAAACTTGGCCTGCCTTCCCCATTCGGACTTTCTGCCTCACCCCTGACCTGCTTCCAGTGGCTGGGCCTAGTTTACCAGCTTCTTCTGGAAATGCCTTAGAAATCTCAAGAGCTCAGAGTGAAAGTCAAACTAACTCCTGGCACCAGAAGGAGAAGGTGACTTTTCTTCATTCTAATCTGGAGTCTTCTCTATCAGCTTGTTAGGGCCATCATAATATAATACCACAGACTAGATGGCCAAAACAACAGAAATCTATTTTCTCTCAGTTCTGCAGACTAGAAGTCTGATATCAATGGATTGGTTTCTTTTGAGGTCCCTTAACTTGGTTTCCAGATGGCTTCCTCACTGTGTCCTCACCTGGTCATCATCCCCCATTCTGTCTTCTGTGTCATAATGGCCTCATCTTAAGGGACACCAGTTATATTGCATTAGGGCCCATCCCAATGATGTAATTTTACCTTAATTACCTCTTAAAGGCCCTGTCTTCATATACAGTCACATATATGAGGGGACATAATTCAGCCCGTAACACCTTTCTTCTGAGTGTTCATTTTCTGCTGCAGGATGGTTTTTGTTGGAATGACTGATAGTATTAATAGGAATAGCCATTCCCTTCACAGGTGACCTTATCCCCATGTATAGGAGTATGCTATAGCCCTGTAGTTTCAACTGAAAAAAAACAGCCACATGATAGTCAGAAATAAGTATGTTATCCAAAGCTTCCAGTCTTAACTGATAACACATTTTGCTACGAATTGCTTATTTTGGCTATACTACAACACATATAGGCCTGCTTCTTTTTAGTTTCTCAGTTTCAAAGGTTTGTAGCATCTCCAGGTCACCTCTTCACCATTGCACTTATCATATAATATTGTATCTGTTTACTTGTGTGTTTTCTCAAGTAAACTGTGAACTCCTTTAGTAGGACTGTATTAGGCCATTCTTGTATTTCTGTAAAGAACTACCAGAGACTCAATAATTTATAAAGAAAAGGGGTTTAATTGGCTCACAGTTCTGCAGGCTTTATAGGAAACATGGTGCTGGCATCCGCCCAGCTTCAAGGAACGCCTCAGGAAGCTTACAATCATGGCAGAAGGCAGGGGGGGAGCAGGCACATCATATGGTGAAAGCAAGAGCAAGAGAGAGAGAGAGGAGAGGTAATGAGGGAAGGTGCCACACACTTACACAGCCAGATCTCAGAAGAACTTCCTCACTATCACGAGGACAGCACCAAGGGCATGGTGCTGAACTCTTCATGAGAAATCTACCCTCATGATCCAGTCACCTCCCACCAGGCCCCACCTCCAATACTGGAGATTACATTTCAACATGAGATTTGGGCAGGGACAAATATCCAAACTATATCAGGGACTGTGTTTTATGGATTGTGGAGCTTTTAATGCAGTGTGCAGCACACAATCGGTGCATAGTAGGTGTTTAGTGGGATCACAGCTCTGCGTTCATGTAATGCTTCATTCAATAAGCACATATTGAACACCAACTCCTTCCTGGGCAGCATAATAATGTAGGAGAAAAAGTAACTCATGGTTTACCTGCCCTTATCTCTCATAATACTCAGTCCAACAATCCCAAGATAAGTTAATAGGTACTGTCTCCTTTTATATCTGTGTTTCCTCATGGCATTAGAATTGTCATAGGTATGAAAAATTCACTTTGAGTGGTACAATGGATAGAACTATCAAATTAGAACAAGGAGATTAACTGTCTGTTCTAGCTGGACCATGAATCTCTAAATTCTAGTCTCTACCTCTGCAGATTTAGGAGCTGGCCATCTTTTATGTGGCTTCCAGCTTGGACAGTCTATATTATATAGAAAATGTTGACATTATTTTGAGATGAACTTCTTGCGCAATTTCATCTGTATCACCTGACTGAAGGTCTGAATGCTAAACACTAAACTATAGAGGGACAATAGACTAGTACCCCAGAAGGAGCCCACAGGTTTTGTTACTCTTTTAATTGAAGGCATTTCACAATTTTAGTACAGTCATTTGTTTCACGCCTGAGTGATTTAGAATAACTCCTTTTGGTATTCCCAAAATAGGAGCAAAAAGAAAAACAAAAAGAAATCCTCCTCTGCTTGTCCTATTGGAAAATCTGCTCCTATTATATACCAGAAAGAATGAAAGACTGTATTGTTATTTAAGTTGCAGATATAAATTTTATTATGCAGTTTTGCATAAGATGTCTATAATTTTTAGGGTAGAGCAATCTAACCGAGACTCCAAGATTTTTCCTATCAGCTTCTGTGGTTGGCCTTCATATCACCAGGCCCAGGTGGTCTGAGGTACTAGAAGGTTCTGGTCTGAGCTGGCAGAACATCTGCCTTGTATTACCCTGGCTTCAAAAGGTGTTCCAGGGGTCAGATGTCACAGAAAAATCATGAGTTATGAGGCTGATGTGACAAACCTATAACTCTTAAGAACAGACAGAGAACTGACAATAATCATATTCTGAAAATATGAGACAATCTTTGTGGGAGATAAAAAAATGACCAGCTTATGAAGTCTTAAAATAATCAGTACACTGGCATTTTTTATCCTTCCCCCAAGTTATCCCCCATAGAGTAGGTTCATCCATAAAATTCTGTGATCCATAAGTCACTTGTATTTTATATATAGCCCAGTGATTTTTTAATAAATGGTTTGCCTTTTGGTTTGTAAATAATTTTAAACTTACAGAAAAGGTGTAAAAAAAAGGTAGCACAAAAAGCAGTCAATACCCTTTACCCACACTAAGCTATTGTCAACATGTTACTACATTTGATTTATAACTTCTGTATACTTTCTGGACATTTATTGATAAATCATACAAATTATGGACCTTTAAACCTAATGATATCAATATAGTTTTCTAAGAAAAAGAAGATTCTCTTAGTGACAATACAGTTATTAACTTCTATAAATGTAATAATGATAACAAAATTTTTATTTAATTTACTTTCTGTATTCAACTTTTTTCAAATGGTCCAAGTACATCTTTGATAGTGTTTTTTCCCTGTCAATACCATTTTCAGTCTTGAGTTGGGCATTACATTTAGCTACCATGCTTCCTTACCTTTCTCTCACCTGCAGCATTCCACTGATTTCTGTTTTTTTTTTTTTGACATTTACATTTTTAAGAACACAGTCCCTCCCCTTTTCTTTAATAAGGGACAGGGTGCTCCCCTCTATTAAAAAGAGTGCTCCCTATTTGTTATTTATCTAATGTTTTCTCATGATTAGATTCAAGTTATGTGATGTTTTGTCCTTCTCAGGGTATCACATCTAGAGGCATATAATGTCTAACTTCTCATTAGTCATATTAACTTTGATTACTTATTCAAGGTGTTTTCCAGTTTCTCCCATTGTGTGATTGCTATTTTCTTCCTTTGCAACTAATAAACAGCTGGTGAGGACATTAGTTAGGATCATAAAAATACCCTGTTTATCAAGAGAATTTTCACCTAGATTTAGCAACCTTTGATCCTTTCATGATTCTTGCCTGATACAGTTTTTTCTTTCTCCCAATGATGAGTGTAAAATGGAGATTTTGAAACGCTAGCACTTTATCCATATACATTAGTTGGCACTCAGGTTTCTACTGCAAGCAAAAGTCTTCCCTTTTGTTTTATATATCTATCATCTATGTTATCTCTATATCTATTTGTTTAAATGTATTTGAACTTAAGTGTCATCTCCCTCTAGTCCATATTGTATTATTCTTTTTTTTTTTTTTTTGAGATGGAGTCTCGCTCTATCGCCCAGGCTGGAGTGCAGTGGCACCATCTCAGCTCACTGCAAGCTCTGCCTGCCAGGTTCACGCCATTCTCCTGCCTCAGCTTCCCGAGTAGCGGGGACTACAGGCGCTCACCACCAAGCCCGGCTAATATTTTGTATTTTTAGTAGAGACGGGGTTTCACCGTGTTAGCCAGGATGGTCTTGGTCTCCTGACCTCGTGATCCCCCCGCCTCGGCTTCCCAAAGTGCTGGGATTACAGGTGTGAGCCACCGCTCCTGGCCTGTTGTATTATTCTTATACCAAAATGCTAACTTATTTTTGAAAAAGGAAAAAGCTTATTTTTTTAAAAGAGCTAGTAAATTTGTAATCTAATTTAAACATTAACTTGTTAATTAGCTCCTTGTTATGGTAATTAACGTGCAGTTTATGCTATGAAGTGACTTCATGCTATAGATTGTGCTTTCAAGGAGATCACATTCTAGGGAAATATATAAGTATTCTAGAAAATAATTTACCATCACCTTGTATTTTTATTAAAGATCAGTGAAAATATGTGATGTTTAGACTGTTGTTTCTGACTTAATAGGAAAATGCTGATATTTCTATATGGATGGAAGACCTTATCCATAAATTTTCATAGATAAATAGAAACATTGCAATCAAACTCATCCTTCTTCAAAAAGATGAGGGAAAAAAGCTCACTGATGTCTTTCTGTATCTTTCTTAAGCTGTACAGTCATGTACTGTATAACAATGTTTTGGTCAACTGTAAGCCACATATATAATGGTAGTACCATAAGATTATAACGCTATATTTTTACTGTACCTTTTCTATGTTTAGATTCACAAATACTTACCATTGTGTTACAGTTGCCTACAGTATTCAATACAGTAGCATGCTGTACATGTTTGTAGCCTAGGAGCAATAGGCCAGACCATATAACCTATGTGTTTAGCAGGCTACACTATCTAAGTTTGTGTACGTACACCCTAAGAGATTTGCAACAATGATGAAATTGCCTAATGACACCTTGCTTAGACTATAGCCCATCATTGTGCAACACATGACTGTATTCAGAAAAAAGAAAGCTCCTAAAATAAGATACATGAATGATTAAGCAGTGGTGTTTTAGTAGGATTTACAGTGATAAATTATATTTATCTTGATCATTTACATGATAGAAATTCTCTTTATGATAGGGATAAATGAGCTAAAAATTGGAAACATACATTTTATAGACACTATTTCTAAAAACTTGAAACTGGGGGTCTCTGCATTTTTACAGCTGTGACCTTGACTAGTGCTGCCTTTCCCATCTTCCTGTTTATCAAATGGCCTAGAACATTAGTGTAATAGTGTAGAGTTTGGGCAGATGGGATCAGAACTAACACAGACTGAGCAATTCTGAAATCCTAGGCTTGGCTGTGATTTCTTCTGCAACTATGTGAGACAGACATTTGTACTTATTAAATAGATGAGGAATCCAAGTTTCAGAGGAAGAAGTGCCTTGGCAAAGATTGTAGAGCTAGTAATTGACTTTGCCCAGGACAGACTCAGTTCCTGCCAGAACTCTGAGTTTTCTTCACTACAGAGGTGTATGAGATTTTGGATATAAATCCATGGTAACTAGATATTAACTCTTTTGCAACTGTCTTGCCAAGACTCCAGGAGTATCATCAAAGAAGAGCCTACAGATGAAGATTGTCAAGGGGCACCTGTCCCAATTCCAGAGAAAAGCCTAATCCAAGGCTTACAAATCAGTGTGCATTGTGCATTATGCTTTCAAACTGCTTTCACATTCATCATTTAATTTGATCAGCAATGAATTTTATTAAGAAGAAAATTGTTTTATTAAATAGTTAACTTTATTTGCTTTCATTATACTAAATACACAAGATGAGAGCACAGAGGATAATACACAAATCTACCAGGCTAAGGCCCTGGCTGGTTGACCCATTCTATTGCTTTTGATCTACTTCTTTTTGAGCCTCCGTCAAAGCAATCATATTAAGCTGTGCTGTGTATGATGCCTTGAGTCTCTTGGCTGCTGTAGCCAACCAGGTGCTGCCTGCCACTTGATAATTGGTCCAGTGTTTGCATATGGGTCTTGACAGATCCATCCTCATAATATACTGGCACTTAATTTCAACGAAAAAACAAACTGGCAACCAGTTTAGACATGGAAGGGCTGGTCTCTCTCTTGTAGCAGCTGCTTGGAAGAGCCTGTCAGGAGGTAGATGGCATTGGCATTTGGGAGTGGAGTCACCGTCTGGAGAAGTGACTGTGTTTTTTCCATATGAGTCCATGAAATACTGGCATGTAGAAATGGTTTACAGAAACTACTTAATCTTTTTTATACATATTTTTTAATTATACTTTAAGTTCTAGGGTACATGTGCACAACGTGCAGGTTTGTTACATATGATACATGTGCCATGTTGGTATGCTGCACCCATTAACTCGTCATTTAACATTAGGTATATCTCCTAATGCTATCCCTCCCCCTTCCCCCAACCCCACAACAGGCCCCGGTGTGTGATGTTCCCCTTCCTGTGTCCAACTGTTCTCATTGTTCCATTCCCACCTATGTGTGAGAACATGCGGTGTTTGGTTTTTTGTCCTTGCGATAGTTTGCTGAGAATGATGGTTTGCAGCTTCATCCATGTCCCTACAAAGGACATGAACTCATCATTTTTTATGGCTGCCTACTATTCCATGGTGTATATGTGCCACATTTTCTTAATCCAGTCTATCATTGTTGGACATTTGGGTTGGTTCCAAGTCTGCTATTGCGAGTAGTGCTGCAACAAACATACGTGTGCATGTGTCTTTATTGCAGCATGATTTATATTCCCTTGGGTATATACCCAGTAATGGGATGGCTGGGTCAAATGGTATTTCTAATTCTAGATTCCTGCGGAATCGCCACACTGTCTTGCACAATGGTGCAAGACATTGAACTAGTTTACAGTCCCACCAACAGTGTAAAAGTGTTCCTATTTCTCCACATACTCTCCAGCACCTGTTGTTTCCTGACTTCTTAATAATTGCCATTCTAACTGGTGTGAGATGATATCTCATTGTGGTTTTGATTTGCATTTTTCTGGTGGCCAGTGATGATGAGCATTTTTTCATGTGTCTTTTGGCTGCATAAATGTCTTCTTTTGAGAAGTGTCTGTTCATATCCTTTGCCCACTTTTTGATGGGGTTGTTTTTTTCTTGTAAATTTACTTGAGTTCTTTGTAGATTCTGGATATTAGCCCTTTGTCAAATGAGTAGACTGCAAAAATTTTCTCCCATTCTGTAGGTTGCCTGTTCACTCTGATGGTAGTTTCTTTTGCTGTGCAGAAGCTCTTTAGTTCAATTAGATCCCATTCGTTAATTTTGGCTTTTGTTGTCATTGCTTTTGGTGTTTTAGACATGAAGTCCTTGCCCATTCCTATGTCCTGAATGGTATTGCCTAAGTTTTCTTCTAGGGATTTTATGGTTTTAGGTCTAACATTTAAGTCTTTAATCCATCTTGAATTAATTTTTGCATAAGGTGTTAGGAAGGGATCCAGTTTCAGCTTTCTACATATGGCTAGCCAGTTTTCCCAGCATGATTTGTTAAATAGGGAATCCTTTCCCCATTTCTTGTTTTTGTCAGGTTTGTCAAAGATCAGATAGTTGTAGATGTGTGGTATTATTTCTGAGGGCTCTGTTCTGTTCCATTGGTCTATATCTCTGTTTTGGTACCAGTACCATGCTGTTTTGGTTACTGTAGCCTTGTAGTATAGTTTGAAGTCAGGTAGTGTGATGCCTCCAGCTTTGTTCTTCTGGTTTAGGATTGACTTGGCAATGCGGGCTCTTTTTTGGTTCCATATGAACTTTAAAGTAGTTTTTTCCAATTCTGTGAAGAAAGTCATTGGTATCTTGATGGGGATGGCATTGAATCTATAAAGTACCTTGGGCAGTATGGCCATTTTCGCGATATTGATTCTTCCTATCCATGAGTATGGAATGTTTTTCCATTTGTTTGTTTCCTCTTTTATTTTGTTGAGCAGTGGTTTGTAGTTCTCCTTGAAGGGGTCCTTCATATCCCTTGTAAGTTGGATTCCTAGGAATTTTATTCTCTTTGAAGCAATTGTGAATGGGAGTTCACTCATGATTTGGCTCTCTGTTTGTCTGTTATTGGTGTATAAGAGTGCTTTTGATTTTTGCACATTGATTTTGTATCCTAAGACTTTGCTGAAGTTGCTTATAAGCTTAAGGAGATTTTGGGCTGAGACGATGGGGTTTTCTAGATATACAATCATGTCATCTGCAAACAGGGACAATTTGACTTCCTCTTTTCCTAATTGAATACGCTTTATTTCTTTCTCCTGCCTGATTGCCGTGGCCAGAACTTCCAACACTAAGTTGAATAGGAGTGGTGCGAAAGGGCATCCCTGTCTTGTGCCAGTTTTCAAAGGGAATGCTTCCAGTTTTTGCCCATTCAGTATGATATTGGCTGTGGGTTTGTCATAAATAGCTCTTATTATTTTTAGATATGTCCCACCAATACCTAATTTATTGAGAGTTTTTAGCATGAAGGGCTGTTGAATTTCGTCGAAGGCCTTTTCTGCATCTATTGAGATAATCATGTGGTTTTTGTTTTTGGTTCTGTTTATATGCTGGATTACGTTTATTGATTTTTGTATGTTGAACCAGCCTTGCATCCCAGGGATGAAGCCCACTTAATCATGGTGGATAAGCTTTTTGCTGTGCTGCTGGATTTGGTTTGCCAGTATTTTATTTAGGATTTTTGCATTGATGTTCATCAGGGATATTGGTCTAAAATTCTCTTTTTTTGTTGTGTCTCTGCCAGGCTTTGGTATCAGGATGATGCTGGCCTCATAAAATGATTTAGGGAGGATTCCCTCTTTTTCTATTGATTGGAATAGTTTCAGAAGGAATGGTACCAGCTCCTCCTTGTACCTCTGGTAGAATTCAGCTGTGAATCTGTCTGGTCCTGGACTTTTTTTGGTTGGTAAGCTATTAATTATTACCTCAATTTCAGAGCCTGTTATTGGTCTATTCAGAGAGTCAACTTCTTCGTGGTTTAGTCTTGGGAGGGTATATGTGTCCAGGAATTTATCCATTTCTTCTAGATTTTCTAGTTCACTTGCATTGAGGTATTTATAGTATTCTCTGATGGTAGTTTGTATTTCTGTCGGATCGGTGGTGATATCCCCTTTATCATTTTTTATTGCATCTATTTGATTCTTCTCTCTTTTCTTCTTTATTACTCTTGCTAGTGGTCTATCAATTTTGTTGATCTTTTCAAAAAACCAGCTTCTGGATTCATCGATTTTTTTGAAGGATTTTTTGTGTCTCTATTTCCTTCAGTTCTGCTCTGATCTTAGTTACTTTTTGCCTTCTGCTAGCCTTTGAATATGTTTGCTCTTGCTTCTCTAGTTCTTTTAATTGTGATCTTAGGATGTCAATTTTAGATCTTTCCTGCTTTCTCTTGTGGGCATTTAGTGCTATAAATTTCCCTCTACACACTGCTTTGAATGTGTCCCAGAGATTCTGGTATGTTGTGTCTTTGTTCTCATTGGTTTCAAAGAACATTTTTATTTCTGCCTTCATTTCGTTATTTATGCAGTAGTCATTCAGGAGCAGGTTGTACAGTTTCCATGTAGTTGAGCAGTTTTGAGTGAGTTTCTTAATCCTGAGTTCTAGTTTGATTGCACTGTGGTCTGAGAGACAGTTTGTTATAATTTCTGTTCTTTCACATTTGCTGAGAAGTGCTTTACTTCCAACTGTGTGGTCAATTTTGGAATGAGTGCGGTGTGGTGCTGAAAAGAATGTATATTCTGTTGATTTGGGGTGGAGAGATCTGTAGATGTCTATGAAGTCTGCTTGGTGCAGCGCTGAATTCAATTCCTGGATATCCTTGTTAACTTTCTGTCTCATTGATCTGTCTAATGTTGACATTGGGGTGTTATCTCCCATTATTATTGTGTGGGAGTCTAAGTCTCTTTGTAGGTCTGTAAGGACTTGCTTTATGAATCTGGGTGCTCCTGTATTGGGTGCATATATATTTAGGATAGTTAGCTTTTCTTGTTGAATTGATCCCTTTACCATTATGTAATGGCCTTCTTTGTCTCTTTTGATCTTTGTTGGTTTAATGTCTGTTTTATCAGAGACTAGGATTGCAACCCCTGCCTTTTTTTGTTTTTCATTTGCTTGGTAGATCTTCCTCCATCCCTTTATTTTGATCCTATATGGGTCTCTGCATGTGCGATGGGTTTCCTGAATACAGCGCACTGATGAGTCTTGACTCTTTACCCAATTTGCCAGTCTGTGTCTTTTAATTGGAGCATTTAGCCCATTTACATTTAAAGTTAATATTGTTATGTGTGAATTTGATCCTGTCATTATGATATTAGCTGGTTATTTTGCTTGTTAGTTGATGCAGTTTCTTCCTAGCATTGATGGTCTTTACAATTTGGCATATTTATGCAGTGACTGGTACCAGTTGTTCCTTTCCATGTTTAGTGCTTCCTTCAGGAGCTCTTTTAGGGCAGGCCTGGTGGTGACAAAGTCTCTCAGCATTTGCTTGTCTGTAAAGTATTTTATTTCTCCTTCACTTATGAAGCTCTGTTTGGCTGCATATGAAATTCTGGGTTGAATATTCTTTTCTTTAAGAACGTTGAATACAGTTTGACCCAGCCATCCCATTACTGGGTATATACCCAAAGGAATATAAATCATGCTGCAATAAAGACACATGCACACGTATGTTTGTTGCAGCACTACTCGCAATAGCAGACTTGGAACCAACCCAAATGTCCAACAATGATAGACTGGATTAAGAAAATGTGGCACATATACACCATGGAATACTATGCAGCCATAAAAAATGATGAGTTCATGTCCTTTGTAGGGACATGGATGAAATTGGAAATCATCATTCTCAGTAAATTATCGCAAGAACAAAAAACCAAACACCGTATATTCTCACTCATAGGTGGGAATTGAACAATGAGATCACATGGACACAGGAAGGGGAACATCACACTCTGGGGACTGTTGTGGGGTGGGGGGAGGGGGGAGGGATAGCATCGGGAGATATACCTAATGTTAGATGACAAGTTAGTGGGTGCAGCACACCAGCATGGCACATGTATACATATGTAACTAACCTGCACAATGTGCACATGTACCCTAAAACTTAAAGTATAAGAAAAAAAAAGGAAATAAAATGCAAAAAAAAAAAAAAAAAAAAAAGAACGTTGAATACTGGCCCCCACTCTCTTCTGCCTTGTAGAGTTTCTGCCGAGAGATCAGCTGTTAGTCTGATGGGCTTCCCTTTGTGGGTAACCCGACCTTTCTCTCTGGCTGCCCTTAACATTTTTTCCTTCATTTCAACTTTGGTGAATCTGAAAATTATGTTTCTTCAAGTTGCTCTTCTCGAGGGGTATCTTTGTGGCGTTCTCTGTATTTCCTGAATTTGAATATGTCCTGCCTTGTTAGGTTGGGGAAATTCTCCTGGATAATATCCTGCAGAGTGTTTTCCAACTTGGTTCCATTCCTCCCATCACTTTCAGGTGCAGCAACGAGATGTAGATTTGGTCTTTTCACATAGTCCCATATTTCTTGGAGGCTTTGTTCATTTCTTTTTATTCTTTTTTCTCCAAACTTCTCTTCTCACTTCATTCCATTTGATCTTCAGTCACTGATATCCTTTCTTCCAGTTGATTGAATTGGCTACTGAAGCTTGTGCATTCGTCATGTAGTTCTCGTGCCATGGTTTTCAGCTCCATTAGGTCCTTTAAGGACTTCTCTGCACTGGTTATTCTAGTTAGCCATTTGTCTAATCTTTTTTCAAGGTTTTTAACTTCTTTGCCATGTGTTCGAACTTCCTCCTTTAGCTTGGAGAAGTTTGATCATCTGAAGCCTTCTTCTCTCAACTCGTCAAAGTCATTCTCTGTCCAGCTTTGTTCCATTACTGGTGAAGAACTGCATTCCTTTGGAGAAGGAGAGGCGCTCTGATTTTTAGCGTTTCCAGTTTTTCTGCTGTTTTTTCCCCATCTTTGTGGTTTTATCTACATTTGGTCTTTGATGAGGGTGACGTACAGATGGGGTTTTGGTGTGGATGTCCTTTCTGTTTGTTAGTTTTCCTTCTATCAGTCAGGACCCTCAGGTGCAGGTCTGTTGGAGTTTGCTGCAGGTCCACTCCAGACCCTGTTTGCCTGGGTATCAGCAGCGGAGGCTGCAGAACAGCGAATATTGCTGAACAGCAAATGTTGCTGTCTGATCATTCCTCTGGAGGTTTCCTCTCAGAGGGATACCCGGCCATGTGAGGTGTCAGTTTGCCCCTACTGGGGTGTGCCTCCCAGTTAGGCTACTCGGGGGTCAGGGACCCACTTGAGGAGGCAGTCTGTCCGTTCTCAGATCTCCAACTCCGTGCTAGGAGAACCACTTCTCTCTTCAAAGCTGTCAGACAGGGACATTTAAGTCTGCAGAGGTTTCTGCTGCATTTTGTTCGGCTATGCCCTGCCCACAGAGGTGGCGTCTACAGAGTCAGGCAGGCCTCCTTGAGCTGTGGTGGGCTCCACCCTGTTTGAGCTTCCCTGCCACTTTCTTTACCTACTCAAGCCTCAGCAATGGCAGGCGCCCCTCCCCCAGCCTCACTGCCACCTTGCAGTTCGATCTCAGACTGCTGTGCTAGCAATGAGTGAGGCTCCATGGGCGTGGGACCCTCCGAGCCAAGTGTGGGATATAATCTGCTGGTGTGCCCTTTGCTAAGACCATTGGAAAAGTGCAGTATTAGGGTGGGAGTGACACGATTTTCCAGCTGTCGTCTGTTACAGCTTTGCTTGGCTATAAAAGGGAATTCCCTGACCCCTTGCAATTCCCGGGTGAGGTGATGTCTCGCCCTGCTTCAGCTCATGCTGGATGCGCCACACCCACTGTCCTGCACCCACTGTCCCACAAGCCCCAGTGAGATGAACCTGGTACCTCAGCTGGAAATGCAGAAATCATCCATCTTCTGCATCACTCACGCTGGGAGCTATAGACTGGAGCTGTTCCTATTCAGCCATCTTGGAACTGTCTTTTTTTTTTTAAGACAGAGTCTTGCTCTGTCACCCAGGCTGGAGTGCAGTGGCAAGATCTTGGCTCACTGCAAGCTCCGCCTCCTCAGTTCAGGCCATTCTCCTGCCTCAGCTTCCGGAGTAGCTGGGACTACAGGTGCCTGCCACCATGCACGGCTAATATTTTGTATTTTGAGTAGAGACGGGGTTTCACCGTGTTAGCAAGGATGGTCTCAATCTCCTGACCTCGTGATCCGCCTGCCTCAGCCTCCCAAAGTGCTGGGATTATGGGCGTGAGCCACGGAGAAATTATTTAATCTTTATGCATATGATATTTGTGAGCTAGGAAACAATTCTTTTACCTTTATTGAAGTAGGGAGGAAAAGAAAGTTAAAGAAAAAAATAGGAAAATTAAAAGAGGATGTGAATACTCTCTTTGGTTAGATTGTTATTTTGCATATATTACCTACATACCAAATGCCGTGAAATCTGTTTAAAATGTTCATTTGACTGTCATTTGGTTTTAAGATGGTAGATGTTTTTAACCATAACAAAAACCAGCAATGTCACAGCAGAAGATTACTGTCATGTGGTTTTAAGATGGTAGATGTTATTAACCATAACAAAAACCAGCAATGTCACAGCAGAAGATTGGCTAAGTGATCTAAGCTGTACTTATTGATAAGTGGGTGTAGTCCAGGCCTTATGGGACAACACTTTTCAGAGACTAGATTCAACACTGAAGATGCAGAAACATGGTCAATGTATCCAGTGATAATTAAGTTCATGAATTTTTGAGTCACAAAAACCAAGTTTATTTCTTATAAAATGAATAATGTGGTTAACCAGCTATATCTACATCTACACAGGGCTAAAACTGTAAAGTGACCAGAATTCCATACCAGCCAGTCAGAGCAATGACAGCTCCTTCAAATAATGCTTAAGATGCAACACCATTTTTTATTTGATTTTTAAGTTTCCTTTTAGTAGTTTCTTGGAAGAATACTTTCGTGACATTTCTTCCAATGGAGTACGATGGTAGTCTATTACATCTAGCTGTGGAGTCAGAAAATATCTAAATTCTAATTCCTATTCTGCCAGTTATTAGTTGTTTCACTCCAAGAAAGTAGTTCAAACTACTTGTACTTTAGTTTCTGGAGAACTGAAATGGAAACAATATCTTTGTAGGTATTTTCAAAGCTTTGCAGATAATGTTTATAAAACATCTGCTACAGAGCCTAGCACATAATAGGTATTTAATAAATGATGGCTATCCTTATCACCCCTGTCATCATCATCATCTTATAAGCTTTACTCTAATTTTAGACATATCTTCATTAGATTTTTAGATTCTACTTTCCCATTCTAATTTGGGAGACATTCTATCCCTTAAGGCAACTTCTGCTAATCTAAAGCATTATATATAGACTTTACAAACCTAATTCTCAGAGGGAAATGCATCACCTAGTTATAGGAAACCTTGATGTAATTAGACACACATATATCGGTCCATGCAAGGAAAGACAGAGAGAGAGACAGAGAGAGATAGAAACAGAGTCTTGTAATGGGAACTTCTGCTGTGTATGTTGATATTCCTTTATAGTAGATAAAATTTGACCAGAATCTAGACATTCACCATTCACTTTGGAAAGAGTAGAATAACTACTGTTTGTGCTCACTCCTACCTGCTATACATGTTCCTCATTTTCATCTCAATAGCCCTAGAAGATTCAGTCTCATAAATGTAAAAATGAGAATAAGAAACATTAAGTAAATTTGTAACTTCATACAATTAGAGTATATTTAAACTGGGATTCAAACCCTAGAAAAGTTGCATTGTAATGCTTATTCTGTTCATGATACTCTACCTCTTAGAAAACACAACCATTAAGCTTCGAGGTGCGTAGTTAATAAAGGCTCCTCATTTTTAACAATAAAGTCCAAAGAGGCTTCATGTTGAAACCTTGCATATGTTGCCATGTCACCTCTGTGAAATAGAATACTATTGGTCTGTATTATGGATTTAGATCTGAGGTCCAGCTACACAACCCTTATAATGTAAGCTCTACTGAGAGACTGGCCAAACTAATACCCTTGAGAATTTTCATATATTATTAATCAACTAGTGGCAACAAAGAAAGAGGAAATATAATTCTTGTCAAATAATCATTGAATATTACTTCCTTGTAAAAGAATTGATGTTTCAGTTAACATAATGGCAGCTTATCCTGTGCCTTATATCAACTATTCTTTATACCAAAGAGCCAGAATTGCAGTGGATCTATTTATTTGTTTGTTTCCTAACAAACTGGTAATATTTTACAAGTAGGAATTTTCTTTTCAGGTCTTAAAATAAAAGAGAATATAGCAGCATTTAATAATAACTCGACTCTTAAGTGAATAGTCTACTTTCCCCAATAGAATAGTTTATAGTTTATATAATAGAATAGTTTATAGTTTATAGTTACCAAATGTGTGATCTAAAGAAAATATGGCATTTCCCTCTGAGACAATTAAAAATGCTGTTTCTATGGTCATACCAAGATATGAGCATATCTAGACCAATAACATATAAAATCACTTAATGTTTTTCATGTGCAAGACACTGTGCTAGGGACTGCATTCAAAGTATGAGTAAAATATGCTGCCTGATATTAAATAAGTCATACTGCAGTATGAATAAAAAATAATTACAGTATAATATAGTAATTGATATGACAAAGATAGCTTAAGCTATAGTGCAATAAATAGGGGAAATAATGAGTTTGGAATTAGATATTTTGCTTTGAGTTCTTTTGAAATAACCAAGTATATTTAACAAGTAGCTATTGACTATAAAACACAATAATAAGCAATACTTTGATTAAGAGTTTTTGGGAGTGTTATTTATATCAAATTGAGAAAGTTTTAGAAAGAAATAGTTTAATTGGAATAGCATCTAGTGTTTGTTGAATATTTAATGTCCATTAAGGACTGTGCCAAGTGCTTTATGCACATGATATTAAGTCATTGTAGCAGCCCTATGGAGGGAGTATTTTTTCTGTGTGGGTACAGGAATATTAATGTTTCATAGCAAATAAATAGAGAAGCTGAGATTTCAACACATACCTGCCTGAATTTGAAGCCCGGCCTTTAAACAAGGTGTTCCAATGCGCAACTTCAGTTAGAGGTAGTTTTCTCTGTAATGGCTCTGGATGGGAGGTTTGGAGACTAAGAGTAGGTTCACTAAATTCGAGCCTGATGTGACTGCTTAGGATTCCTGCAAATACTGGATTTGAAGTAGCATCATCAGGTCATATTCAAACTTTGCAACTTGCTCACTGTTTGACTTGACTACATTATTAATTGTCACTGAGCATCAGGGTTTTGTCTATAAAAGAATTATAATGGCTGGGTGCGGTGGCTCATGTCTGTAATCCCAGCACTTTGGGAGGCCGAGGTGGGTGGATCATTTAAGTCAGGAGTTCCACAGCCTGGCCAACGTGGTGAAACCCCATCTCTACTAAAAATACATAAATTAGCTGGGTGTGGTGGTGTGCACCTGTAATCCCAGCTACTTGGGAGTCTGAGGCAGGAGAATCGCTTGATCCTGGGAGGTAGAAGTTGCAGTGAGCCAAGATCGCACAACTGCACTCCAGCCTGGGTGACAGAGTGAGACCCTGTCTCAAAAAAAAAAAAAAAAAAAAAAAAGAATGATAACAGTATACACTTTATAAGAACACTGGGTAGTTTAAAGTAAAATGCATATCAAAGCATCTATTCTGAGCTTGGTACATAGCAATTGATCTATAGAGGTTTGCTTCCTTCCAAGTGCCCTTTCCTGAAGATAATTCATAAAAAGAGCTCATGCCTACTTCAGTTACTATGCCAAGGGTTTTAGAGCAGGGCATCTCAAACTGAGGAATCACTTGAGGATTTGGTTAAATGCAAATTCCAATTCAATAGGTTCTAGGTGGGGACTGAGATTTTGCTTGTCTAATGAGATCCCAGGAGATAGTTGTGCTAGTCTTCTATGACCACATTTTCATCAACAAGTTTTATATTGTTTATCTTTTGTGCTGTTATTAAATACCTCCAGTTCCAAGTCAATTTCTTCCTGCTTGCTTTCATACCAAACAAAAAACAGCTGTTTTCGCAGTCACAGGTGGCGGTGATACTGGAGAACTTCACAACACACTGAGTGCTTATTATTAAAAAAAAAATTGAGCCAGGTGTGGTGGCTCATGCCTGTAAATCCCGGCACTTTGGGAGGCCGAGGTGGGCGGATCACCTGAGGTCGGGAGTTCAAGACCAGCCTGACCAGTATGATGAAACCCTGTCTCTACTAAAAATACAAAATTAGCTAGGAGTGGTGGCACATGGCTGTAGTCCCAGATACTTGAGAGGCCGAGGCAGGGGAATCACTTGAACCTGGGAGGCAGAGGTTGCAGTGAGCCGAGATCGGGCCATTGCACCTCAGCGTGGGCAACAAGAGTAAAACTCCGTCTCAAAAAACAAAAAACAAACAAAAAAAAAAGGAGAAAAAAAACTATATAAACAACTACAGTTACACTAGTGAGCATGCCTCTACTGCTTTAGAGTTTAAAGTGTGCAATCCCAGAATATTATGGCAGATTTTTTTTTTTTTTTTTTTTTGAGATGAAGTCTCCCTCTGTCGCCCAGGCTGGGGTGCCGTGGCGCGATCTCGGCTCACTGCAAGCTCCGCCTCCCGGGTTCATGCCATTCTCCTGCCTCAGCCTCCCGAATAGCTGGGACTACTGGCGCCCGCCACCATGCCCGGCTATTTTTTTTTTTTTTGTATTTTTAATAGAGACGGGGTTTCACCATGTTAGCCAGGAAGGTCTCGAACTCCTGACCGTGTGATCCGCCCGCCTTGGCCTCCCAAAGTGCTGGGATTACAGGCGTGAGCCACTGCGCCCCGCTGGCAGATATTCTTTGAGAGTCTACTATGTCTAAGGCAGTGAGGGAACAGAACCTCATGATGCTCATATTGGCAGGAAAGAAGGGCAGGAAATTTAGTGACAACGGGATTATGTTATAAGATCTATAGTAGACATACAGTCAAAATCGTACTACTAATCAATTAGTAGGCCTATCAATCAATGATTAGGCTGCTAATCGATTGACCTTTGGTTCACAGAAAGGGAGATTACTTCAGTAAATCAGCCAAATCTAATCACATTACTCTTTAAAAGCACAGAATTGTCGTTAACTGGTAGCAGAAGAGAAAATCAGAGAGATTCAAAGAATGAAAAATACTCCACTTGCTATTGCTGGTTTGAAGGTGGAGAGGGCCATGTGAGAAAGCGGCCGTTCAGAGTATGTTTTTTTTTCTTTCTTTTTTTTTTTATTATGCTTTAAGTTCTAGGGTACATGTGCACAACGTGCAGGTTTGTTACATAGGTATACATGCGCCATGTTGGTTTGCTGCACCCTTAATTCGTCATGTACATTAGGTATTTCTCCTAATGCTATCCCTCCCCGTGACCCCCATCCCAGGAAAGGCCCTGGGGTGTGATGTTCTCCGCCCTGTGTCCAAGCGTTCTCATTGTTCAATTCTCACTTATAAGTGAGAACATGCAGTGTTTGGTTTTCTGTCCTTGTGATAGTTTGCTCAGAATGATTGTTTCCAGCGTCATCCATGTCCCTGCAAAGGACAGAAACTCATCCTTTTTTATGGCTGCATAGTATTCCATGGTGTACATGTGCCACATTTTCTTAATCCAGTCTATCATTGATGGACATTTGGGTTGGTTGAAAGTCTTTGCTATAGTGAATAGTGCCACAATAAACATATGTGTGTATGTGTCTTTATAGTAGCATGATTTATAATCCCTTGGGATCACTGGATCAAATGGTATTTCTAGTTCTAGATCCTTGAGGAATTGCCACACTGTCTTCCACAATGGTTGAACTAGTTTACACTCCCACCAACAGTGTAAAAGTGTTCCTATTTCTCCACATCCTCTCCAGCATCTGTTGTTTCCTGACTTTTTAATGATCGCCATTCTAACTGGTGTGAGATGGTATATCTCATTGTGGTTTTGATTTGCATTTCTCTGATGACCAGTGATGATGAGCGTTTTTTCATGTGTCTGTTGGCAGCATGAATGTCTTCTTTTGAGAGGTGTCTGTTCATATCCTTTGCCCACTTTTTCATGGGGTTGTTTGTTTTTTTCTTGTAAATTTGTTTAAGTGCTTTGTAGATTCTGGATATTAGCCCTTTGTCGGATGGGTAGATTGCAAAAATTTTCTCCCATTCTGTAGGTTGCCTGTTCACTCTGATGGTAGTTTCTTTTGCTGTGCAGAAGCTCTTTAGTTTAATTAGATCCCACTTGTGTATTACGGCTTTTGTTGCCATTGCTTTTGGTGTTTTAGTCATGAAGTCCTTGCCTGTGTCCATGTCCTGAATGGTATTGCTTAGGTTTTCTTCTAGGGTTTTTATGGTTTTTGGTCCAACATTTAAGTCTTCAATCCATCTTGAATTAATTTTTGTATAAGGTGTAAGGAAGGGATCCAGTTTCAGCTTTCTACATATGGCTAGCGAGTTTTCATTCAGAGTAGCTTTTTAAAGATTGTATTGATATGACTCAGCTCAGGATTGAGGTACTTTATCAAAAGCTGATAGATAATGTGCTATCTACCTATACTGTGCCTAATACATCTTATAGCATCATCACTCCCTCTGTCCTGTCAGTATCATTATTTAACAAAGATCTATAGTGAAAGTATGTTCAGTATGTTCAAAATTGTACAGTAACATCGAGGTGGACATTTGTATCTCCTGCAAAGGTAAGAATGAGGTAAGGGAAGTCTTCCCAGATGCTATTAGATCCTCCCCACCATAACTATGATGATTATCTTTGTCATTGTCATGCATTGCTATCATCCTTACAATAATCAAATAGCACTTTTTGAGAACTTACTGCTTACCAGGTACTGTAGGAGGCAATGATATACATGATCTCAAACAATTCCCATAACCTCCTCATGACTTAGGTACTGTTATTATCCCCATTCTATAGACAAGGGAATGATGCTTACAGAAGTAAAACAGCTTGATTAGTGTTAAACAGCAGGTCCTTAATTCAAACCTGGTACTTACCAAACAGCCATGATCTTAATCATTATGCCACTACTACCTCAATTCATTTGATTCAAGATAATTGATCATAACAAGTTTCATAGATATGGCTTGTATGTTAATTGTTTCAATTTTACAGTTGAAGACCCTGAGGTTGATATGAATTATTTTCCCAAATAATTGGGTAAAAGATGAGAGCCATACTCAAAGGTTTCTAACTTCAAGTTTTACATTTCTCTATCACATTTTGTAGATCCTCAAATAAAAGTAGGATAGGCAAATTATGAAGTCCATACACGCATACATTTACATTTGACATATGCATGCCAGAGAAATAGATCCCTTCATTTCACAGCCCACAGGTCTATAAATATTATTGTGCTCTTGTTTCAAGTCTTTGAGTTAGTAATAGCATGGTCTGATTTTTATCTTTGGTTCTATTTTCCCTTTGAGCTTTATTTTATTTCTCCTGCTTTTCTTGATTTTTGGGAATTAATTTTTTTAACATTATTAACTCTATAGCTTTTAGTCACCCTTTGAAGAGGTCCTACTGAGTAATGATCTTCTTTCACCTTCTGAACGCTGGGGAAGAAATTTTTATAAACATTGGCTGGAAGGGATGCTTATCTTTAGCTCAGGAAAGCATTATCACCTGTATCTCTTAGTTCTTTTACCTTTCTTTCCTCACTCTTTTTACTTCTTTGCATTCTCTTTCTTCTTACCTTTTCCTGTCTTTTTTTTCTTTCCTCCTCACCATCTTCCCTTCTTTCTCCCTGTCCTCTCTTCCTCTCTTGAATTTAACAGGTAAACCGTGTATTCTCATTTAAAATTTTACAATTGGTTTTCTGCATTTCTAAATAGTGTTGTGCAATGAACTCGGCTTTGCAGTCCAATATAACCAGCTAATACTTTATCTTTACCTTTTGTTGGCTTTGTAATCCTAGGCAAATTGAAGACTCTTAGACTTAATTTGCCCTTTTTAAAAACGGAGGTAATAATACCTTTTCTGTAATACAGTTACAAATCTAATATTGCCTGAGACAGAGAGAAGGTACACAATTGAAAACTCTCTTCCTGTTAAAGAAAATATTTTAAAATCAGGGCCAGGTGTGGTGTTAGGCATTCTTTTTTATGTTTGTCTCCATAAATTGGTATGGCTCAATTTTGCACCAGATTGTAAAATTTCCATTGGCAGAAACTGGTTCTCACTCATATTTTGTCCCAATTGCCCAACCCAATATGTGATAGATGCTCAATAAGTAGGATATGTATTAAATGGAGCCAAAAGTGAGGCCAGATCAAGCCAAGGATGCAGACTTCACTATCAGACAGCCTGGGTGATCTCATTTCACTTTCACCCACAAAGCAGCCTCTGCTACAAGGAAAGCATCTGCTGGTGAGAAATTCTTTGCAGCATTTCCCTGTAAATTGGAGAGTAGAAGAAAAGACTGCTCAACCAGCTGTCGTCAACAACTTAGAAAACTTGAATGTTTAGGCAAGTATAAGTTTCCCATGGTGTTCTCTAATGCTCTTTTCAAGGATACTATTTTTTTAATCAACTGAACAAAAGCCTCATAAAAATAGCACAGTGCGCAACTCTAGCCCACAAAGATGCAGAAGAACATGGTTATGCATATCCTCTCTGGAAGCTTCTACATTGCTTTTGTGGCACTTCTGCTCACTCCTAACATGCTGATGTGCCCAGGTCTCCACCCTATGTGTCCAGAGTCTTGCTGACTCTACATTCTCTCCTTGGGAAAACAACAGTCATTCCATCTGATGCCTCAGAAATCTCTACCCTTCTGATCTGGCTGCCCAGATTGACCCTACCCACCCACCACCTTTTAAATAATTTACAAATGTCCCACAGGCACCTGAGCACATCACAGGAATAAAGTTTATATTCCCCACCTAAACTTGCTCTCCTATGTTTCCTACCTTAGGGAGTGGCACAAGCAGCCACTTAATTCTCACAACAGCCATACAGGTAGATATTATTATCTTTGTTTTGGTGAGTAGAGACCTAAAACTTGAAGACTTCAGGTAGATATAAATCAAAAGAGCCAGCCTTCAATCCCAGATCATCCAACTCCAAAGACTGTGTCTCTTCCAGTAAGCTTTACTAGAAAGGGAAGAACAGAGAGGAAGTAGGAAAAACATATTGGTTTGTCAGTGGAGAAATTATAAAATTCCCTAACTATTGCCTCTAGTATTACTCAAATGAACCTATGTCTTGCTTCCTTGGATCACCCATCCTGCTAAATAAATATCATAAATTTAATGATATAATGAAATTGAAAATAGTTGAAGTTATTTTATTTTATTAAATCACATGATATACTATTTGAGGTTACATCTGCAAATACTCTCTCCTTCACCCATTGCTGAAACAAAGTCCTTATTAATAGAAAATAGCTTCATAATTCTAGGATGGTATAATCAAAACTAATGGAAGGGGAAGTGACAAATTGACCTTGTACTCTAGAATAAGTACTTATTTGAGAACTTTCTATGAGCAAAACACCATTCTTGTCTTACACGCAAGGCATAGATAGAATAGCTGAGAAATTTCAATATTATTTATAAAGATAAGGCAGTTTAAAATACATAAAACTCCTATTATCCTCTTTTTGTCATTGTCTAGATCATGAATGATATTAAACTTAGATGATCTAGAGTCAGCCTAACATGGTACACTTAAAGGGAAGGGGAAAAATGTTAGGAGGATTTATAGGGCTTTGTTTGTGTTGCTAAGGAGTTTGTCAACTGTGAGAGATTATGTTGCCTTTTTGAGGTGATGATTAATTTTTTGAAAACTTCTCTATTATCTAGGATTGCTATAACGTTCATTATTTAAAATATTAAGTATATCTATTTTCATAAATTTTGTATTGAGAGTCTGATGGAAATAACTTGTCAAGGTCCAAATTGACTCCATGTAATGCAGAAAGTAACGGGCAATATCTGCTCTGCATAATCTGCCATAGGCAGAAGGATGCCTAGTGAAGGGAGAGGAGCTGCAAGACACTCAGATGGTTCTTCCTACAGACAAAACCACAAATGAGATCTCCATTGCCAGAAAGTTTTCTGAAGCTTTGAAATTTCAAAAACATAGATCAATGGAAAATGTTTGGGAATGAAAGTCAGGTAGATCAGGGTTTGGACTTTATTCTGTGCGCCTTTCTAATTAGTTACTTTGGGCAAGTATAATAATCTCTATGTCTAAGTTTCTACATTTTAAAAATGACATAAAAATTTTTCAGTGACAGAGTTGTGAAGGTTTAAATACTTGTTGTTGCTACTGTTAAGACCTTACCAAGTTCAGTGCTTAATACATGGAAGAAACTTAAGAAACTTAATACACGGAAGAAACTTAACTATAGCTCTTATATTGCTATTTGTCTGGCAAATTCACATTGGCCAAGCTTGAGAGATTACTATATAAAGCAGTCAAGGTATTAAATATTTAATAGAGGCATATCCCATTCATGTAAACAAAATTTATTTTCTTTTACGCAAAATGTTTTCCTCCCCAATGTAGAGATATAAGCCAGGCTAGCAAACACATATAAATTATTAAGCATTTAAACAAAGCAGATGGACATTGAAGTCCAGTTCCTAGGTATTTACTCAAGAGAAATGAAAATATATGTCCACACAAAGACTTGTACTCAAATTTTCGTGGCAGATGTATTCACATTAGCCAAGCCAAAAACAATACAAATGTGTATGACCTGAAGCATAGAATTTATAAATAAATTTAGTATATCTATACAACAGAATAATATTCATCATTGAAAATAAATTATTGATATACACAAAGAATGGATAAAAGTCAAAACATCAAGCTAAATGAAAGAGGCCACACATAAAAAAACGTTATGATTTCATTTATATGAAATTATACAAAAGGAAAAGCTGCATTGACAGAAATGATACCAATGGTTATCAGGGCCGGGGTGGAATGGGAATGTATTGACTGAAGGGAAACATGAGGGAAGCTTTGGGGTATTGGAAATACATGTTAATATTATCTATTATGACTATCATTATACCACTGTATACACTTGTCAAAATTTATCAAATTGCACACTTAAAATTGTTGAATGTTGTTGTCTATAAAGCATATCTTAATAAAGGTAATATAGAAAAATAAAGAATAAAAATATTAAGTGACTTTTTAAAGTCAAGATCAAAGTTATTTCATTTCCTATTTTTCTAGTGACCAGATTTTTCTAATATGAGCAGATGGGGCCAAAACACAGAATCTCTCTGACATCCTATCTCATGCCAGACTGGCCTTCTAGTGCCTACATATTATTGCCCGAATTTGACTGATGAGGAAACTAAAACTTGGTGAGTCTATATAGCTGAAACGTAGAAGAGCTGGCTGGACTGCAACCCCAGAGCATCTCACTCCAAAACCTATCTCTTCCAATAAGCCTTACCAGAGAAGAAAGGACAGGAGGAAAAAGATGAAAAATGCTGTAACAACAAGAAATGCGAACACACACAAACACACACACACACACAAACACACACACACACACATGAAATGCTTTAGGGATAACTTACAAAACCCTATTTGACCCCTAATATATTCCTTCTGTAACATTAGCTGATCTACAGGTAGAATTCATTTTGCCTAAGTTGGTAATAAATGGTGTTGGCAAATCTTTTCTCCTGTTTTTCCCAGAAACCCAGCCAGGCTACATTTTCCAATGTCCCTTGTGGTTAGATTGGTAATAGAATTGAATTGTAGCTAATGAAATATGATCAGAAGTGATACAACTTGTAGGGATGAACATAAAACCCTTCCACATGTTCCTTTATGAGTTTTGCTCCTTTCAACTTGGGAAAGGATCTCAAGGGTAACCTTGGGAACTATGAATTGGGGATGCCAGAGCTGTCATAGTCTTGGTTCAAGACTGGCTGTGTGGAGAAGAGCTTCTTCCTGCAAAACGAAACACAAATAACACCACCAACTTATTCCTGTCAAACTAGGACCAGTCATTAAGATGAACATAAATAAGCTTCTACTGTGTTGAGCTAGCCACATTTAATTAGATCTATTTGTCACCATAATCTAGCCTACCCTGACTAATACAAATACGCTGGAGGCAGTCTGCATCCTAGTATTAACAGAAGAAAACCTTAAGCAAGTTAAATTTGATAAAATTTAATTGAACAAGGAACAATTCACAAACTAGGCAGCCCTCAGAACCTAAACACGTTCAAAGAACTCTGGTCTGCAACGTCGTCAGACAATATTTATGGATAGAAAATGGAAATGAAGTACAAAAAATGAAAGTGAGGTACAGAGACAGCTCGATTGATTATATTTCAGCATTTGCCTTATTGGAACATAGTTTGAACTGTTGGCCCTCTGCAATTGACTGAAGCTCAACTGCTGTGGTTGGCTGACCCTCAGCTGTTTGTTACGTAAGTATACTCCTAATTTAGGCTTTCAGTTTATGCACTAAGTTAGGTAGCAGTTTGTTATGTCAGGACTCGAGTATGGAGACATCCTCAGGCCAAATTTAGTTTGATATAACACTAGCATCATAGCAGGCTAAGTCTTTTAGTTAAACCTTCGCCAAATCTCGGATTGTATTATTTCAGTTTCAAATTATGGCCCACTCTGAACATTCCGTTCATAGTGAAGGAGATAGTTTTCCCTAAAGCCTAGAAATATCTGGACTTTGGAGCACCTCCGTGTAGAATTAGCAGTCCTTGACCCAGGATTGTCTTACTAAGTTTATGCAAATAAATTATTTCAAGAAAGAGTAGAAGAACCCTGATAAGGACTTATTCTTAAACTAAGTCTGTTAAGGCTCTATCTCCTAGAAAATTTGGTCAATTCAACATTCTCAGAAGTGAGTGCTTCTAGTAGCAGGACTCTTCCTCAGAAGGGGCGTGTGTAATATGAGAGGATTGGACTGTAGAGGGACACTCAGCTCCTCTGAGACAATGCTCACATCACCCAGATTCAATTTTTCTTTCCTTAGGCACTGTCCAGATATGCATTGCCAACATTGGTTTTCCTCTCTCTGCATTTTCCTCAGCTGCCATTGCTGACAACCTATTTTCTCTTAACATAGTTTTCTTCTTTAGCTCAGCTGATACCAATGAGTCAAGTCTTGTTCTGGCTTGGGAACTATTCATTCTCTTTGAGGAGACTCTTCATATTTCTAAACCCATCCATTATATGTTGATTTTATCAGTCAAACATTCTGAGTTTTCTGGAGATAGTCAGGCATTATTTGGCCAATGATTCATGCCAGCTCTCCAGTACATAGATTAAAAAATACACACACACGACAAGAACTTAAAAAAAAAAAGCCTCATCTCATTCAGTCTGTGTTATAGAAGTGATCAGCAATGATTTGCTTGTTTTCCTTTTCTTAGATAATGTAATATAAAAGAAAGAGTCAGATCTAGGTTCAAAGACTTGCACAAACCTACTGGGGATGTGCTACTTGCATCAATTTGTTTGGACTCTCTCACCTATCAAATAAGAAAATTAAAACCATATGTTTTGGGTAATTATTAAATGTGCTAATTTCCTCTTTTCTCAGTTCAACAGAGGATAGGCAGCATTGAGTTTCCCATCCCTGTGAGTACATTACATTCTGTACTATAGGTATTAGGTTGGTGCAAAAGTAATTGCAGTTTTTGCTATACTTACATTCACTTGTAAGGCATTTCTATAGGGTTCTTAAGTATGTGATAAAATGTCTGGTGAAATGACCTATTAAAATTCCTAACAAACTTGAGGGCCTGATGGGCTTTTGAAAATCTCATAGAAGTAGGCCAAGTATGAGAGCAACCTGCAGTGTTGATCTTGCCAGAGTTTTCAGGTTGTGAGTGACATTGAAATCACATGTCTATAACTAAAGAGCCAATGGGTGAGGACCATGATGCATCATGGCCTGGTTCAAGTCCACAGTACAAACAAAAACAATTATTTTCTTATTTGCTGTATTTAATATTGGAATACTTGAAATCTCCTTACAGAATTAAAGGCTGTCTGTGGAAGAGGAAGTCTTTGGGACTATATTAATTCAATCTTACAATGAGCTGTAATTTAAATTCTCATTGAAGAACATGTTTTACAAAATAGTTGATAATAAATCATACTAAGTACACAAAAAGTTGTCTAATCCTGGAAGTATGTAAGTAGGACCTGGGTGACAGTTTCTTAGGGTAAAAATGGAAACATCACCGTTAAAAGCTAGGACATCACCTGGTGGCGAGACTGTTCTAAAACTAATTGCGTGACCTTGTGAAAGTCACTTAACCACTTTGACTTTTAGTTTTATTATCAGTAAGTCACTCTTGTAATCCTTACTACAGAAGATTGTTATGAGGAACAGAAATATCTATAAGGTACCTAGGCAATTTGTGTAATATAGCAGGCAGTAAAATATGGTGGCAGTAGTTGCTATTTAAAAAAAATTCCTACACTGAGTTGTGTCTTCATAAAATCACTATCTCTGGGATCCTCTTGATTGAAATGGTGGTAATGTCACCTGCTCTGTGATGTTTTGGTGTGCATCAAAAAGAGAACACAAATGCAATTGCTTTGCAAACTGTAAACATTCTGTAAACCTAAATAAGTTTTGCATTATACATGTCATTATTATTATTATTACTGTCCCCTTCAATTCTAAATTTGTGATTTTGGATACAAGAGAAACAAAAGAATCACTGAATCACACGGGAAATGATTATTTCCTCCAAGATTAGAGTCCCCTTTTATATTAAAAAAAGAAAGCAAAAACTATTGAGCCAAATATTAAATGACTTAAAACAAAAAAGCCAAAAATCTTAGCGACATCTCTCACTACAGTTCTCAAGGAGTAATCTATACCCTCATCTTCATGGGCAGGTTAGGTCACTACTGATCACCTAGTGAAAAGTGTCCACTTAATAACCCCATCACATTTCACTTTTTATACTTACTGAATCAGTCTAAATATCTTTCCTCTCCTCCTTTAACATCAATGCTTAGCAAATACATATAATAGCCCTTACCCAAGTTAGCTATTCTGGTATTTTAGTCTTTGGCAGTTTATGTTTCTTTCAATTAACATGTGTTTGTAACTTCCCTAATGTCTTATTTCCTGCTTAACAGAATCTTTGTTTCCTTATTTAGAGATGATATTTAATATTCTTCATGCAGTCTCATTGAAGCCTTACGGGATGCTATCATGAATATATTAGCAGTAAAACAGTTTTATTTCCTATAGCATCAAATATATACTCTATTTCCCAACATTTTAAAGAGTGAATATTACAAAGCAGAGAAATAAGGCAATTGATTTGTGTAAGACTCAGTCTCAATACATGAGCCCTAATTTTTTAATTAATATGAGAATGACTTCTCAAATGAGGGTTACAAAGAGAAATTTTAAATACCCTTGCCCAGACTGTGGAGTCCTAATTCAATTAACTGTTCTGCAGATTTTCACTGACCCGTAGTCATCTTTGACATTTTTGAGCCCACAAGCTATAAACAAATTTTAAAAAGCCAAAAAACTATATGAAAAATTAAAAACTATGGGCCGGGTGTGGTGGCTCATGCCTGTAATCCTAGCACTTTGAGAGGCCGAGGTGGGCAGATCACCTGAGGTCTGGCCAACATGGTGAAACCCCGTCTCTACTAAAAATACAAAAATTAGCTGAGCGTGCTGGCAGGCACCTGTAATCTCAGCTACTCGGGAGGGTGAGGCAGGAGAATCGCCTGAACCTGAGAGGCGGAGGTTGCAGTGAGCCGAGATCGCGCCATTGCACTCTAGCCTGGGGAAAAAGAGCGAGACTTCGTCTCAAAAAAAAAAGAAAAAAAAGAAAAATCAAAAACTACAACAACAACAAAAACAGTCCCTCGAGGTTAATATTTATTTAGAATATTGTGAAATATGAAGTCTTCTCAACTGAGAATTCACTTCCCTGCATTAAAAAAATAAAAACAAAACAAAGAAGAAACAGGCAAGATCTCTGGAGAAAATGGCTAAAACCAAGGCTGAGTTGAAATCTTCCTTTTTCTCCAAAAGAAAGGTATCTCACTGACGACCTCCTCATGGCTGGTGTGTCCCTTCAGAGAAGCCTCAGATGTGAAGGGTAAATATCCCCTCAGGCAAGAAATGGTAACCGAACAAAAAGCCATGGACACTTGCCATTGTCTCTCTACACAAACTGTTTTGTTGAACATACTTTATAGAGTAGGGGTGTCCAATCATTTGGCTTCTCTGGACCACACCAGAAGAGTAAGAATTGCCTTGGGCCACACATAAAATACACAAACACTAATGATAGCTGATGAACTTTAAAAAATCTCAAAAAAAAACTTGTAATGTTTTAAGAAAGTTTATGAATTTTTGTTGGGCTGCATTCAAAGCTGTCCTGGGCCACATATGGCCATATGCCACAGGTTGGACAAACTTGCTGTAGAGCTTTTCTCCCTCATTGTCTAGAATAATGCATGACTGCAGCCTATCAGTTTACCATCACCCATCCCTCCACCTATTCTGTCATCACATGTTCACTGAGAGTCTACTGTGTGCCAGGCATTGTAGGTAATGGGGATATAGAGATACAGAAAAGATAGTACCTGTTTTCAACGGTATACTTTGAGATATTTCAAGGGTAACATATTTTTTTCATAGGCTCTTACAGAGACCAAACAACAAATACGTGGTAAGGCATAGTACATTGTAAAAAATGTAAGAGTAGGGTAACAAGAGAAGTGGCTGAACATGTGTATATAGAATTAATTATAAGACACTTGTGCCCAACTGAGTCAAGCAGGTTTTCATATGGCTCCGTTTGCAAATATTTTGACACACTAATTGTTTAAAGGAAGTTAAATACACAGCATTTCCAAGCTTACCGAACAATGGGAATTTAGTTTAAGTTTGCTTTTGTTTATCATGGAGCTATGACTAAGAATTATTTGGAAATTAAATTGCAGATGATAGGAAGCCATTGGGTGATTAGAAACCAGGATAGATCATGCACAGATTTAAATTTTCGCAAAATACTCTTACATCAATGGCAGAATAATTGTTATAAAAAAGAGAGGATAGGGAGGAGAGTAGTTGAAGTATCTAAATATTAGTCCAAATAAAGAACAAGAAAAGTCTGCACTAAGGTAGTGATAGTTGAAAGAAAAGAGAACACATAGAGAGCTTGTTGATTTTCAGAATTTCTGGTAAGGCTGAACTGTATAGAAACTAAGAGGACCAGAAGGAAAATAAGGGAAAAGGTAATGTGTGCACTTGGACACATTAAATTTGAAGAGCCTTGGGTATGAATGTTCGGTAGGACATTCTGGCATTGTGAAGAGGTATAGGTAGTAGTGAAAACTATGGTAGTAGATGATATTTTCTGGAGTTATAAAGGCAAGAGACTAAACTACTTTGTGATTTTTGCAGAGTATTTAGGACTCCGATTAAGGAGTCTACCTGTTATACATTGGGCATTTATGACATAGTGTCTCCAGCTGTTCCCTCGTACAGTTGTTTTATCAAACTCACCTCCCATTCCACATGTGCAAGATGAAAAAAAAAAGCTAATACATCACTTAACCATTAACTCCAAAAAGCAGAATAAAAGGCTAAGTGCAATGTAAAAATCATCTTACAAGGTTTAAAGCATACTATCTCCATATGTTCATGTTCTACTAGAATTTTTCTTACAAGATTGATCTTGAAAACAATTTCTACATAGAGTAGGCCCTCTGTATCCATGGATTCTGTATGTGTGGATTTAATGAACCATGGATCAAAAATATTTAGAAAAAGGTTTCTTCTGTACTGAACATGTATGATTATATCATGTTAAGTGTTATAGGTAACCTAGAGATGATTTACAGTATAGGGGAAGAGGTACCCAGGTAATATGCAAATACTCTGTCATTTTATATGAAGAACGTGCAACATCTTAGATTTGAGTGTTCATGGGAGATCCTGAGCTCAGCTGCACACTAATACAGAGAAACAACTGTACTATAAAGTCTAGAGAAGAATGAAGAACAAGAAAAATATTTCTACAGGCAAAGGATCCTTGGAGACTTTTTTTCAGTGACATATGAAACTTGTTTTATAAACATCATATTTTGCTATGAATTCAGATGTCTTTTTTTTTTTTTTTTTTTTTGAGACGGAGTCTTGCTAGTCGCCCAGGTTGGAGTGCAGTGGCACGATCTCGGCTCACTGAAAGCTCCGCCTCCCAGCTTCACGCCATTCTCCTGCCTCAGCCTACTGGGTAGCTGGGACTACAGGCGCCCGCCACCGCGCCCAGCTAATTTTTTGTATTTTTAGTAGAGACAGGGTTTCACCGTGTTAGCCAGGATGGTCTCGATCTCCTGACCTAGTGATCTGCCCACCTCGGCCTCCCAAAGTGCTGGGATTACAGGCGTGAGCCACCGTGTCCATCCTGAATTTAGATTTCAAACAAGTGTTTTATGTTAACTAAAAAATAAAAATTTTTTCCTTAAAGTTTCACCTGGGGAATAAGTTAAGTAGAACTGAGCATCAGAAAGTAACACGAATATTTGACTTTTAATTTAGCTTCCTTCCTTTTATTTTTCAGTGACTGCCTCCAACTGCAATTTATAGTGGTGATGAAGGAAGAGGTGAGCTAGCACAGGGGCAGGTTGGTTGTGTAGAAAGAGGAGAACTCCAAGCTGCCAATATATTTTTGCAGTAGTGGAACGACGTTTATTTCTATTCTGGTGTTGCTATCAACTATCTGTGTGGCTGTAGTAGAATTCCCTCATTTCTCTAAATCTCACTCCCATTATCTGTAAAATATTAGACTAAAAAGGTCCCTTTCAGCTTTATGCTTATATAATTTAAACATATCATATTTTCTTTAACGCTTCTGTAAGTATGCCCGAAAGCTGGTTTAGAAAGGAATGTCATCAAAAAGAACATACTTAATATTAAAGAGAAGAAAACTTTCTAATTCCTAACATTTCTCATTCAGAACACAAGACCTTACTGTACTTGCAACTATGGACTGCGCCTTTTGTCATAACAGTATTAATCAAAGTAGTACAGACATTCAAAATATCCATCCCAGGAGAGCCATTTGCATTTATTCTTAAACGTCCATTAGCATATTTCTGATTATTATGATCATTGAACTGTACCTTTCTAAAGCTGGAGTATAGACATTATTGCCAAGTTGCTACCTCTGTTTATTTCACCTGTATCATTAATTCTAATTCTAATTCTAATTAACTCAAAACAAACTGACCTACTATATGAATTTTTATTCTTATCTGAACATTTTCTTGGTTTAGTCTTTGATAGCATCAGAAATATACTATGACATTAAAAATTACTGCAGACCCCTTCTAATAGTTCCCTATTGGTTGTCTATCCTCTGTTGACTGCATACTATATTATTTATGGCAAATGGAAGGCTCACAGTGAAATTCTTGATTGTACTGTGTCAATATATAAAGTCAGTTGAACATCTGAATGTTTCTAAAATCCTTTGAAATTACGTCTGCCACATCAAAGGAATGTTGCTTGAGAAAAATGATAGTAGCTATCAATAAGCACCATTTAAAAGCACCCCTTTTAAAGATTTTACTTTACATTTTCTAAGCAAAATTTGGTCTGGTTTTATAATACCAGAAAATAATCACTGAGTCAGAATGGCAGGTGGAGCAGGAAAACACTTTGGTTGAGGGGTGGGGGTAAGAAAATATCTAATAAGGTATGATTGGCATTATTACTAGAAAAAGGGTAAAAGTTGGAGAATTGTGGGGTGGATGTTGAGAGAAATGACCATTCTCTTTTCCCAAGAACTCTGGCCAACTGGGTAATAAATGAATCATAGCTGGTGGCTGGAAGAAATGTTCTCATATATATTTTACTGAGAGAGTTCTGTCTATATGAAACAGCATATATTATTGAAAAAGTTATTTTTATACCATCTACAGACCCTACACACAAACGTCAAAGCTAGGTGGGAAAAAAAGGAGTTAGTCTTAATCTTCAGAAAAGACAGACAAAATAAGAAACAAAATTAAGTTGAAAAAATAACTGTCTCTCAGATGACAGTACTTTCCTGTTTTCTCAAATGCATCTTTTATTTGGGGTTAGTGAAATTGATTCATGCTCTTTGGTCTGAAAATATTCCCACACAAACTGATTTCCTGAGTGACACAGAACTGTATCAAGTTTTTAGTCTAAATTCATTCACTAATTAAATATCATCTAGCAACAAGTGTTCTAGACATATTAATGAGTGTTGGACCCATTAGAGATTTTGTAAGCAAGTCTATTCTGAGTTTTAATTCCATTTTGTTACCTAACTTTCTGTGATTCATGTATGTCTTGCTCTTAATTGGTTGTGAGTTGTTTGAGGAAGGGGTCTTTTCCTTCACAATCCTGTGTCTCCAAGATTAACCAAAGTGTCTGGTACCTGGGGTGGACCTAATAAGTGTCAGTGGTATTCATGCACAGTAAGAATACTGTACCCATCATCTGTACTTTTACCTCTTTTTGTCATACAGAGAAGTAATTTATTTCCCTGGTATTGGTGACCAAGAATCTGTAAGCTACAAAAAATTTCCCTCAAGAAAGTGAAAGGAAGAAAAAATTACTGAGCACTTGCTGTCTGTTAGATTATGTCAAGGGTTATCAAATATATTGTTTATATTTAAATTCTCACAGCAACCTTGGTAGGGAGGTATTATCACTCCAGTTAACAAATGAGGAAAAATGAATGCTCAGAAAGATGGATTAACTTACTCTTGACCTTTAAATTCATAAGTGGCAGAATCAAGATATGTGTCACATGTAATTTTCAGACTGTGCATCAACATAGCCATAGAAACAATCAGGAGTGTGTAAGTGTGTGTGTGTGTGTGCACGCACGCATGTGTGTGTGAATGTGGTGTGTGTCTAGAAAGAGAAACAGAGTTAGAGAGAGCAGCTATCCTTTATGAATGTCCTTAAGTGATTTTGTTCCACTGATGGTCAGTTGACCAGTGCATCCTGTACTGATACTGATCCATCATGCTAGAAGAAAAAATGAAGCCATCATCGTGTCTTTCCAAACAGCCCCGAAGCAATCTTCCTCTGCTAGACTTCTGGGATACTAGGGAGGACACAATCAGATTCTACCTAGCAGTATAGACAGTCCCATAAATTAATATCTTTTTAAAATTTTAAGTTTGGGGTACCTATACAGGTTTGTTACATAGGTAAATTTGTGTCATGGGGATTAGTTGTACAGATTATGTAATCATCCAGGTATTAAGCCTGATACTTATTAGTTATTTTTCCTGATCCTCTCCGTCCTCCTACCCTCCACCATCCTATTGGCCCCGTTGTCTGTTGTTTGCCTCCACGTGTTATCATTTAGCTCCACTTATAAGTAAGAACATGCTGTACTTGGTTTTCTGTTCCTGTTAACTATTCGTCCGTTTGCTAAGGATACCATCTCACACCAGTCAGAATGGCTATTATTAAAAAGTCAAAAAATAACTGGTGCTGGTGAAGTTGTGGAGAAAAAGGAACACTTATACACTGTTCGTAGGGGCATAAATTAGTTCAGCCATTGTGTAAAAGGGTGTGGCAGTTCCTCAAAGACCTAAAAACAGAAATACCATTTGACCCAACAATCCCATTACTGGATATATACCCAAAGGAATATAAATCATTCTATCATAAAGACTCATGCATGCATATGTTTATTGCAGCACTATCCACAATAGCAAAGACGTGGAATCAGTCTAAATGCCCATTAGTGGCAGACTGCAGGTTGATTATTCTTCACTCAAAACACCACTCACACATTGTGGTGTCTTCATTTAAGAGGTTCACTCAAAATAGAGTATGTCCTATTCCCCCTCTACATTGAAAAAGAAATGCCTGTTTATCCGTTAAAACCTCTCTTAAATATGATCTTCCCATGACACCCTCCCCAGCATTCTCACAGTGTTGGTCATTTCCTCAGTACTTTGTACTGGTCTACATTGTAGCATTTATTACATTCTCTGAGAATATTTCCTTATTTGCCCCTCTTCTGCAAGATATTCTGGCATGATGTTTGACAATATTCTACCCACAAGGTAATATTTTCTGAAAGAAACTGAGGACTGATTAGGACCTCAACTTGATAAGAAATGGTCAGTGATCAGCATTTTATTCACGTTTTCCTTAGGCACCACTAACCCTTATGTAAGTCCCTATCTTGGTCTTAGAAGAAAAAGAAAAATTAGTATGGAAAATTCTAATCTCACTCTTACTACTAGAAAGAAAATTTAAGGCTTTTATGCTTATTTCTTCTTCCATGTCTGCAAGAAGTAAGGAGTTGAAATAGAAAGAAGTGTTAATATTAAGAAAATGAAAGAGAGATCAGAATGGAATTGAATTCCAATCCTGACATACCATTTAATTATACTGGGCCTCTATAGAGCATACATAAAAAATGAAAATAAAATAATAGTGGGACAAAATAATATGTATCTCACCTTTACATACCTAATATATTTAAAAGGCACTGACTTCAAAATTTGAGCTGAATGAAATTTTACTTTTACTCTTGCCTTTTCTTTGATTCACCCTTTCATTCTTTGGCTCTGTTTCTCTAATTCAGCTGTTTTCTTCTTCTTTAAAACGCAACTCAAAGATCACCTCATTCAAAAAGTCTTTCCTGTCTGAACTAATAGAATTGTTGTGTGTAGATAGCAGAGGGAGGGTCTTCTCTGTACAGCTATATGCCCTAGGATTCCTTCTGAAATATCATTTTGTGCAGTCCTAATAGTGTATCATTTCTTTTCTCTAAAATCTATCTCTCTTATTGGAAGAACTGTATCTTAAACTACCACAGTTCCTAGTACAGGGTAACTATTGAATGAATATATGTTAGATAAAACTAAAATCTGAGCCCCTGCTATGCATTTTATCTTTATAAAGACACTTATGAACCACCTCAAATTTAACTTATTTTGAGTATTTTGTTTCTCCCACAGTGTTTCCTAAACAATCCAACACAAGGTTTATATACTGTGGCTTATCAGACAATGTTTACTAATGTAAAGGAATCTAGGGAGCTATAATCAAACAAGTCATTTCTTCAAACTATCTAAACAAATTGTATTCTTAACCATTTTATTCCATGTGTCTTGATTTTTTTTTCCATTTTACAAATAGTAATAGAAGGCTTCAAAACGTTTGAATTTTGAATTTTAATAAAGTAAGAATCTGAAGATATATACTCCTGGCCCTCCCCTATGCAATTCAACACCACAACCATTTATTGCACAGTTACAGGATGCAATTGTCATTATCCATAATTGATTATGATGTTAAACAATTTGAAGATGCCTAATCAAAAGACAAAACTAAGTTGCTCGTACAGAAACCATCTTTTCTCCCAAGAGGATCACCTTTACCCAATTCTACCAAGTTTTGTTATGACTGGCATGTCATTTTTCTTATATAAATGACATGCAGTAGTAACCATCTATAATCACAATTATTTACATTTTTATCTTGCTTAGTTGTTAGCAGAGCATTTTCACATGTATTCAATCTTTTGAGGAAGGAGAGGGATTGCTTTAGTTCCATTCTACAGATAAGGCAAATGAGTCTGAGGTACAGTTATTTACAGAAAATTACTATGAATTTAGAGAGCAATGTCATGCTGGAAATCTTGCTTTAAATAATTTCACTGAAATCATAATCTATTTCACCAATAAGTGAATATCTTACTGTTTCTTCAGCAGTAATGGGAGCATAACCACACAATTTTGATCTATGTGTCTAATTTTTCTATGTTAGGAGTTTTCTTTTTAAATATCATTTTATTTTCATTGACCTTTTCCCTGTTGAAGATTGACATATGTGAACAATTAATTTTGTATTAATTACTGCCTAATATCATTAGTGAAAATAACCATTGTTTAAATTGTAATTATTATCTTAATAAAATACTCATTTGTTCTGCACACATTTGGCTAAAATGTTGCTGATGCAATGCAGTTGCAGAAATGAAAATCCAGGGTTATCCCTTCAAGGAAGTAAATTAATGCCTTGATAGCGAGACATTATTTCATTTAACTGACCATCTCTCATCACTTAATAGTAGCTCCTGTTGCACTGTGTGAGGAAGAATTATGAGGTTGTGTCTAGTCTTAATAAGAAAGGAGGTTATAATCAACTAATAATGTCTACAGTAGGAAAAGTAGGAGAAATAACAGAACATAGGTTATAAAAATGCCTGGTATAGTGGATAATAATTCCTTGGATTTGTTAGTAAATGTGTTTTGGTTTTCACAATAAAAACGTGCATTTTTAAAATTTTATAAATAATATGTGCTCATTGAACAAAAATGAAAAATACTAACTATGTTTAGGAATAAAATGGAAACATATTCCTCCACCATATTTCACTCTGAGATGGCTACCACTAATGTTTGGTGATTATCCTTATATAGTTTATGTCTATAAACAAAAACATGCAAACAATATTTATATACTTCAGATTAACATAGATTATATCACACACATATACTTATCTTGGATATAGATAGTTTTTATTTTCAGGAAATTGTTTTGTAAGTTTTCGGTTTGTTTGCTGTTCTAATGCCAATATTTTCTCTTCTTCCACCATCCTTACTTTACCTGGCCCATGTAAGGATTGCTGATATTTATCTATGCTGATGGAATTCCACCATTATATATCTACAGATGTATTTACATGTAAATATATAGATACAAATATACTATAAAAATATATTTTTATATATGGGCGTATGTATAGTTTTTATCATTGTTTAAAATCAAACATTTTTTACATATTTCCCAACATATCAACATTGTTTATTTAACAAAACAACTTGGAAGTCCCTGCCAGTTAACTGCTGAGCTATATTCTTTTTTTTTTGAGTGTAGTGGCGTGATCTCGGCTCACTGAAATCTCTGCCTCCTGAGTTCAAGCGATTCTCCTGCCTCAGTCTCCGGAGTAGCTGGGACTACAGGCACCTGCCACCACATCCAGCTAACTCTTTGTGTATTTTTAGTAGAGATGGGGTTTTGCTGTGTTGGCCAGGATGGTCTTGATCTCCTGACCTCGTGATCTGCCCGCCTTGGCCTCCCAAAGTGCCAGGATTACAGGAGTGAGCCACCGCACCTGGCCTGGGCTATATTCTTTAAAGGCTTTTTGATACAGTTTACAAAGCACTTTGAAATCTAGTTTTTTATTTACCTTCAACAGACTAGTGAGGTAGTCAAACTAGGAAAGAAACTGTTCTTTCTTTCTTTTTTGAAGAATTCTTATAATGAATAAACTATAGTTTGGGGGGATTAAGTGACTTGTCCAGGTGAAACAAATATTAACTGATAAGAAACAAAGTTTTACCGAGGTCATACTATCCCAGGCCCATTGCCCTTCCGATTCCTATAGTAATTGCCACAGTTAACTTGACGGCACTCAAGGGAAAGAAGAAAAGGCTCTGCATGATAAACTTTTCAGTGAACTCATCCAGGGTCACTGTCAGGATGATCTACGTGGGAAGTACTATTCTATTCAGATTACAGAATAAGACTCTGAGATCAAAGTCTATAGAACATGCTCAACTTTTCCTATCAAGGAAAAGGCAAGAACTAAGCCTACTGTGTGCCAAATCCTACATTTTTAAATTATAATATATTAAATTTGGGTCTGAACATTATGTGTCCTTTTTGATGGTTACTTAAAAATAACCTTCTGAGGCCATATCATTATTGTAATTATTTACCTTTGTACCTCTTTCTAGGAAATGAAGATTTCAGAAACGTAAATGCAACAGAGATGGAGATTTTCTTTGACTGATTGGCACTTGGAGCCATAGGAAAAATAATAGTACTATTGATGAGACAGAGTACCATCCATTCTTACATTGCAGTCACATTGGATCTACACTGAATTAACAAGTAAATATTTTTGGTCCAGAATTAGGACTTCTATGACTAAAGATAATACATTTTATCTGTGCACTTCTGATTTTTTTTTTTTTTTTTGAGACAGAGTCTCGCTCTGTCGCCCAGGCTGGAGTGCAGTGGTGTGATCTCTGCTCACTGCAAGCTCCACCTCCCAGGTTCATGCCATTTTCCTGCTTCAGCCTCCCGAGTAGCTGGGACTACAGGCGCCCGCCACCACGCCTGGCTAATTTTTTGTATTTTTAGTAGAAATGGGGTTTCACTGTGTTAGCCAGGATGGTCTCCACCTCCTGACCTTGTGATCCACCGGCCTCAGCCTCCCAAAATGTGGGGATTACAGGCATGAGCCACCACAACTGGCCTGTGCACTCCTGATTTTTAAGGACGAGGCTGAGTGAGACTGAGGCAAAATCCTTTGGCAACTGCAATAATATCATTTATTTACAGCATATGAATAAGTTTCAAAAAGCCACATATATTATATAATTCTATTCACTACATATAAGCCATGTACAGTGATATGGATTTTCCTCAGATGAGCAATGTGACTATGTGAATATTTCAAGGGCTTGTTAATAGGTGTGTATATTCACAGGTGTATGTGTGTAATACCAACAGACATCCTGGCTTTGTAGTAGATGCCTGTGTTTTGTATTATGCAAAATTTATTAAATCCTGAAAAATAGTGGATGGGTGATAAAAAGAAAGTGCTGCTTCACCAAGAAAAAAATATTCTGAACCTTAGACTATAGATGGTAACTTAACATATGCCACTATAAATTGTAGTCTGTTTGACCAATTGTTTTAAAAGAGATATTTTAGACCTATAAATAGCATAAAATGTGCTCTATTGTATTTGTTGCTTACCATCTACAGAGTACTAAACCCTGTAAAAAAACATAAAAATTACAACAAACTGCCCAAATCTGTACAATAGAATGTGAAGCTAAGTACAAGCAGTTGTGCTAGGCATTATGACTGTGTAAATAGGTCAACAACCTAGTGTTCACACTTTCTTCATTTTATTTTTTATCTACCATTTAAATATACAAGCCTACATCCACAAAAAAAGGACAAAGGTGGTAGTATTTATGCATGTGCTACTTAAAACATTTATTACTCTGTTGCCCACTGTATCTAAGGCATTAAACTAGGTGTTGCCATATGCATTATCCCATGAGATGACCATATGAACTTCATGAAGTGGTCATTATTATTCTCACATTACCAAAGAGTTAACTTACTCTTCTTACGACTTGTGGCGGAATTAGTATGCTGTATTAGTCCATTTTCATACTGCTATAAAGATATACCCAAGACTGGGTAATTTATTTAAAAAAAAAAAAAGGATTAGCCAGGCACGGTGGCTCATGCCTGTAATCCCAGCACTTAGGGAGGCCGAGGTGGGCAGATCACCTGAGGTCAGGAGTTCGAGACCAGCCTGGCCAACATGGTGAAATCCCATCTCTACTAAAAATGCAAAAAAAAAAAAAAAAAAAAAAAAAGCCAGGCGTGGTAGCAGGTGCCTGTAATCCCAGCTACTTGGGAGGCTGAGGCAGGAGAATCATTTGAACCTGGGAGGCAGAGGTTGCAGTGAGTGGAGATCATGCCGTTGCACTCCAGCCTGGGTGACAAGAGTGAGACTCTGCCTCAAAAAAAAAAAAAAAAGAGGTTTAGTTTAGTGGGCTTACAGTTTCACCTGGCTGGGAAAGCCTCACAATCATGGTGGAAGACCAAGGAGGGGCAAAAGCACATCTTACATGGCAGTAGGCAAGACAGCCATGTGCAGGGGAACTGCCCTTTATAAAACCATCAGATCTTGTGAGACTTATTCACTATCACAAGAACAGCAAGGGCCAAACCCGCCCCCATGATTCAATGACCTTCCACCAGGTTCCTCCCATGACACATGGGGATTATGGGAGGTTCAATTAAAGATGAGATTTGGGTGGGCACACAGCCAAAATATATCAGATGGTAAATCAATTTTATCTGATTCAAAGACAAGTCTCCTGTACTACACCTTAGCCTACCATTCAAAAAGCCCTAATTGTTACATCACTGCCTGCTGATGTGAAGATGTTGTTATTCTAAAACATGAAGGGTCATCCCTTTTCAGACACAAATGTAATTCCTAAATAGTACATTTTTTTTTTCTCTGTAGAGATAGGGGACAGAAGATAATAATGCAGTTGGGTAACATTATTAGTAAGTTGGATGTTTTATACAGCCCCTAATTCCTGGGAAAATTCCAACACAACCCTCAGATGCTACTTGGTAGAAATGAATTATAAATAATTTTTACAAGTCTCTACAAGAGTTAGCATTAATTGAGCCATTTCAGTGTATGGAGTGGTTCAGGATTATATACAGGATCTTTAAACATCTTCTTTTCTTTTTTTTTTTTTTTTTTTAGAATTTCAGTTTTATTAAAACAAGCATAATGTATAAAACATCGTGGTGTTGTATAAATGTCTGCCTGACAAATGCAAATCTATTTCCTCTATGTAACTCAATAGCTCAGCTTACCTGAATGGCTGTACCTTCACGCATTCGGGCAGCAGGGACTGCCTCACTCAAACAGGGCAGCGAGGCTTCACGCCAGTGTGGCTTCATCTCATGCATAGAGCTCCATCTAACTGCCCAGATCTGTGCCACCCACACAATACCTGGGGACACAGCAGCAGACACCGACGCTGTCTCTAAGTTTGTCATAGGAACAGCTTAAAATCAGTTAGAGCAATAGGGAACTGCTGATCAAAACCCAAATGCATGGACATTCCAGAAAGAAGAGCAAGCCGTTACCCTCTCTGGGAAGTCCATGGGCTTGCAGTGGTAGTTTGAGGTCCCATCTTTGCTGGAACAGCATGGTTAAAAAACCAAACTTGGCTTGGCGCAGTGGCTCACGCCTGTAATCCCAGCACTTTGGGAGGCCAAGGCGGGCAGATTACGAGCTCAGGAGATCAGGACCATTCTGGCTAACACGGTGAAATCCTGTCTCTACTTAAAAAAAAAAAAAAAATACAAAAAATTAGCTGGGCGTGGTGGCAGCTCCTGTAGTCCCAGCTACTCCGGAGGCTGAGGCAGGAGAATGGCGTGAAAATGGGAGGCGGAGCTTGCAGTGAGCAGAGATTGCGCCACCGCACTCCAGCCTGGGAGACAGAGCGAGGCTCCGTCTCAAAAAACAAAACAAAACACACAACAACAACAAACTTAAAAAAAAGAAATAATACTGACTTTAGCAGCAATCACAAACAAAGGGAATGATAAATGAGGGAGACAGATTATGTGCTTCTGCGTGCTGCAGACCGGAAGACTGATCTGATTTCCTGAATGAGGAAGGCTCCTTGCCCTTTCCTGAATCGAGGGGATGGCTTTGCTCAGCCAAGGGATAAGACGGGCAAAGAGGACATTCAGAGGACAGAGGAAGGTGGAAGGACCGCCAGAGGAGGGTGACAGAGCAGAGAGGGAACAGGTACGGGTCGGCAGCCTCTGTCAACTGATGCTTCTTGCTTCTCCCTGCAGGCTGCAGCCCCAGCCACCGCTAGAGCGGTGAGGGCACACCGGATCCCAGATCTGCAGGCGGCTGAGCAGGTGGAGCCCAGCGAAGAGATGTTCCTGCTGCAGGCAATTATGCAAAATGACAAGTGATTGCTTTCCTTTTCAAAGACAACCCCTTTGGAAAAAGCTTTTTCCTCGAGGACCCTAGGGAAATGGGGGGTTGGTGGGAACTTCAGGGCCTTCGTAGATGAAAAAGCCTGAATGGAGCCATAGAGCAGACGCTGCTGCCTGCTCTGCAGACCTTAGCCACACAGGTTTCCAGGGGGACAATGCCTGGCCAGGCCTAGGGCCTATAAGGTGTGACTGGAGCATTTCAGAGTGCTGTGGTTGGGCTCCTGTCCTCCGGGCCAGGGTGACTTGCAGGGAAGGGAAAGCTTCATGGAGCAGAGGCCATCAGCCAGTGCCTCTGGCTCCTCTGCTAGTTCGTTCTCTTCGTGCTGAGATAGCTGGCAGTTAAGGGCGATGGCCTCAGCTGCGAAGAGTGTCAGGTCCATTGTGCTGCTCTTCCTCTAGAGGACTTGCGGAGTGGGGAGTCCCTTTTCTGGAGCTTGCCCCTGCACCCGTGGGTGCTGCAGAACTTGGGCGGCGCTAAGTTTCTGCTTCGCATCTCGCCCCAGGAGCTTGGAGCTTGGAGATGAGGCATTTGGCCTCACTGGAGATGTGTGCCCAGTCTTTGTCAGGAAATTCATACTTGCCTTCCTGGATGCTTTCAAACAGCTTTTTCTGGCACACCCTGCAGACCTCACCCCGGTCCCAGCCACAGTTGGCCCCGCAGTGACCCACGAAGGGCAGGTAGCCACTCAGCATGATGTAGAGGACCATGCCCAGGCTCTCCAGGTCACAATGCTTATCGTAGAACGTGGCCTGGTCCACGAAGACTACCACCACCTCAGGGGCCATGTATTGACTACATGTTCAGTATTCTAATACTGTTATGTCAGAATGGGACTGAAACCTATTGTATATCCCTAAACAAAAATCAAAACCACTTCTTAGTTAGATGATGCATTGCCAAAGATCTGTGTATCTTTCACTAAGACACAAACTCAGGTGTAGGGATAGAATGGAGGTGTTGGTTTCCTTACAGTAACATTTTGGTACAGAACTTTACGGAAATGCATTTTAGTTAATCAGCCACTTAACGATGTACACTTTTCTGATATTACTCATGTAATAGTTATTTCTGATTGAACAGATCTGACGCTTAGTTATCCTGGTGTCAGAGCCAAAATTACAACAACTTTCAAGAACTTTAACCTTCCTAGATCTTCAGAACCTTGAAATTGGAGGTAAAATTATGACTTTGTCCACTCCACACATTTTACAGATGAGTAAATTGAAGTACATTCCTGTCTTAGTCTGCTTGGGTTGCCAAAACAAAAATACCATATTCCAGGTGGTGTGAACAACAGAGATTTATTATTTACATATATGTATTTTTTTTTGTCAAAATGGAGGCTGAGAAGTCCAAGATAAAAGTACCAGCATATCTGGTGTCTAATGAGGGCTCCCCCTTCCTACCTTGCAGCTGGCCATCTTCTTCTTGTATTCTCACGTGGTGGAAAGCAAAAAACAAGAGAGAATGTAAGCTTCCTTGTGTTGTCTTAAAAAGGCACTACTCCCATTTATGAGGGCTCCACTCTCATGATCTAATTACCTCTCAAAGGCCTTATCTCCAAACACCATCACCTTGGGGGCTAGGGTTTCAAGATATGAATTTTGGGGGAACACAAACATTCAATCAATAACAACATTATTTCAGTAAAATTGTATGCTTTTCAGTACTTCACTCATGATTGACCTTGTCTACCTTTCTATTCTTGTCTCCTTACTTTCCCATTCCTACTACTTAATTCTTGTGAAACATGAAACTGCATAAAGCCCTCACTAGATAAGGCTCTTGTCCACCAGGCTGACACCCCCTCCCCTATCCCAGTGCTCATCCCAGTGGTCCCTCTCTTTGAAGGCTTTCCTTGTCTTCCCCAGGACTCCATCTCTACCCACCTCCATGTTACCCCATTTTCCCCAATACCTTCTACTGACTACTATGATAACCCCTTTAGGGCTGTTTTTTATTTTCTAATTAATGTCTCAGTTCCCAACTTCTATGTAAACTCTTTGATGGCAAGTCTATGTCTTTCTATTATTGTTATCCCAGCCCAAATACAGTGTAATTACTGAACCAAGAGTAGATAAATATATAACTCGATTCCAGTGTATCACAAATTAGACAAAGGACAGGAAAAGTATATTAGTTTCCTCCACAGCTGCCATACCAAAAGAGAACAAACTTAGTTGTCTAAAACAACAGAAATGCATCTGTTCACCATTCAGGAGGCCAGAAGCCTGAAATCAAGTTATTGGCAGGAGTTGTTCCTTATGGAGCCTCTGAGAGAGAAATGCCCCATGCCTCTCTCCTAGCTTCTGGTGATTGCCAGCAATACCTGGCGTTCCTTGACTTCTAGGTACATCACTTCAATGTCTACCTCTGTCTTCACATGACCTTCTCCTCTCCGTGTCTCTCTGTGTCCTATCCTCTTCTAATAAAAACACTAGTCATTGGATTTAGGGCCCACTCTAAATCAAGAGTGACTTAATGTCAAGATCCTTAACTAATATATTAACAAAGCTTATTTCCCAAAAAGTTCACATTTTTAGGTTCTGAGTAGACATAAATATCTGGGTATAGTATTCAACCCACTCTAGAAGGCTAAAATGGTATCCCTAGTCACTTTTTTTTTTTTTTTAGTGTTAGAGCTGAGACTATAAATCCCTATTTCCTTGGAGCATACTATCTCTTAGATCATTCATACATTTGATTTAGTAACTAAAAACCATCAACCTGTTTGCTTTAGAGATTTGAAAGACAGAGACGCTCTTCCACAAATATCCTACTTTTCTAAATGAAATTAATGGAATTAATTTTCAATGCTCTGTCCTCTGTGTCTGACTCTTAATGATTTTGCTAGGATGAGAAAGTTTGTAATTAACTAGGACAAACTAGGAGAGAGATGGGGTGAGTTAGAGCTGACTCATACTCTGGAGGATGTGTGTGGCTGTATGTACCTCTTAAAACTTCTAATTCTTGAGCGTTGTATTTATCTCAAGATAGGTAAAACTATTTTTAGGAAACATTTTTTTTCTTTCCTCACAAAAAGAAGCTCTTCCTTCCCCAGACTGTTTGCTAAGCCAGTTACAGCTACACCAGCCTGTAATTTTTCTTTCTTCTCCCCTCCTTTCTTCTGCTCTCCTCCTCTCTCTTAAACAGAAGTATAGAAATTGAGTCAATCTTGCAGTGTTCTTTTCATCCTGAAGAAAAAATTCTCAAAAGAAGCCAACAGATCAAATAAGCCACCTTAAGTTAAAATATTTTCAAATATTTACGCTTTGCTATAGTCTGAATATTTGTGTCCCCCCCCCCACCACACAAATTTATATGTTAAAATCCTAACCCCCAAAATCATATTAGGAGGTGGGACATTTAGGGATGTGATTAGATCATGAGGGCAGAACTCTCATGAATGGGTTGAGTAGCTTTACAAAAAAGGCCCAGAGAAGTTCCTGTGCCCCTTTTCCTATGTGAGGACCCAGAAAGAAGTCAGTAGTCTACAAAGAAGGTCCTCACCAGAATTGAACTATGCTGGCACTCTGATCTTGAACTTCCCAGCCTCCGGAATCATGAGAAATAAACTTCTATTGTTTATAAGGCACCCAGTCTAAGGTATTTTGTTATAGTTGCCCAAATAAACTAAGAAATTCCTTGATCCATTTATTTTCTGTGATGGCATTTCTCTTAACATTCTAGTCACTTTGAATTTTCATTTATATTAGCTTCACCCCATCTCTTTAAGGTATTTTTTATTATGCCCATTTTACATTTGAGGAAAGTGAGATTCAGAGAGTTGTACCATGTGTTCAGAATTGCATAGCTAGTAAGTGGTAGCGCTAGGTTTCCAAACTAATTCCTCTGATTTCTAGTCTCTAGCTCTCTCCTAGTTTTCTGTGTCTGTTTTAAGATCATCTCACTTAGAAGCTTCATTGAGAAGCTTTAATCCTTCTACATTTTTATATTACTACGAAGATAACAAAGGTCAGAGTTGGTCTTGGGATATCCGTAGTTTCTTCCTGCTGCTGTACTCATGGGCTTGGATTTTTCTTGAAGCTGACATAAGAATTGTTGATAATAGTACTTAAATGACCATCAATCAGGAATGTTCTTCAGGGGGTGTTTTTTCTCAGTAAGTGGCCTGAAGCAGATTCTATGATTTCCTAGGCCAGTTTGATTATTGAGAAAATACATGATATCAGTCATTTCCACTTAATTATAAACCAAAACAAAATAAATCTCTTCCATTTTCATAGAGATTTTAGTTTAGAAAGGACTCATTTTATTGGCACAGCAATTCTATGAAGTAGGAATAATTGAGTACAATTTTTGAATGAGCAAACTGAGAGTTTCCATTCTCAGAGATATTTGTATTTTAAATAAGCTTCCTAATATTCAGATGAAAGTCCCTGTCTCCTGCTCTGTGAATTCCATTTACTGGTGGGCATCTGTAGAAATGTCTAGGTTAAGTGCAGGAGCCCTTAAAATCATAAGAAATTGTGGCTGTTTATATAACCTGTCTGTCATTATGGATTCTGGTAATATTGATAGTAAAATGAAAGGAAATGTCCAAGCAAGAAAGAAAGAGAGAAAGAGGGGAAGCTGAATCAATAAACTTGAAAACGGAGATTCATAAAATAATTCACTTGATGAATGTTTATGACATGTCAAAACTGGGCTAGGAACTTGTGATACAAGGATTAATAAGACATTGTCTCTGCTTATACTCTACAGGGAAATACAAACAAATCATTAATTATAGCAATATATGGTGAAGGATGACAAAGAAGTAAATATGTGTACTCATAGAAATCCTTAGCTGGGTATTCAACACCAACTTGGGAACTGAGAAATCACCCCTCCTTTTACAGATGAGGAAACTGTGTTTTAGCAAATGACACAGAGACTACACCAACATAAAATATCTGGTATTTATGTTACTGGACCATAAGTTCTATAGATGTTAAAGCTGGGAATTTGGGGTTGTTACTCATTTGAAGTTACTTTTACTCTGGTGCTTGAAAGCTTATATCTTGTTTTATGGGCATAATGGAACTTCTAAAATTTCTGAAAAATCCCAGTAGCTTGGGTTTACTGCTACATGCTCTGGTTTCTAAATTCTATCCCTAGTTAAATGAATGCAGAAATAGTGGACAAAGCCAGTTTCAATCCTAGGTCTTCTTTCTCCATCTACTGCTCTTTCAGCTCTACTATTTACTCTAGCCCAGTGACTCTTAACTGGGTGTGATTTTGCCCCCCCAGGGCACATTTGGCAATGTCTGGTAAATTCTTGCGATCACAACACAGGGTGGGGTGGAGGTGCCATTTGCACTGAGTAATTTAGCAATGGAAGCCAAGAGTGGGGCCAAATATGAAATGATGCACAGGACAGCCTCCACAAAAAAGACTCGCCAGTCTGAAATATATAGTTAGTGAAAGAAAAGGTAAAAGAAAGTTTTATTCTGTTAATGTATATTTTATGATAATTAGAGCATTATGCCAATATTCAAATCAGCATCTGTTGAAAAGATTTGTGTGGAAGCTGATATATAGACATATATATCAGTAGTATGAGTGGCTTCTGCTATAGTTGGTTTTATTATTTTTTTCTTTTGGAATACATATATTTCAGTGCCTAGCACAGTATGCAACATCAGGCCCTTTATAAATATTTCGTGAATAAATAAAGCATTACTGGATAAATTATTATTGAGTGTCTACTGTTCTTTAGCCAGTTTATATATTTGCTCCCTAATCTTAAAAATAATTGTTCAAAGAAGGTAATATCATCTGCACTTTTTTTTTTTTTTTTGAGAGACAGAGTTTTGCTCTTTCACCCAGGCTGGAGTGAAGTGGCACGATCTCGGCTCACTGCAACCTCCGCCCCCTGGGTTCAAGCAATTCTCCTGCCTCAGCCTCCCGAGTAGCTGGGATTGCAGGTGCCCACCACCATGCCTGGCTAATTTTTGTATTTTTAGTAGAGATGGGGTTTCGCCATGTTGACCAGGCTAGTCTCGAACTCCTGACCTCAGGTGATCCACCCACCTCGGCCTCCCAAATTGCTAGGATTACAGTCATGAGCCACTGGGCCTGGCCCATCTACACTTTTTTTTTTTTCAAAGTGGAAGTATTTTATTAAGAAAGTAAAGGAATAAAAGAGTGGCTACTCTGTAGACCGCAGCCCCACCTGCCCTTTTAAGATTTAGTTTTATATCACTCTAAGTGGCTAAATTGCACTTGGAATTTCTCCAAAATTTGGGGAACTGATAAAAAGAGTTCCTGATGATTTCCTGGGAGATTGTTTTGTGTATTAACCGTTATAAAAAGTACTTGCTAGGCCGAGCACAGTGGCTCACGCCTGTAATCCTAGCACTTTGGGAGGCTGAGTCGGGCAGATCATGAGGTTAGGAGATTGAGGCCATCCTGGCTAACACGGTGAAATCCCGTCTCTACCAAAAGGCCACCGGGCATGGTAGCATGCACCTGTAGTCCCAGCTACTCAGGAGGCTGAGGCAGGAGAATCGCTTGCACACGAGAAGCGGAAGTTGCAGTGAGCTGAGATTGGAGATTGCGCCACTGCACTCCAACATGGGTGACAGAGCAAGACTCCGTCTCAATAAAAAAAAAAAAAAAAAGAAAGAAAAGGAAAAAGTATTTGCTAGACTCACAGAATCTAGAAAGTTGTACAGCATTAGTATTATTTTTTAACTAAAGCTTATCGGTTTACTGCTACCATAAATATTTTTTACTTTAAAAGTTACATAAAATTGGACTTCACTACACTTACTCTCATTTAAAGTGTATCTCCATTGTGATTTGGACGCAGAGCCTCTCCCCCCACTAAAAATGTTAAAAAAAAAAAAAATAAACAAAACCCCTAGAGTTAGTGACATTTCTTTTTGGAATACTTTCTTCATTTGTCAAATTCTTGTTTACTTTTAAGCTCTTTCCCTGTGTAAAATTGGATTGCAAAACGTGAATATAATAGAAAAATTTAACTTTAGCTTCTTACAAAAATGACTTTAAATATTGGGTAAACGGGTTTTGGTGTGTGTATATGTGTGTATACTATAGGTGCACTCAAGAAGCATTTATTTGGAAAATATTTTGGTGCTTTTATGTTAAAAAGCATTAGATGTAGATGTTCTTCCTCATTTTATCAAATAGTTTTCAATTGTAAGGAGAATGGGGACTAATGGTAAGTTTTGATAAGTATTAAATACTGGTTCTATATCAGGACTTGTCCTGGGTACTTTAGGTTCATATTTATTTTCATTTTTTTAACAAGCATGTATGAAATATTTTACTGTTTGAGCTTTAGAGATTAAGTTAAGAAATGAGTAGTCAATAAGCATATAAAAATGCTCAGCTTCATTAGAAATAAGGTAAATTCAAATTACAATGACAATGAAGTAACATTTTATCCATCAGATTTAAAGAAATTAAAACATCCAACTGTTGTCTAGAATGTGGAGCAGTAGGGACTGCTGGTAAAAATATAAATTGGCATTAACATTCTGGAAAACATTTTGGTATTATCTAGAAAAGTAAAAAATTGTGGATGCCTGCAGGGATAATTTTTTATGAGTGCTTCACTGTGATTAATCCAATATGAGTACCTGTCATGTTGTCCATCAGACCTGATTGGCAGGGATGGGATTTATATACTTTTGACCCAGCAATAGTGCTCCTAAGAATGTACCCCTGTAGATGCTTTCATACATGTGCACCAGGAGACATAGACAAGAATGTTCATAGAAGCATTTGTTTTAAATAGCAAAACAAAACAATACTGGAGAAAAAACCCAAATGATTATTACAGTCAAATGTTGAAGTAAATTGTCTTATTGTAGTTATACACAGAATGCTAAGCAATCGTGAAAATTACTGAACTACAGTTAAATGTAACTAACGGGATAAATCTCAAACTCAAAATTGAGTGTAAAAAGAAATTTGTAGAAAAACGTATTTTGTATGATTATATACATGTAAATTTCATAAACACGAACACTTAAACCATATCTTCCTTAGGATACACAGTTTAGGGGAAAACTCCACAGCAAGGGAATGGCTACACTAAAAATTCAGAAGCTTGACTATTTCTGAGATTGGGAGGAGCGAAGGGGCTGGGACCTGCAGGAGACATCCAGGGTCTCCAATGGTATTGGTCACATTTTGTTTCTAAAGGTAGGTAAATCTAGAATTATGTTGGCATTATTATTTTTTCTTTCAATTACATTACATATGTTCTTTTGAATTAGTTGTTAAACTAATTTTACTGAGGTAAACCTCAGAATGGTAGAATAATCTATCCAAGTTTATGCATGGAAAAGGCCCTATCCAGGACTGTATAATCCAGAGGCCATGCTCCTTCATTTCATTTTTGGCTCTGCCCAAGGTGAAATTCTCCTAGTGTGGGACACAGGAAGAAACTGCCTCTTCTGATGATCATCTTGTTTTCTTTTATCAGTGAAGGCTATGAGCCACCATGGGTCTTTCTTCTTTAACTTCACTGCCAGAAAAATTCATTCTAATGTAAATATTCATTTACAGTAATTAACATATAATAAACATTTAGGATCTGTATTTTCCTTCTTGTAGTGATTTCTGATTTCTCACCTTAGGAACTGATTCATTGCAAGATTTTATTTTATATATAGTCTAACATTATAAATGATCTAAAAGATTTTCTTATGAATAGTGAATTAGATATTTTACATAAGAAAACAAACAATTTAGAACCATTACATTTCCTTTAAATATATGAATGATTACCTTAAAGGCAGAATCCATTAAGTCCCTTTTTTTTCTTTCAATCTTTCTAACCCTGAGTCCAGCATGGATCTAAAACCAGTAAGTTCTCAATTTGGGATAAAACAGATGTACAGAGTTTGTCCGGGGAAAATGTACATATACCAGCTGCAGTTTTACCTTTGGAGAATATGCCTTTGGTAAACACAAGAAAGCCTCCCCAAAATGAATCACCTACTGAAAAATATGTTGAGCTATAAAAGGCCCTACATAAATACATGATTATCTTTCTGTATATGGAGAAGGAGGTGGGAGGCAAGGAGCAGATGATAGATTGCACTGAGTTATTTAGGGGCATCACTTGGCTCTATTTCACCACAGATCTTCAGAAATCAACTGAAATCAGTTTAATAAAGCAAGTTATATGTAATTGAGGATTCAGCTTTTTCCATACTTTTAAATGTTTTCCTCAAGATGAGGGTTGGTAACTCCAGTAATATGTCTGATCAGTAAACCTCAGTGTCATTAGGAAAGTAGGAATTAGTGGTTTACATATTGCACAGGCATTCTACAATCCATATACAAAGGAAAGAGCAGACAATGAAGAATAAGAATGGCATGGTTTGAATCTGAGCTATGCTGTTTCACAGATGATAGTTTCTTAATCCACCAAAATTAAGCTCTCTGATTCTTTGTTTGCATATGTCTGAGATGGCATTAAAAGCACATACCTTCTAGGACTATTATAAGGATTTTACAATTTGATGTGAATAGAAGCCTACCACTGTACCTGTCACAGAGTCATATTTGGGCAGTAAGTATTAATGCTGTTAGTCATAGTCTGAAATAAACACAAGCTAGTAAGTTAATGACTACAGTTTTTATACTTCAGCATTGATTAGTTGATTAATTGAAAGACCAAGTCCTTCATGCATTCATTTTTTATTGATTCATTAATTAATTTAACAGTTATTGGGTTCCTACTCTGTGGGAAGTAAACCTACTTTTTAGGAAATACAAACATCACAATGTCACATGCATTATCTGGAATAATATATGAGAAATTAAAGTACTACTCAGATGTCAGTGATGCATTATATAAGCACTCCCAGTGATGAAAATTGGTATATTAATAACAGTGGGTGAAAAGCAATCAGAATATATTTGTATTCCTGAGTGGTAGCAAAGGTTGAACAAGGCAGGGCAGAGGATGGTGAAGCCAACATAAGCATTCAATCTTATCTCCATGATAGATCACAAGTCAATCTACAGGTATTAGGTTTTTTTGTTTATTTTGTTCATTCATTCAGTCATCTCACTCTATTCACCAACCCATCAACCCATCCATCAAATACTTATTAAACTCCTATTAGGTTCCAGGCACTAAGAATACAATGATAGGTTAATTTCTACAAGGAACTCACTACCTAGATACAGAATGACCATGTGATAAATAATTCTAGGAAAACGAGTTAGTTTGCTTTAACAACATGTCGTGTAACTTGGTGTCTATGAACTCAGGGTTTGCAGTCCTGAAGACCAAGATTTGAATCATAGCTCCTCCACGTAGTAAATTCAAGCACATTAACTAACCTTTCTTAGCTACCTTTTATTTCACCATAAAATAAGAACTATAAACAGTAAGGATTATTCACAGGACTGCTGTGCAGATAAGATAATCCATGAGAAGCTTGGGCCAATACTTGGAATGTCATAATTATGTTGGATTATACAAAGTCCAGAGGAGTAAGTAACTTGACCTTGGTGTAGCGACATTAGAGACATTCTCCAGAATGGACCTTTAGAACTGTATCTTAAAAGTGAGTAGAATTTGTTTTCCAGGGAGCAAACCAGGAAGTTGTTTGCAGGAGATGAAAGAGTATTGGTAAAGGCATTGAGGAGTCTAGAGGCTTGAGTATAAAATTATATTGCCATTTTGGCTTTTATTTTTCAAAGTCATTTGTGGAAGAGTAAGGAAAGCAAGTATCTGAAAAGCATAGTTGAGAGGAAGAGAGAGGGCTTGCACTTAGAAATAGGGACTTAACAGGGTTCTGGCTGAGTCTAAGTGATCTCTAGAAGAGCGTCACAGGGTTAAACACTAACTTACATAAATCAATGGTCATTATAATTAAAAGAGGAATAAACTTTTATTTCAAGCAATGAGTTCTCTGATTTGCTAAATGAAGTAAGAACATATTAGATATAACGACATTTTCGTTGGTTTAATTTTTTTAATTTTATGTACAAGCTTGTCAGTACATGCTTTTAAAATATCTGATTAAATATAAGGTTTCTGATATTTAGTAAACTGCAAAAATTTAATTAAAAAGTAAGCTCTTCTCTGTGAGATGAATTGCACAAAATATATTGTATACAGACAAGCAGAATGTATCATTTGATATTAGAACAGGGAACTTTTGATGGATCATAAAAATATATTTAAAGTGTGGTTAAGGGAGAAGAATGACATTACACACTTGTAAATTCCTTGAGAGCAAATGTCTAATTCTGAATATTTATCACCAAATCTCTACCATAAGGCAATGAAGTCTATAAATACTCGCTGAGTGCTTAACTGTTCTGTTAAATTAAGATTTTAGAGAGTGGGAATATATTTTGATTTTTATAGTATCTAGAATTATAATAGAAGTTTATGAAATTATACTTTACAATTACAAGGTTTCTTATTTCTGAAGATATTAACAGTGGTTCATGGTCACAGAACCCAATTTGAAGGAGAACAAATCCAGTTAACCCTTGTATAGTATCAGACTTGCTGCTGCTTTTGATTCCTTGCAGATTTGTTTATGTGTTTTCATTTAGCAAATACTTCAGTTTCTGCTATACAGCAGGCATCTATTAATTACTAAGAAAGGTAAGATGCAAATGAAGATGTGAGCTGAACTTGCACTAGGAAGGTGCAAAACAGGAACACTAGAAAACTATGAGGTGGAAAGTAGTAAGTGCTGTGACAGGTCTAGATGAGGTACTGTGAAGTCCATTTATTCCTTAAGCAGAAATATTGACAACTCTTTTAGAATCCATTACCCTCATTTTTTGTTATCAGTGAAGAAAATAAGATCTCAATGAATTAATTTATACTGGTCAATCAGGCTTCCCCATCATAGGCAGTCAAATTGGTTAGCCCAACTCACAGTGAGAAACTTGTATGTGCCCAGATGTCTTTGTAATTATTTAACATAAATTAACACAACTAAGTAGTAATTGCACTACTTAGGTAGGTACTTAATCAATTCTTATTTTACAGGTAAGGACACTGAGGCACAGAAAAGTTGAGCAACGTGCACAAGGCCTCTTAGAGGGCAAAATGTGGAGTCATGATTTGAACCTAGTTGGACTAGTTCCAGAGTCAATATTCCTACTTTATGTCACATTAACTCTCCTGGAAAAAAGGCAGGTTTCCCACACTGGAACACAGACGATTTCTGGCCAATGTGGAAATGCCATCATAGATAAAAGTACAAGGTCCCATCAAAGCTTAGAGGAAGAAAACCTGATCCAGAACATGTGAGGTTGCAGGAGAGAAGTTCGGGTAACATCTAAGTTATCTTCAAGGACAAGTAGTAGTTGAGAAGAGAGCAACATAAAGAGCTTAGCATAGTGTCTGGCACATTAAAAGTAGTTATGAGAAGATGTTGGTCTGGACAGTTAGAGAAAAGCTGGGTCGTCGCAGATATTGTGTAACTTGCTGAGGATTATACATTCATCCTGAGAGCTGCATGACTCCAGCTAACACATTGAAGTAGTAGAGAGACAGGGTCAGATATTTATTTAAGATGGACTCTGCCAATTCAGTTGAAAATGGGTGGGAGGTGAGCAAACTAGAGGCAGAAATGTAGGAAAGAACATGGGCCCAGCAGTACATTTAGTGTATGTGTTCAAGTTCCTTGTAACCCCAACTTACCACATAAGGGATGCCAATTTATGGCAAAGACAATGTTAGAAATTTTAACATGTAAGGTCCCTATCCCTAGTAATATCTCTTTTAGCAGTTACCCTGAAACAGAAAAAAGAACGAAAAAAGGTTTTAGTAGTCTCATGGCTTCCCTGAGGACCATTAGCGTGATGAAATCTTTTACCTATAAATGTACAAATTTTTATTTTTAACTGAAGTGAATATTGTGCATATTCATGTGAAGACTGTGCATGTCACTAAAGGTCAAGCTGTTATTCTTTAAAGTCACATAGACATTCTGCTAGAAATGGATCACCTCTTTCCACCCAAGTCTTCTATACAGGGTCACACAGCCAATATTTTAATGTTAGGATATAAATTCAAAGGTGCTATATGTGGATGTGATTTTCCCCACATTAACCCATATGCTTAGGGCATAGTTTTCATCACAAGTTCTTATGGTAAAAAGACGATGAAATATGTGTATCTTTTGCTCCTCAGAGCAGTAGAAAAACTATAGATCACAATTGCCAGGGTAACCTGACACAGCAATATATTATCCTTCTATTCCAGTGCCTGTTTGAGGTCGACAGACAAGATGCCTTTCAATTCTAGCTAATACAATAGATGCAGACATTTATCTTGTATATTGTACTACATGATCTAATAATCATGGTAAGTATATTAGTAGGGCTATGATTATATCTCAAGTGCCTTATAATGCCAAAAGAAATTGTCCATGTTCCCTGTATAAATTTTTACAGTAAAGTTCGACCCTATGAAATAGAAAAGGTAATAAAATGGTACAACTATTATACAGATAAAAATATTCAGTATGTTATACAGATTTTTAAATGTGAATTTTGGAGAGCATACATTATGTTCCTGAAGTCATTTTGATAAGCACAGGATACCACACCCAAGGCTCTTTCTAATACATTAGGATTTAACTTTATATTTTTATAATTCATTTTTTTTAGTTTTTAAATTTTAAATAATTTTTAAAAATGGTCTCCCCATACCCAGTCCTACTGCTTAGAAGGAACCACTTTAACTCTATTAATAATTTCTCTTATTACTTCTTGTTGTCATTAATTCCACATCACCATGCAAAATAAGTATACTGTTAATTCTTCAGTTCCAAATTTTAGACATTTTTATTAAATTGTGCTATGAAAGGTAAGGACTGGTTACACTTATACTACCCCTGTCTCCCAAGATTAACAAGATTGTCTTGTGGAACAAGGTGTTACAGGTCTCCTGATTAGATCACTTAGGCCTCCTTTGTAACTTTTTCTTTTTAATTCTTAATCAAGTTTTAAATTTCTTTGTTTTCTGTTTTCTTAATAATAAAATGAAACTAATACTATACTAAGTTGTATTTCCCAGAATCTAAAAACCTAAGATTCTAGGAGTGTCAAATTAAGTGTACTCTTCCCAAATCCAAGTCCTCTCACTTAGTTCAGATCCACAAAAGACCAGACATTGTCTGGGACTTAGAAGTATGTCCCTTTATCTCTCTTGACTCTGGATTTCACACATGCAATTATGAAGGTACCTCCTAGGCAGAAAACAAATGAGGCAGAGAGGTGGTCCCTGTTCACCACCATCTTCTATTTCTTTAGACTTCATACCCTCAGTTTTCTGATGGATGTGACACTCATTGTGTGGAATTCCCATGATGTCCAGCAGTGTTCCTCTGAGAAGATTAAAGTAAATAATGTCTGTGCAAGTGCTTTTTAAACTGGGAAGTTATTTACCATAAGCAAGTGATGATCAAGCGATTAATACCATTGTTACAGTCATTTCTTCGTCCAGAATTTTTCTGGGCCTGTCTTAAAATTTAAGGGCTCACACTCCAGGTAGGAAGCAATCTTCATACTTTCCTGAGGGCTAGGACATAGATTATAGTAGTACACTGCAGTCAATTCTAGGTCAGCTTCTGATTTCCTACCTTGAGTTAAAATTATGTATTATACTTTTTCTGCTTCCTTTGAAGACTCAGTAGCGGAGCATGTCTTTATCTTCTCATATCATTATGAGAAAAGGCAGAGGATTTGATACCATCTTCAGTAAGTCAATATTAGCTGTGGAGTATCATCCGATCTTCCCTTTAGAAACGAGGTAATTTAATGGGGGAAAATACATGAGGATTTGCCTGGTTTGCTTTTAAATGATTCAAAGTCTTGCTCTAAATAAGTCTCTCTACAGAAAGCTCTAGCTTAAAAATCTTACCACCATGGGCTGGATTTGCTGTTTACCACCATGGGCTGGATTTGCTGTTAGTTGCCTGCAAAATATCCACTTACAAATAACAAATGCAATACCAGAGAATTTTAAAGAATGACTGGGGAATTGCTGCTGTTACTTCTCAGTTCTTATGATTCTCAAGTCTCTGGTTTGCTGTCTGTTATATTCTCAGTAGCTCGGTCAATCTCTGCTGCTTGCAAATGGTCTCAGTTCTTGGCGAAGCCCTTGGGTGTCTGCGATGTTTTCGAGCACTGTCAGGTTCCTTCAATCAAGGCATATGTCACCCAAGTCCCCACAAGCATTAGACCATGGCCAAAACCTCAAAATTGGTGCAGCTTCCCTCCCACGCAAGAAATGTTATCAGTACTAACTACCTTCTCAAGTATTCTACCAAAGAAGGCTGCCATACTTTGTTCCACAATTTCTGTGGAGAAATATAGACGTTTGCCTTGTAATTATGAAAATATTAATTTATCCATACCATTTGTGATAAGCATGCTTGTCAGGCACTTGTATATGATTTACGTATGTTGTTTCTAGTCTTCATAATAATTACTATCCCCATTTACAGAGGAAGAAATTGAGATTCACAGAGGTAAAATTAATTGCTCAAGATGACAGATAAAGTCCTATAGCCAGCCTTTGAGAGTGGACTATCTGGTCTCCACGCTATGGATTTTTTCCATTACATCACACAGATACTAGAAATCTCCTTTTTATTTCAGTTTGGTTAAGAAAAAACTGTTTAGCAGATAGAGGATATTTGGTGTCATTTGAGAGTAAATGATACCTTAGAGAGAATTTGGAAAAGTGTATCATTGAAATTAATCATTAATTCATGGCACACCATATGTATCAGGGATTATACTAGAAACTGAGGATGCAAAATTGAAACAGCCATGACCCTTGCCCTTAGGAGCTCATAGCTTGGTGGGCGATGGGTAAGGGGTGTCATGTGCTTTCACTAAACTATTTGTGTTAGTCAGGATAGGCTAACTGCTATTACAAATAACTCCTCAACCTCAACAACTTAATGAAATAAAAGTTTCTCACTCAAATCACAGTCTAACATGAGTGCTGGATAGGGAATAGAGGCTTTAGTCATTCAGAGGCCCAGACTTCTTTTATCTTATGAATCCACCCTACACAGATCCTCATGATTGTTCTCCAGTTACATATTGTCACATGAGCATTCTAACCATAAGGGAGGCTGGGAAATATTAGTCTAGCTATATGTCCAAGAAAAAAAGGATATGAATATTGGTGAGCAACAGTAATCTCTGTCACACCCTTCTATAGTCAATTACAGTGAGAAGTAAAAGATGGATATTAGTTGACCAATATGAGGAAAAAAAGGTAGTTAGCCCGAGGGGCTGTTCTTCATTCGTTTATTACACACACAATTCAAAGCATTTAATTTTTCAGTAATTTTGTAGACAGCTGGCCTAAAAACAGGACACAAAATTTTTTTTTTTTTTACTTTCACTCATGTGTGTGTGTCTGTGTTTCCCGCACGCTGAGCAATTTTCCAGCAGATACTAACTGGATGTCCTCTAATTTAATTCGATTCTGACACTGTCTACCTGAGCTAGTACCAGATCTCACAGGTTGAAGGCTCAGTCTCATAAGACTGAAACCCACTTCAGATGCCAATTGCAAATAGTTGGTTGTCACCTATACTTTGACCAACTGCTATAAATCGAGGGTTCCCATAATTCAATTAATTTGCTAGAGAGGCCCCAGAACTCAGGAAAACACTTATGTTTACCCACTTGTTATAAAGAATGTTACCAAGGATGCAGATGAACTGCCAGATAGAAGAGATGCATAGAGTAAGGCATGTGGGAAGGGACAAGGAACTTTCATACCCTCTCTGGGCATGCCACAATCCAGGCACCTCTACAGGTTCAGAAATCCAGAAGCTCTGTCCTGGTATGTTTTTATGGAGGCTTCCTTACATAGACGAGATTACTTAAATTATGGGCCACTGGCGATCTAACTCAACCTTCAGGCCCTCTCTGCTCCTGGAAGGTGGGGGTTTGGGTTGAACAACCCAACTCTCTAATCATGCCTTGGTATTTCTGGTTACCAGCCCCTGTCTTGAGGCTGTCTAGAGACTGCCAGCCAAAAGTCATCTCATTAGCATATAAAGGACACTCACCATTCAGGAGATTCCAAGGGTTTTAGGAGCTGTATGCCAGGAAATGGGGGATGAAAGTCAAATATATATTTCATAATAGTACACTAGGATTAAATGACTGAACAAGACAAGATCTGGCTTTTATGGGGTTTATACTATGGCAGAAGGGGATAAGTCAAACAAATAAGAAAACATCAGTTAGAGATACGTGAGATGAAGGAAATAGAGTGATGTGATAATGTCTGAAATGCTACTTGAGACTGGTCAGTCAGGAAATAAAGTGTAAAGACAGAGGTGAAGGGCAGGTGAGGGCATGCAGTGGGTTCAGAGAAATCAGTTGTAACTGGAATATGGTACATGGAATGTAGAGAGGGGTGGTGGAAAACAGGACCGCATACATAGACCAGATCTTTAAGGATTGAAAATGATAGGTTAAAAGTTTGCATTTTATTTTATTTTAAAATTTATCCACTATTCAACAAGAATTCATCACTGCAGGCAAAAACACAATTAGATCTTGAAAAGCATTTACAGTTGAAACAAATGAATTGGAGGAGTTACGATTAGAAGGAGGAAGGCCAAGCTGGTAAGTAAGCATGCTGACTTGCTCAACTGAGGAAGGAGCAGTGTGGACTTAGGAAGGGAGATGAAATACAGAGATATTTCTGGAGTAAAATAGAAGAATTTGTCAACTAACAATCTCATTGATGAAGAAGGCTCAGAAGTCAAATGCCTCTTAGATTTCTAGTTTAAGCAACTCGTGTTCTTACTCACTGGATAGGTAGTATAAGGAATAAGAAGGGGGCAGGTTCGGAGTGCATTGGAAAAGGTTGTATTTGGCTATTCCGATATTCTACTTTTATCGTTTTCTTATCTATTTTACATAGAGGATGAGAATTCTTGAGAATATTACAGCTGCAAACCAGAACATATTTTTATTTAAATATTATTTCCAGTTGATTTCAATACTACTTCTTTCATTGTGCTGTGTCCTAGAGGAGAAGAGGGAACTGAAACAACCATAATACACTACTTACTGTGTGCTTGATACACTTGGCAAATGACCTCTCATTTTGTCCTCATTAGGAACTTCTAAAGTGGTGATATGTCATTATTTTAGAAATGAGGAAACAGAAGACCAGAGAAAATCTTGTTCTATGTACCAAAAGAAGAGATATGACTGAGACTTGAATATAGGTCAGGTAGAAGGAGAGGAAGCATTTGTGGTATCACATAGAAAGACATCAAGACAATTTGCCCAAGAGTAAAAAAAGCATCAGATCAAGAATCCCAAACTGATTTCTAGGCTCCCTGTGACTATCCTCTCCCCTTGTATGACCTTTTAAATACTCATTGGCAACAAACTAAAATGTTAGTGGTATCAGATCTCACAGGTATTTGGATTTTATTCCTCATTGTCATCACTGTAAAACAAATGCTGCAGAGGTTATTTTTGTTGCGTATTTAATACTTATTATTTTTTATTAATACTTAACACTTATTATAATACTTATTATTTAATACTTAATACTTATTATTTTTGTTCCTTATTAAATACAAAAATTAAGGTACTATTAAGTCTTTATAAGTGTTTCAAGGTACTATTACTGTTGTTTCAAACTGTTTTCAAACCAAAAACTTTTTTTTTTTAGCCTACATAGATGAAATGTGGTAGACTTGCAGAAAAGAAAAGTTTGACTTAGTGATCATTTCAGTAGCAAATCAATTTTGCAAACCAATTTTGGCTAGCTTTAGAAAAATGAAGTTACATAATTACACAGGCAAGGAAAATCGTGTGGGTTACCAGAAAGAGCACTGGAATGAGAGTCAGTAACTTAGAGCTGTAGGACTGTCTAAGCTCCTATTTTGTTCTTACTCATTTGTTTATTCATCATCTTACTTCTTCAGTACCTTTCATATGCTAGGCACTGTAGCAAGTTCTGCAATAATAAAAAGATAAAAGACACAGACAATCTACAAGGTTTTATAATCTAATATGGGCTATAAGGCCATCAATACACTGAAATAATTAATCTATGTATCACTTCATTCCTTTTTTAATTGAACAAATATTTATTGAGCACCAACTATGGTTCAGACACTGTTCTAGGCACTGGGAATACAATGGTATCTAATAGAAAAAACGCATTGCCCACATTAAGCATAATTTTTTTGTTTTTGTTTTTTTGAGATGGAGTCTCACTCTGTCACCAGGCTGCAGTGCAGTGGCACAATCTCGGCTCACTGCACCTTCCGCCTCCTGGGTTCAAGTGATACTTCTGCCTCAGCTTCCCTAGTAGCTGGGACTACAGGCATGCGCCACCACACCCAGCTAATTTTTATGTTTTTAGTAGAGACAGGGTTAGTCTCGATCTCTCGACCTCATGATCTGCCTGCCTCGGCCTCCCAAAGTGCTGGGATTACAGGCGTGAGCCACCACGCCCAGCCATACATTTTCAATAAATAAATAAATAAATAAATAGAGAATCCTTGAAGAATCACCACACTATCTTCCACAACGGTTGAACTAATTTACACTCCCACCAACAGTGTAAAAGTGTTCCTATTTCTCCATAGCCTCACCAGCATCTGTTGTTTCTGACATTTTGCTGGGTATATACCCAAAGGATTATAAATCATTCTACTATGAAGACACATGCACACATGTTTATTGCAGCACTATTTACAATAGCGAAGACTTGGAACCAACCCAAATGCCCATCAATGATAGACTGGATAAAGAAAATGTGGCATATATACATTATTGAATACTATGCAGCCATAAAAAAGAATGAGTTCATGTCCTTTGCAGGGACATGGATGAAGCTAGAAGCCATCATTCTCAGCAAACTAACACAGGAACAGAAAACCAAACACCACATGTTTTCACTCATAAGTGGGAGTTGAACACTGAGAACACATGGACACAGGGAGGGGAACATAACACACCAGGGCCTGTCAGGGGGTAGGGGACAAGGGGAGGGAGAGCATTAGGACAAATACCTAATGCATGCAGGGCTTAAAACCTAGATGACGGGTTGATAGGTGCAGCAAACCACCATGGCACATGTATACCTATGTAACAAACCTGCACATTCTGCACATGTATCCCAGAACTTAAAGTAAAATAAAATTAAAAAAAAGAATCAATAGATACATATCCTAAGGTCAGAAAGTGACAAAGTAATATGAAGAAATATAGTGGGTTGCTGTTTTAAATAAGGTGGACAAGAAAGAAACCTGAATAAAATCCTCAAGTGAATCCCAAGGATATTTAGGGGAAAATATTACAGTCAGGCAGAACAAATATAGAGGCCTGGAGGTGGGAGGAACAGCAAGGATGGCCAGAATAGATTTAACAAAGGAAAAAGTGATTAGAACAGTAATTTGTGGGTGATTGTTGTAAAATTTCATGAGCACCATCCTGTTCTTATTCCATCTCCATGGTGAGGATATTAGATTTTATTCTAGGTGGGATGAAATATGAGAAAATTTTCATTCATCACTCATATTTTATATAAATTATATACACATTTATATGTATATAAATAACATACACACACGTGTGTGTACGAATATATGTGTGTGAATGTATATATGTGTGTGAAGAAGAGAGAAGTATAGAAAGGAAGGGAGGGGAGGGAAGAAAAGGGGAGGAAAAGAAGGAATACCACAGAGCCAATGCATTGAGATGTTAATAGGGAAACTGGATTCAAGGATATTGGAGGTCACTATACTATACTCGCAACTTCTCTGTGCATTTGAATTCTTTCATAATAAATTCTTAAAACTTTTTAAAATTGTGTTATATTCAAATGCTCATGTTTTTGGAATCGGAAATAACTTGGGTCAGTTGCCACTTTCAGATGGGTGACTTTAGATAAGTCACTTAACTTCTCAGCATTTCCATTTCTCTTATCTGCCAGTTAGTATGTACTTTGATGATTTTTTTGTGGGAATTCAGTGTAATAAATATATAAATAGATTACCTGACACATAGTAGACATTCAATAAACAATGACTCTTATCACAATAAAAAATGTACAAATTATCATCAGAATTTGCATTTTTTCAGATATCAACATCTGCAGACAGCAACTAAAATATGAAGCATACATTTCTATAGCATAGTTTCAGGCATCTGAATAATGACATAGGGAGAATATGAGGATTTGATTAAGACCAACAAGCATCTATTAAGCATTGTCTATGTTACAGTCACTGTGCTTGGGAGAGGAGATTCAGAGACAAAGAAAACACTTTCTCAATCCACACAGATTTTAGAGTATAGTGGATAAAAGAGAGAATAAATCAGCTAATTTTTCTACAGCAGAAAGTAAGATATGACAGCAATAAACACAGGATGCAATGAAAGCAAGATTTAAGTTTTAACTCAACAACTTGTTGATAATGACATCAGTATAAATGAATAATATTAACTTACCAGGAACTTACCAGGAAAACACAGAAATTTGCAAGGGATTTTATAATCAAAACATTTGGCTTGTTATTTTTGTTGACAAACTTATGTCCCTCATATATACTGAATGGAAGTTACTTTATCTTTTTTTTCTCTATTCATCTTTTTCTTATCTCCTTATACTGAAAGAACTCTGTAGATGATATAAGCAATTCCATTGCCACCTCAATATCAATTTAAGATGGAGGTCATTGTTTAAGAAGTGTTTGGTCTTAGTTTTTGCAATGTCTATACATATGTTGACCCACATATGTGCCCTGTAGCTTTTGCTTCTCATCCTAATTCTGTCCTCTAGAACTGCATGCATGACACATAATTCCTTTCACAGTACAACCATTTGGAAACTGCTGCCATCTCACAAACCAACCAACCATCTTAGCCCCCTAATCCTAGTAATTTCCACCACATCTGCATTTTTCTTCCTTTATATTAAAAATTCATAGTTTCTTGATTTAGTTATTACAACATAGTTTCAAGATTTCTATTACTATGCTCTTTGTCTTTCTTTGAATGCTTTTCAGGATATTAATAACCTATAATAATATGGGACCAGGTTAAATATGACTCCCCAAACTGAATACAATTATTAAATTGGGTTCTAATCAATATCAAGTGAAGTAAGAGTAACAACTCCCTTAATCTGAACATTGTGTTTTAGAGTCAGATTCTAAATAAACAGAAATATGGCAGTGAGTCATTTAGTAAAGCCAAAGGTTTCTTTGGAAGCCCCTCAAATATATAAGTTTCGTAAATTAATATTATTTGATATATTAATTTTACTTAGATTGAAGAAAACCTGTCTTGCTTTCATTTTAAATATTAATTATTGTGTGCCACACTTTCTCCATGGCAGGCACAGAGTGAAATCAGTATGAAGAAAATGAGACTTTTGTTGATATGCTATGTTCAGTCCACCAGTTTTTGTAATGCCGAAGTGTTTTAATTATATAAATGTAAGCAAAGTATTATTGATATCATTTATAATTTTATTTGGAATGGCATTCACTAACTTTGTATTTACTTTAAAAATTTAAGAAACCATCAACTTTAGCAGCTGCTTATTCTACTGTACTTATTTGTTCTATATTGGCAAGTCTACTTCACTGTGTATTATTTCCCAAGAATCCTATATTATGACAAATATTATTTCAAGATTTGGTTAGGGGTGGTGGTGCTATGGTTTGAATTTGTCTCCCGAAAAGCACGTGTCAAAAACTTAATCCCCAATGCAACTGTGTTTTGACATGGGGCCTAATTGGAGGTGTTTATGTCATAAGGGCTCCACCTTCATGAATGAATTAATGCTTAGGCTATGAGTTCAATTTTTTGTTCCTTGTACCATCTCTTGCCCTTCTACCATCCACTATGGGATGATGCAGCATCAAGGCCCTCACTGGATGCTGTCCCTACAATCTTGGACTTCCCAGCTTCCAGAATCATGAGCCAAGTAATTTTCTGTTTATTTTAAATTACCCAGTCTCAGGTATTATGTTATTGTAGCACAGAACAGACTAAGACAAGTGGCATAAATTCTGTTCCTTGTTCATAAAAATGGCCATCGGAAATCTACAAATAATCCCAAGCCATAAGAACTTAATGCCTCTCTTTAGTCGAAATTTCCATTATATGTAATAGGTCAAGGTATTTCTAGGGTCACACAAAAGTACACCTAGAGAATCATCTTTCTTTCTGAGCTACACCTCTATTTGATTCATCTTATCATTTACTGACTCTTTGATATTTGAAAATTTAGCTACTTCATGGCCGTCTCCAATGAACATCTCCCATTATCTAATGGAAAAAATAGTAATAATAGCATGCATTATCAAGTGTTTAGTATGGATCAATGACTATGTTAGGTGCTTTGGCTGCATCCTTACTGATCCTCACTAGAGCCCTACAAAGAAGGTATTAGAATTTTCATTTTATGTATCAAGAAAACAAGACTCAAGGACATTAACTTTCCAAAGGATGTTCATAAAGTAAATGACTGGTAATATTTGAACCTGCAACTTGTATACCACATTCCATGGCATTCAAGAGCCTTCAAGACACATTCAGTAAAATATACTCTGAGTTGACAATATGTCTCAGGCACCAACCCAGGCCCTAGAGGTAGATCAGTGAACCAGGTTAAGGACAGACATATTCAAGAAGCTTAGATTTTAGCAGGAGTTGGAAGTGAGATGATAGAGACAATCTACTAAGTAAATGAATGAGATAATTTCAGATCATCATAAATGTCAAGATGTAAATAAAATAAGATGTTATAGATATGGTGTGTCTGAGGAGGCTACTTTGGATACCGTAGCCAAGGAAGATCCCTCTACTAAACTAAGACATAATTGACAAGTAGGCCAAACTATGTAGGCATCAGGGGCCTAGATGTTCTATGCACAAGGGGTAGTAAGTACAATGGCTATAAGGAAAAAAAGTTGGGAATGTTTAAGTAAAAAAGGTAAAAAGGATATAAAATAGAAGGGTGGAATTAGCACAGAACGGGCACTAGTTTCTACTGAACAAGTGTTATGACTGATAATGATGCTTGAAATGGGGGTGGGGGAAGCAGTATAGATGAAGAGAAGTAGATATATCAAGAATAGACTTTGGAGATTCTTTATTAGAGTCAAAGTTTGTTATCCTAATTTTAGTGTTTACCCTTCATGCACTCTAATTTACACTTATGCCAAGTAATTTGCCAGCTCCACAATGTTATTGTGCCTTTCACAACTCGTTTGTTTGTAAAGCCTCCAGTACCCTGCTTCCAGAGCTTTTTCTTGGATACTTCTACTTTTAAGTCACAAATTGTAGGATATTTCTATTGTGAAGTCTTTCCAAACCTCTCCTTTCCCTAGTCAGAAAGAACCAGTGTGTTTTTCTTTTCTCCTTTGCTATGACAAAAAGAATGGTTTCACTACATTTTAATCACTTCTACTTGGGAGTGTGAACTTCTTAAGGACAAAATTATATCCTACATCTTTGCAATGTAGAGCTTTGCATACAGTAGAACATGAGAGTTATGCAGTGAATTAAACTTGGTGCTCAAAAGAAAGAAAGTGTCATTGACTGTCTCCAAATGATTCCTTTGCACCATTCTCTCACATACTCTTGTGTTCTTAACCTTTTATCTCTTGGGTTTTGTAGTCATGGCTTTTCCAAATATACTACTTTTAAAATCACTACAGATCTCATAATACGTATTTTGTACTAGTTTCCTGTTGCTGCTATAACAAATTATCATGAACTTAGTGACTTCAAACACATAAATTTACTATCTTACAGCTTGGGAAAAGAGAAGTCCACAATGAGTCTTACAAAGTTAAAATGGAGTTAGCAGGATTGATTCCTTTTGGAGACTCTAGGGGAGAATCCATTTTCTCGTCTTTTCCAGTTTCTAAGGGCTACCTGCATTCCTTGGCTCATGGCCCTATATCACATCAACTTTTCTCCCTTTGTTTTTCTTGTCATATCATCTCCCCTGTCTTTGACCCTCTTACATCTCTTTTACAAGACCCCTGCTTCCACCCAGATAATCCAGGATAATTTCCCCATCTCAAGATACTTAGTTAATTCATATCTACGAAGTCCCTTTAACCATGTAAGGTAAAATACTTCCAGACGCTAGGGATTAGAATGTGGACATCTTTGAAGAGCCATTATTCTGTCTGCCACATATGCCTCACAGTGTATCATCAGGCTTTAATTTCACTGAAATGTTTAGTCAGAAAACATCACTCCCTCCTTTGTTAGAGTCACTCTTCCTCTGGACTTTGTGACACAGCCTGGATCCACTTAGCAGATTGTTTCTTCACATTCCTTTGCAATTTTCTTTCCTTCCTCTACTATAGTAAAAGTTTATCTTCATAAAATTTTGTCTATCAATGACTTATAAAAAGGAGAGTTATAATAGATATTTGACAACTAAGATCACAATAGTAACTAATTTATTAAACATCTAATGAGGGTCAGGCACTATTTTCTGAATGTTTTACATTCATAATAATATTTCATACATACAATAATTTTATATTATATAGGGTTCTGTCACTAATTTCGTTTACCTGGTGAAAAAAACAGAGGCAGAGAGATTGCGTAGCTTGCCCAAAGTCAGAGTTAATAACTGGAAATACCAAGTTCTAATCCAGGAGTTTGATTATAGAACTTGGGCTCCAGAATGCTGTGCCATACTTCCTTCTTGTGTGAATGGATAGCTCCTCAACTATCATGGCTTTATGCCATCAACTGAAGATCCACAGATCTAGTTCCAACCTGTCTCCCATTCTACTACTATGTATGCTCAACATTTGCCTTTAGATATCCCTTTTAATTAAAATTGCACAGAAGTTATCATGACAAGAATGAAGCTTGAAATGGTTACCATTTATGGTATCTCTACTTTGTTTCAAATTCTGTAGTAGGTGCTGTACCTAAATATGTATTTTCCTCCTTAATTTAGTTTCCTATATTATCTGGCAAGGTAATTGTCATTGGTCCCATTTGACATCCAAGGAATCTTGAAGTTGAGATATTTTAGGCAACATCCCACCAAAATATATTCAAAGTCTATGTTCTTTTATTTATGCCTAGGAATCTAGGCATAAATATCTATTCACAATTACTCCTCAGTTTAACTGTCCTGTTTCTGTCTTTCTAGTATTTAGCTCAAAAACTCATGGTCATGTTTGCTTCTTTTTTTCTCTATGACACAAATATTCATTTCTCAGACCAGTCATGTTTCCTCTGCAATATTGCTTCTACAGGTACATGTATCTCCCTACTTTCTATCTTGACAGTCAAGCACGTAATGAATGCTCCAGTTTCATCTTGCCTCCCCACTCCGATAGCTTCTAACTGCTGTCTACATCTTATTCCCTTGCCTTCCCTCAAAATGACATTTTTTTCTTTACTGCCAAGTTTACATTCCTAAAGCATAAGTTCTGTCATTTTAGTTTTCAGATTAAAAAATGTGTTAAGATTTATTTGATTTCTCCCAGAGGTCCCTATGTCTAGTTAAATTGGGCTTATCAAATTGGATCAACAGTTACCTTTTGGTCTTTTTACCAACCTTATTCTTTTTCTCATTTAGTTTCTTCCTCCTGTATAAATGAACTTCTGTGTTTTGTTGTTCTACATGTCTGGACCCCTAAGAGACTAGGGCACACCATCTGATTGGTGCTTATATTGGAAGTGGCATCAAAGCGGTGGTTTGGTAATAGCGGTGATGGTAATAGTAGCCACAGATAACTAGTGTTGAGTGCATTACTATGTTCATATTTTATATGAGACACCTGCTTATATCTATAATCACTCCATAAGGCATGAACCTAGAGAGGTTGAGTTAGTTGCTCAAGTTTAACAAAAAAAAAGCAGTAGTATTTTGCAGAGGTTCAAGTCTGTTTATTTCATTGCTTCAGTTCAGTTAACAACTGTAGGATGCTTCCCTTTGTAACCCCAGGAGCCAGGTGGTATTACATAGGCTATCTATTCAGCATGGCCAGAGGCAGCTCAGTTAATGATAGAAATTCTCAGCAACAGAGAATGAAGCAAAATTTATTACCAGGCAAACAGTACCAGATATTAGATGTGAGGATCCATAAGAAGAAAAACTGGCTTATCATCTTTACAGGTCTCATTATGTGCCAGGAGCTGTTCTAATACTTTGCATGTATTAATTCATAATCCTCAAAACTAACTTATGAAATGCGTGCTATTATTATTCTCGTTTTATAGATAAAGATTCATAGACAAAGAAAGATGTAGTAATTTTCCCAGTGTTTGATGCCAGGCAATCTGGACCCAGAATTCACACTCATGATCACTATTGTATATTGCCTCCTATTTAAGTTAGCTTGAACAGAGAAGCATAAGAAAGGTCGAGTGCTGGGCAAGCGGGAACATTTGGGATTACAAAATGTGAACTGCATCATGGAACATGGTTCATTACTTACTCTGTGATGGAGGTGAAAAAATGGAGGGCTGGTTTTGTATAAACTCTAGAGGAGAGTCTGAGAGCTTAAGGGGCCCTGTAGAATGCACAGTATTCAGTCTTCAGTCTTGTTTTCAAACTTTATTAAATCCATGAAGCTGTGCTTGATCCCCTAAACAAAATACAAATTTTTCTTCCTTTGAACACCCTTTGCACTTTCATATAGTTCTTATGGCCAAAGTATAACATTCCTTTGTGGAGAAGAAAAAAGAAACTGAAAGAAGCATGACAGCCCAGAGCACAGTGGCTAGAGAGGGGAGGATTACACAAACATGATACACGGAGGTGTGAGAACCAGGAGGATGCTTCTCACTTCTCAAGTGGTTAGAAACAGATATAGTCTTGCCAACCCAAGGTAACTGGAGTTAGGTAGGTAGGGTGCTCTGGTTCTGGATCATGTATCTGTCTGTCACTAAGAATGTCACTAAGCATGTCATTAAAATGCCATGGAAGTTTTCAGGGTCCCAGTTAAACAAGTGTGAGTAGTGCTCCAATAACATAAGAGAACCAGCAAATTAACATTTAGGAAACAAGAACTGGACAAGACTGGAATATAACGCTAGCCAGGCATGGTGGCTCACGCCTGTAATCCCAGCACTCTGGGAGACTGAGGCAGGAGGATCACGTGAAGTCAGGAGTTCAAGACTAGCCTGGCCAACATGGTGAAACTCCATCTCTACTAAAACTACAAAAATTAGCCAGGCATGGTGGCATGCACCTGTAATTTCAGCTACTCAGGAGGCTGAGGCAGGGGAATCACTTGAACCTGGGAGGCAGGATTTCAGTGAGCCAAAATGGCACCACTGCACTCTAGCCTGGGTGACAGAGTGAGACTCCATTTCAAAAAACAAAACAAAACAAAAAGACTGAAATATAATGGGAAAAATCAGCTTAACTGCGGGTCAGGTACCAAGTCTCAAGTTAAAAGTTAGGCGCTACATCTTATTAGTAAGATTAATGTTAGATCCTACCACTTGCTAAGATGATGCAATAATTTACAATTATTATTAAAAAGTACCCAATTTAAAAATGGGCAAAATATTGGAATAGATACTTCACTAAAAAGATATAGGAATGGTTCATAAACACATGAAAAGATCTCAACATTATTAGTCATCTAGGAAATGCAAATCAAGACCACAACAATATACCATTTAACATCCACTAGAATTACTATAATAAAAAAAGACAATAACAAGTGTTGGCAATGATGTGGATAAATTGATACCCTTATAACATTGCTGGTAGAAATATAAAATAGTACAAGTGTTTTAAAAAATATTTTGGCAATGTCTTTAAAAAGTGAAATATAAATGTATCATGACCCTATATTTCCACTCCTAGAAATCTACCTAAGAAAGTGAAAACATGTCCAGACAAAGGCTTGCATGTAAATGTCTGTAGAAGCATTATTCATAATAGCCAAAAATTGAAACCAACTCAAATTTCAGTTTCTTAGTAATTAGCTAAACAAAATCTGTTACATCATAAAATCTAATACTATTCAATTAAAAGAAATTAGTGATACACACTAAAACAGGACTGCATCTAAAATATATCTGTGCTAAGTGATAGAAGCTAGACATACAAGACCACATACTACAAGACTACATTTATATAAAAGGATCAAATCTATAATGATTCAAAGTAAGTAGTGATTTCCTGAGACTGGGAATGAGAAAAGAAGTGGCTGCAAATTGCAAGAGAGAATTTTGGACGTTAATAAAAATATTTAAAATTACATTATGTTAATGGTGGCAAAACTGTATTTAATATCAAAAGATAATTGAATTGCAGAATTCAGTTAAAAATGGGTAAATATTATAGAATATAAATTATTTCTCAATAAACTTTATATGTATATGTGTGTATATATACATATATTTTAATAGTCTAGATTTTGCAGATAATCAGTGACAGGACAAGGACTCACATTTAGTGTGCTGGATTCAAATTCCAGGTTCTGTAAATAAAAGTGGAATCCATTATAGGCATCTTTAACTTATGCAAATTCATGTCAAATGCTCAGAAAACCCAATAAACATACAAATAAAACAAACATGAAATGTTAGAATTTCTTGATTTATTCTATTATTCTTCCAGGCTTTGGCTCTTACTGTGTGTGGTGGAGAGAGGGGAAGAAACTGCAGCCAAAATGCAATAAAAATAAAAATACTACATTTTCAGGAATATTTCAGTCTTTCAAAAAATAATTTTGATTATGCAATGATTTGACATTATGTATGAATTTAGAACTTAACCTTCATGTAATATGATTTCATTACATTAAAAATTCTTCAGACTTTAGGACAAACCTATAAAAATACGAATATTTATCTTTAAGATATAAAAAGTCCATTAAATTGCTTGAAAATATATAATACATATGTGGTGGAACCCTGTATGTTGTTCAACTAAAGCTACTTCTGCTTTCTACTGTAGCGAAAATATGTATACCTTTAAGTGCTATTTATACTGTGGTACACAGAATAATGGCTCCAAAAGATGTCCACATTCTAATCCCCAGAACCTGTGAATGTGTTACTTTCCATGGCAAAAAAAAAAAAAAAAAAAAAAAAAAAAAAAAAAAAAAATCATATCTGCTTAAGTTAAAAATCTGAGAAGAGGAGATTACAAGGACAAAGGTCTAAATGAATAAAATAGGGAGGCAGGAAACTCAGAGGAAGGGGAGAAGATATAATGACAGACCCAGATTCAGAGAAAAAGAAGGAGATTTGAAGGTGCTACACTGCTGGCTTTGGAGATAGAAGAAGTGGCCATGAGCCAAAGAATGCAGGCAAATTCCAGAAGCTGGAAAAGGCTAGGAAATGTATTCTCTAGAGGCTTCAGAAGGAATGCAGCCAACACCTTTATTTTTACCCCATAATAACCATTTCAGACTCCTGGCCTTCAGAACTGTACAATAATAAATTTGTGAAGAATGTCATTGGTATTTCATCATATGACAATGATGTTCACTTTTACCACTTTCATTTAATACAGTACTGGAAGTTCTAGCCAGAGCAGTAAGAAAAGAGATAGAAATAAAGTCCATCCAAATTGGAAATGCAGAGGTCAAATTGTCCTTGTTCATAGACAATTGATCTTATATTATGAAAAACCTAAATAATTCATCAAAAAACTATTAGAATTGATAAACAAATTCAGTAAGTTTACAGGCTATAAAAACAATATGCAAAAATTAGAAGCATTTCTACATGCCAATAGTGAACAATCTGGAAAAGAAATCAAGAAAGCAATCCCATTCATAATAGCTATGAAAGAAAAAAATACCTGGGAATAAATTTAATCAAATAAGTGAAAGATATCTATAATCAAAATTATATACCAATGATGAAAGAAATTGAAGACACACAAAAAATAGAAAGATATTCCATGTTCACAAATTAGAAGAATCAATATTGTTAAAATGTTCATACTACCCAAATCAATCTACAGATTCAATGCAATCCCTACCAAAAAGCCAATGACATTCTCAAAAAAAAAATCTAAAATTTATATGGAACCACAAAAGACCCAGAATAGCCAAAACAACCCTTAGCAAAACAAAACAAAACAAACAGAAGAGCTGTAGGCATTTCACTACCTGATTTCAAATTATACTACGAAGCTATAGTAGCCAAAACAGCACAGTACTGGCAGAAAAACTAACACATAGACCAATGGAACAGAATAGGAAACCCAGAAATTAACCCATGCATTTACAGTCAACTCATCTGGGACAAAGATACCAGAAATATGTATTGGGAAATGAACAGTCTCTTCAATAAATAGTTCTGGGAAAACTCAATATCCACATATAGTAGAATGAAACTAGACCCTTATCTCTCACCATATACAAAAAGCAAATCAAAATGGATTAAAGGCTTAAATGTAAGACCTGAAACTATGACACTTCTAGTAGAAGACACTGGGGAAATGCTTTAGGACATTAGTCTCAGCAAGGAAATTTCTTGATTAATACCTAAAATGCACAGGCAAACAAAGCAAAAATTGACAAATAGGGTTTCATCAAGCTAAATAGCTTCTGTACAGCAAAGGAAACAATCAACAAAGTGAAGAGACAACCCACAAAATGGGATATAATATTTGCAAACTATCCTTCTGACAAGGGCTTAATAACTAGAATATATAAGGAACTAAAACAACTCAATAGCAATAAAACAATAATTCAATTAAAGAATGGGCAAAAGATCTGAATAGATATTTTTAAGAAGAAGATATGCAAATGGCAAACATGTATATGAAAACATTCTAACATCATCATCAGGGAAATGCAAATATAAAGCACAATGATATATCACCTCACCCCAGTTAAATGGCTATTATTAAAAAGACAGAAAATAAATGCTGGTATAGATGCAGAGAAAGGGAAATGCTCATATACTGTTGGTGGCTGTAAATTAAAACAGCCACTATGGAAAACTGTGTGGCGATTTCTCAAAGTAACAGTAGAACCACCATATGATTCATCCATTCCACTGCTGGATATATCTCCAAAGGAAAGAAAAAAAATAGGAAATCAGCATGCCAAAAAGGTATCTGCACACCCATGTTTATCACAGCACTATTCACAATAGTTAAGATATGGAATCAACCTAAGAGTCCATCAACAGATAAATGAAAAGAAAATGTGGTACATATACACAATGGAATGCTATTCTGCCATACAAATGAATGAAATCCTGTCATTTGCAACAACATGGATGGAACTAGAGGACATTACTTTAAGTGAAATAAGTCAGGCACAGAAAGACAAGTGTTGCATACTCTCACTCATGTGGGAAATAAAAAATTGATCTCATGAAGGTAGTGAATAGAATGGTGGCTACCAGAGGCTGAGAAGGGTAATGGGGAAGGGAGGACAAAGAGGGATTGGTTAATGGGTACAAAAATACGGTTAGATAGAAGGAACAAGATCTAATGTTAAGTAGCACAACAGGGTAACCATAGTTAGTAATAATTTATTGTATATTTCAAAATAACTTGAAGAATAGATCTGAATGTTTCCAGCATAAAGAAATGATAAATGGTTGAGCTGATGGATATCCCAATTACCCAGATTTGATCATTACACATTATATACTTGTATCAAAATGTCACATTTACCCCTAAATATTTACAACTATTATGGATCTCAAAAATTAAAAATAAAGGAATGTCTGGTCTGGTTTCTTCACAAGTCTCCACCAAATATTTTGTCAGAAAAAACATTTAAGAAAAAAAGCAACTAAGAAAATTCTAATTCAGATTAAACTTAATTCAATATGGTAAGTTGAACAATGATTTCATGTAATTCTAAGAAATTGTCTCTTGGAAAAAAAAAATCTCCGATTGATTTCCTTTTCCCCTGTTTTCTCCCTAATACAATATTCATATGTTCAGTTTAGAAAGCCTTCAGCTCCAAGTGTTCAATTATCATGAAATTAAATAAATATTAAGCATGAAGTTAGGAGGTTGGCACCTTTTGGCATTTTGTAAGTCCTCAAATAATGTCATGGTCAGTGCTTCTGAATTTCTTTTGGCCCTGGGTTCATGGTTACAGGAAGGCTGGGCACATATTCAAAACAGGAAGAAGAATAGGAATGCAGTAAGATAGAACCAGAAGCATCTGTCTCTTGTATTAGGAAAAGCGAAAGATTGTCTAGAGCATAGCATCACGGTTTATTACCTAAAGCTGGATCCATTTCTATCTGAAAAAAAGAAGTAGGGGCGGGTGCAAACAACATGAGGGAAAAACTGTGGGGCTTCTGTGAAATCATGGTGGAGGGGAGCCTCAGGGTTCCTAGGCAAGGCACCCTAGTCCCTGGCACAGTGTCCGTGGTCCATCTGTTGCTTGCTTAGCCGCCTTTACCACTAAAACCAGGGCATCTCATTGTTTAGTTTCTTCCTTGGCTTGACAGAACTGTAGCTTGGATCTGCAGCTCCTCTACTAAACAAAAATTGTATCATCAATGTAAGCAACCTGACAATATTTGGAAGAAAAATATCAAAAATGACAATTTTGTAGATGGTTCCAAAGGACAAAATTTTCCCCAAATATGAAGCATCTGTCTTCAAGTAACTGTGCCTATACACAGACATATTTATAGGCCAAATAAAGTTCTAAAACGTTTCTTGTTTTACAATGAAATAAAAAAGCAACTCAACATGATGTAGGATCAGTTATACTAATGGCTTCTTTTCCTTGCAGATCCCTACAGTAGAAGGGGAAAATCAATCAACCAATCAATCAATCAATCAATCAGTCAATCGATCAAACCTAACTTTGTCAAAGTCTGTTCCTAAAACAGTTCATTCTTAGGATTAGAATATGGGCTGCACAAAAGTTCAAAAACATTTCTTCTTCTTCATTCCCCCATCTTCAACAGCAGACTGGGAGTGATCAGAAGTTTGAAAAGTTCACTCTTATCAAAGAACACTAGTTACAATTACTAAAAAATCATTTTTTCCCTCAGAAATTAAAACAAGATGTTTTTTCTTCCCCCACTTTCTCCAAACTGACAGTCATGGGTGACAGTATCCCATGTCAAAAAACCTTTTATCACCAGAACGAAAACTGATAAAGAGAGTCTGTCGGTTTCCCTTTGTTCTCTATTTACACTTATGAGGGAAAAATGATTTATGATTATTATAATTATATCTCTCCTTAGGAGAGCTGCACTAATTACATAATTTTTAAGCCATTATTTTTCTTTTTACAAGCTCTTAACTTAGTCTAAATTGAAATGTATTTAGCAATTTTGTACTCTGTTACTTTTCAAACCTCTGTGTGGATCACAAATTGAATGATCTGAGATTACTTAATACATCAAATTTGTTCATGATAAGCATAAATATTCTGGGCTTATATATTCACAACTGTGATAGAAAGAGTTTCGCTCAATAGATAGGATCTTCATAGATGTTTTGAGGGAGTCTGCAGGAAATGAGTTTTGGGTAAAATGTGTTTTAATCTGTAGTTACACGGTAATAGCCACGAACCTTAGGAGTCAGCCTGGTATGTATTAGCTGAGTTAATACTACCAGCAACTTATTCCTTTCATTTTATGACTTTATATCAAATTATAACTCTGGCTTTCTCTACTGTCTTTTGTGTATTCATCTTTTTTGTTTTTTATGGTTCTACTCTTCTGTTGCCTCCCCCTGCTACAGAAACTAACAGGGGCCATAGAGATAATAGAATATTGTTTCAAATTTAACATTTCCTTGAGATAAAATTTCTGTGTTCCTTGCTTTAACGAATGTATTTTAAAAGTACTATTCTTTCTAAAGATAGTTTTATTTAGACAGCATCATAGCAGTTGCATCAAGAAATTTAAAATGTTCATTGTAGTAGAAATTGTTGAGAGAGGAAACACAATTCCACACCCACCAACAGACACCTCCAAAGATAAGTATACCTTATTGAAGAAATTGAATTTATGTTTTTAAACACTGTTCTTTACCTAGTATCTAAATAATTCTTCATTCTCAGAAAACATTTAAGTGTATTATTTGTCATCCTATTGAATCTTCTCATCTATAAAGTGTGTGTTGTTATTTTCACTTTATATATAAGGAAACTGAGGCTCAGGAAAGTGAATGAACTTTTCCGGCAGCAAACAACTATTAAGTGAAGAAAGCATTTCAGTGGACATCTTTCTGTCTCTGCAGTACCCAAGTGCCTCTCTTTAATCCTCCTAAAGTCCATATGAACTCGGTATTAAGCCCCATTTACAGACTGGAAAACTAGTGGTAGAGAGATGGAGTTACATGCCAGTAACCCCATGAAGCACCCCCCTACAAATTTTTTTTAAACGATAAGTGTTAGTAACCTTTATTAAAGTATACCTGAAGGAAAATGTCCATGTGTGTTTCAAATTTAAAAAATAATTCAATGTATATGAAAATTTTCAAAGAACTCTATCCCATGCAGGGGCCCAGGATTATATCAAATTTAATGAACGGTTGAAAGAACGAACGCAGCAGGGGAGAAAGTTTGGATTATCACAAATAAATGAATTGTTTAGTTTACTCAAAGAAAAAGGAAAAACAAAAGAGGGGATAAGTCCAAATGTTGTCAAATCAAACAATGACAAAATGAGGTTGATTCCCCATGTTGTCTAAAGTAAATGACCATATCACCTTGACTACTTATGTGAGAATAATAAAATCACATGCTCTTGAATGTATTGATCCATATGAATTATTGAAAATATTAAGCTTATCACAATATTTCATGCTAACAAATAATAAGAAAATCAGTGTGTTTTTCTTTTTTCTGGTTTTTACATTACCTTTTTGTGTTTTTATTTGCACTGACTTCAGACCTTGTGGATCCCACCAAATGACTGGATTGAAATGCTAACGGCCGAGCGGGGTAGCTCAAGCCTGTAATCACAGCACTTTGGGAGGCTGAGGCATGTGGATGCCTGAGGTCAGGAGTTCAAGACCAGCCTGGCCAACATGGTGAAACCCTGTCGGGTGCCTGTAATCTCAGTTACTTTGGAGGCTGAGGCAGGAGGCTTGCTCCACCTTGGAGGTGGAGGTTGCAGTGAGCTGAGATTGCACCATTGCCTTCCAGCCTGGGTCAACAACAGCAAGACTCTGTCTCAAAAAAAAAAGCAAAAAAGAAAAAAGAAAAAATGCAACTTTTCTTTGGGATCAGTGGGGTATTTTATATTTATCTATCTTTACAAAACAAGAGCTTTATATACAATAGTTATTTCTCATAGTTGTTTCATAAGAAACTCACAGAAAGCAATTTATTTAGGGCAGTTTTCATTGCAAATAAATGATGATTTTGGCTATTCATGTTGAAAAAGGGTAAAAGGACATTTGGCACATAAAAAAAGAATTTTTTAAAAAAAGAATGAGAACAAATTCTAAAACTTGTAGAAAAATATTTCTATACATATGTATTGACAGAGTTAAAGTACAAAATTTGGGTCAGTAGGAATTTAATTTAACTTTACATAAGTCGAATTCCCCAAATAGGTAAACCTTTAATATTGGCATTAATAGGTTGCTCTGGGGAAAGGGAAAAAGGAGTAAAGGAGGAAGAACAAGCATGAGAAAGAAAGGATACTAATTCCCAAGTCATTTATAATCTAGCAGGGGAACAATAATACTCTTCTCAATAATTCAAACATATGTATCACTTAAACTTTTAAAATTATCTTGCCATGTGATGCTGCCCTATCAAAAACCATGAGTGACAGGCACGATGCTAGCTATATTTTTCCCCCAGTTTACATATAAGAAAGGGATGGGAATCTTGAGAGATGTTACATGAGGGGCTTAGGTCACTCAGCAGAACCACAGGACGGAACAGAGACTTTTCCCCTCTTTGCATTCCAAAGGTTTTAAATGGCATAGAGGAATTTAACATATTTGGAATGTTCACACATTCAGAGCCTTCCCTCTATCTTTGAAATCTCTCGTCTTTCCTTTCTTCTCTCTCCAAGCGTGCAGGGTCTTCAGAATCTTCAGAGAAACATAAAGACAGCTGGGGCAGAGTGGTAATTTTTTTTTTCACTGATGAAACTAATGCAAAAATATTTGGGAAAACAATGCAAGTTGAGAAAAAGGAGGAAGTTTGATTATTGATCATATCCGCAGCAGCAGAGGTAGGTCTTTTCAGAGTCTGCTTTACATCTTACAGTGGACAAGGATATTGGGAGTTCTGCTGAGGATACACAGGATAGATGGTGTTGCTCCCGAAGCTCATGTCCACCCAGAATGTCATAACAGGGCCTTATTTGAAAATAGGATGTTTGCAGATGTAATTAGGTAAGATGAGGTCATACCGGTTTTGGATGAGGATGAAGTCTATTGACTAGTGTCCTTGTAAGGAGAGGGGAGAACACATGGAGACACACACACACACACACATACACACACACACACACACACACACACACACACACACACGGAAGAAGGCCATGTGAAGATGGAGCTGGAGATGGGAGGGAACAAGACACAAGACAAGGGATGCAAAAGATTTCTGAGAGCCATCAGAAGCTAGGAAGTGCCAAGGGCAGATTTCCCACTAGAGCCTTCAGAAGGAGCACTGCCCTACTGAAACCTTAATTTCAGACTTCCAGCCTTCAGAACTGTGATGGATTGAATAGCTCTTGTTTTAAGCCACCCAGTTTGTGGTACTTTGTTACCGCAGCCCTAGAAAATACGTGGAAACTAGAAAGAAGAAAAGCAACAAGATCCTTCACCAAATTCAGAAAGTATACTTAACTCAGGAAAAGTGTAGGAGGGAGGAGGGGATATGGGAGGAATAGGTGTGGGAATGGTTAGTAGACGAAATTGCCAAAGGGAGAAATCATATTTATCAGGTGACTCTAACGTTCCAAGCTCTGTATCTGTCCTTTTACATGTATTTTCTCTCTTGATTTTATCACAACCCTGTGATATAGATTGGAATGTTCACACACTCAGAGCCTTGACACCATTTTGTACATGAAGACTTAGAGAGACAAGTGTCTGGGTAAAAGTCACACACAAATAAACGACAAAATCAAGAATCAAATCCATGTTTCCTGATTCTTAGACTGGTGTTACTTCCCCCTTAAGCCTATAATTAAATAACCCAAGAATGTAGTAAATATTTCTTCCCTTGAGACTTTTAAAACAAGTCAGAACACAGTAATAGGGAACTCTCAGGAGGAATAGTTCTCTCTGGGCAGAGATGAAATTGGATATCCTAATAGATCTTTTCCAAATCTAATCATCTCACTCTCTGAAAGGCTCTGGCTAAATGCATGTTCATTATCGTTTTATTCTAAGTTAACTGGAAAACAAGATTGATTGACATGTTGGAGGTATTCAACATTTATATGCAGGAAATTTAGGAGACTTTAAACACATTCAAGAAAGGTTTTCTTAAAATAGCTCATGCTGCTTTTTACAGTGAAATACTCTGCACCAAAACAGATGCTTTCTAAAATTTTATACCACTGCTCTTCCCAAGCAGATGACCTTGATGTGCTCAGGACCATGGAGGCAATGGGCAGCCTTCCTAACCTGGAAGAGAAAAGAAATACTGTGGCTTCTTATCTATTCCTCCGTGTCCACAGATAAATTTTTGCTCATTTTCATTGCTTTTCAAATGTTCCAATTCTGACCTCTATTCACAATGGAAAATAGGAACACTATACATTTTGATTGTAGTTTAAAGTATCTTCATGTATTTTGTTTTATTCAATGCCCAGTACAATGTGTAATACTCATGTTTCAGAGAAGGAAGAGCATCCCACAATGAAAGTGACATTGTGCAAAATCACATGTGATAAGAGTCAGGATTGAATTCACAGTGTTGTAAGGCTATTTCAGACCTTAAAAAAAAAAAAAAAACTCCTTGGTTTTAACCAAAATAAGTTTAACATTTACATTGGTTGTTTCTATGCAAAACAAAATAAAACAAAAACTTGGTAAAACTATGGAGTCTGCAAATTGTGTTTTTTATCCCCCTTTGGTGTTTCTGAGATGTATTCTAGGTATGTAGAGCTCTTTTAAGACAAAACACATCCCAAAAAGAATAGATTCTTAAAAAGTTTATCTTCTTGAAGGAGTGATAGACTTCTCACCAGTTCATTCAGGATAATGATGTTTGCAAGAATAAGTTTTGTTCCCTTCGTTTAAATAACTCTCTTTAATATTATTAATTCCTGAATAATACTAGAAGAAATAATTATTTTGGGGGGTAGTTTTTAAAGTCAGTAAAATAATTGTAAAATTGACATCTTTTTGTACCCCTCATCTTGATATGTAAAACAATTTCAAAAATCAAGATGTAGGTATACTTGAAGTGTGGTTTGGACACTAGCTATTGATCCCTACCTACGGTACATGAAGGCCTTACCTAGAAGTGAATGGGAGACTTTCCGTGCTGATTCAACAAATTTCCTGAGTACAAAAGAAGCTGTTATTCTCAGAAGCATCCTAGATTTCTTTCATTTGCCTTCTAACACCAATCATTCAGTCCTATGGATTCTACTGCCTGAATATAAGTCAAGTGCACCAGTTCTGCCCATCACTCTGAACCAATGCCATTCAAGCCACTGTTTCTCATTTGGGCCAATGAAACTTATCTCTAGACCTCCTATTTGTCATCCACCCTCCACAGTGCTATCAGAATGCCTATAAAGCTCAAACATGATCACATCACTCAGTTGACTAAAATCATTCAATAGAGCCCAAGTGCTCTCAAGCTAAAGTCCATACTCCATACTATATGAAGGTCCCTTCGTGTTCTGGCTCTAGTACTAACTCCCCTTTCTCCATCCTTTCTATCCTATCTTCTTTCCATGCCTCCCTGTCATATACATATTCTACCACTCATTGCGGTAGCAATACTGAGCTATTTTCAATTCAAGGAAGACTATGGGCTCCCAAATCTCTAGACTTTCATATATAATGATTCATAAAATATTTGTGGGCCAGGTGCGGTGGCTCATGCCTGTAATCCCAGCACTTTGGGAGGCTGAGGCAGGTGGATCATGAAGTCAGGAGTTCTAGACCAGCCTGGCCAAGATGGTGAAACCCCGTCTCTACTAAAAATACAAAAATTAGCTGGGCATGGTGGCAGGCACCTGTAATCCCAGCTACTCGGGAGGCTGAGACAGAGAATCGCTTGAACCCGGGAAGCAGAGATTGCAGTGAGCTGAGATCACGCCACTGCACTCCAGCCTGGGTGACAGAGTGAGACTCCATCTCAAAAAAAAAAAAAAAAAATTGTCCAGCTGTGAAAGTTGCACCTGTTCTTCATGTTTTAGCAGAGGGGTCATTTCATCTATGAAGATTCTCTGAGTACTGACCCCAGCCATGGCTCTTGCTACATCTTGAAGCATTTCATTATCTGAGTGTCCTCCTATGCTGTTCCATACAATCTTAGTTACTACCTGGTTGGTTGGTCCTTGCAACAATCACCTGTCATTTAGATCAGCGGTCCCCAAACTTTTTGGCACCAGGAACCAGGTTTGTGGAAGACAATTTTTCTGTGGACTGGAGTGGAGATGGTTTTGGGATGAAACTGTTCCATTTCAGATGATCAGGCATAAGATTCTCATAAGGAGCACACAACCTAGATCCCTCGCATGCTCAGTTCACAATAGGGTTCATGCTCCTATGAGAATCTAATGCTGCTGTTGATCTGACAGCAGGCAGAACTCAGGTGGTAATGCTCACTTGCCTACCACTCACTTCGGGCTGGCCTGCCTGGTTTCTAACAGGGGGCTTGGGGCCCCTAACTTAGAATATAATAGTCAACATTTTAGAGATATGGTTTGTTGTCTTTTTCATTGTAGCATCTAAAAGCTACTGAATAAATATTTCATGGATGTGTGAATGAATGAATAGATAAGTAGCATTTCTCAGGCAAATAATGTTTGATGTTAGAAATATACCAAAGACATACACCTTAATATGAATATAATTCTGTACTTTGGACAAAGATATCCCATACACTTATATTCTTTTAACTAGATCTCCCTAGCTATTCTTTATTTTCTCCTCCTTCTCAATTCCATCTGTTCAGTACTGATGTCATTCAATCCCCCACTTTATATGTTGAAACCCTAACCCCCCAGTGTGATGGTATTTGGAGGTGAGGCTCTGGGAACATAATTAGGTTTAGATGAGATTATGAGAATGGGGTTCCAAGACAGGATTAGTTTTTTATAAGGGGGAGGAAAGACGAGAGCTCTCTGTCGTGTCCTGTCCACTATGTGAGGGTACAGCAAGCCAGAAAGAGGGCCCTCACCAATAACCAAGGTTATGGCACCTTGATCTTGAGCGTCCAGCCTCCAGAACTATGAGAAGTAAATATCTACTGTTTAAGCCACTCAGTCTTTGGTATTTTGTTACAGCAGCCTGAGCTGACTGAGACACCATCCAACAACCCTAATACCACTCATAGAGTCTCTGCACATCTGTAAGAATAAAGGCCTCTGAAGCTGGGGTAGTGCATGTGAATAGATGAGGCTGTTGTCAAATGGATGCTGTTACATTCTTTGAGAGGAGCCATTTGCTCACCCTGAGTCAAGCTGTCAAAATTTGACAGTTACAGTCAAAGGAGTACCTGGAGCTTAAAAAGGTCAGAGAAGTAAGGCATGACCAAATTATTCCCAGATGGCTGAGGCTGTCAATGTTATTTAAAATAATCTATACTGAAGATGCTGGAGATGAATGCCCGCTTTAGCCCAGGAAAAGTCTATGTTCATCATGACTTCTGCGTCACTCCCTACCTCTTCTTGTTCCACACATCTCTCAAGGAAGACACCTACCTATTCACTTGGCACTCCATCTAGACCTTTTCAGGATTCCCATAGGGCAAGCACAGCTTATAAAAACTTCAACTTCTCAATTAGAGGAAAGGTTGAGAAGAAAAAGTCAGTCTTCTGGTGTTTAAACCGTGTTTCTGCACACAGTCTCTCTAGGCAAGGAGGGAAGAATTGAACAAGGAAGAATCCCTGGCTTAATTTGACTTCTAATTTAAACAAAGATGAAAGGACTCTTCGCATTATGTTATTGATTTGTTTAACATGCATCTACCATGTGCCTACTCCAACCCAGACTCTGGGCTGGAAACTAGCTCCTTCCCTTGAGGATCTCACAAGCCAAGTGGGGATAGGGTAGGCAGGCAAGTGACAGAAAACAAACTATTAGCAGCATTAATAAATGACTACAATTATTGGAACTGTTTCATTCATTAAATCAATAATTATTTTCTCAGTATATACTAGGTGTTTGGTTATGTGTTGAAAACTGATATACAAAAATAATAAATGTAACATTTGTGCTCTCAAGGGACTTTCAGCTCTCAGTGGAAAAACTGCTGAGATAAACAATGAGATTACAAAAAGAAACATATTAGGAAGGAATGAATGTTTCATGTTCTAGGATGTCTGTTACTGACAGATCCATCTTGTCTCTGGATCCATCTTATCTCTGGGGCAATAAATTGCCTATACACATTAAAATGATCTGTTTAGTGTCCTCTCTGGCAAACTATATGTTGCTCACACCATCTACACAAGGAAAAGGAAAAGAGAAAAATACAGACTGGCTTCCAGGAGTGCTGGATTCTGCTTTCCACTTGTTTTCTAAATACCTGTGTGACCTTGGAGGGCAATTTGGATAGACAGCACTTTAGTGCCTTTAGGGCTGGTGTTCAGAAGCAGAACATCATTCTCTGGGGGGAATGATGACTTCCGAGAAGAGAACATCATTCTCTGGAGGGAATCCTGACAGCAAGCCAAGACCTCAACCTTTACAGAGCTAGGTTATGGATACAACATTGCCTCCCCAAGTGGTTCCAAAACCCAGCTGCAGAATAGTATCACCGGGGAGCTCCTTAAAAATAGTGTTTCTGGGTGCATCCCCAGAAATACTAACTCAGTGTCTGTGGTGAGATCAGGAATCTGTATTTGAACACATTTCACACATTTCCCAAGGTAATTCCGATATACTGCTTGCTTGGTATTACCAACCTTCAGTTCTAACACTGAACTCCGACATGTCATTAAAGACCCTTCACAATCTGGCCCCAGCCTATCTCTAGAGACAGATTGCTTGTCATTACCAGGCCACAATCCGGCCCCAGCAATCATAAACAACATGCACTCCAGACTAACTTTTGCTTTCCAATGCTTACACACATGCCATTTCCTCTCTTACCTTTCTTTCTTTTCTTTTTTTTTTTTTTTTGAGATGGAGTCTCGCTCTGTTGCCAGGCTGGAATACAGTGGCGAGATCTCAGTTCACTGAAACCTCTGCCTCCCAAGTTCAAATGATTTTCCTGCTTCAGCCTCCAAAATAGCTGGGACTACAGACACCCGCCACCACGCCCAGCTAATTTTTTTGGATTTTGGTAGGGACAGAGTTTCACCATGTTGGTCAGGATGGTCTCACTCTCCTGACCTTGTGATCCATCCCCCTCAGCCTCCCAAAGTGCTGGGATTGCAGGCATGCACCACCACGCCCGGCCTCCTCTCTTATCTTTCTAAGCACATCAAACCATGGCTTCTCATTTCAAGACATAACTCAGGTTTCTCTTGCTTGAGAAACCATTCCTGACTCCTTGAGCCAGCCTTAACTGGCTCCTTCTCTGTGCTCCAACAGTACTCTATTTAAACATAAAGTGTAAATATAGGTTTCTCCCAACTAGGTCACAAGCACCATGGCTATTTTTATTTATCTCTGTATCAAAATATCTAATAATTATTCTGGAAATACATTAGGTATTCAACAAATAATTAAGTGAATGAACAGAAACTAGGAAGAAGTATGCAATTATCAAAACTAGGGCATAACATCACAGCAGGAATTAAGTCACAGAAGGTCTGATTTAGTACCAATCTTGGGAAAATTGGGGCATTGGATAGTGTTTTCAGACAGGATAGAGCCAGTTATGATCTCAGCCTTTTATTAAGATATCCATCAAATAAGATTTAATAATATTTGGATGTGAATTTTAACTGTCCTACCCCAACTAACTCTTTGCAAACATGATCTATACTGTGAAGGATTGTTCCAGATTCTGGGCATAGTCAAATGGCCTCAGAAAGTGAAAAAAAAAAAAAAAATTGAGAACAGGAGCTATCCAGGTCATTAAATGGAAAGTATGTCATCCGTATTTCTAAGTTTCCCTAAGTTTTTATTGCACATTTTTTTCATCTTCTTTCTCAACTAGGTTTGGGATGCTACTGTCCCCTCCATACAGCATCTTCTAATACAGAGATGAATATTAAATTGGCCATAGCTAATTGATATGAAAATCTTACATTCAGGTAATTCTGGAGTTCAAGGCATCCCTGGAATGGCATCTAGTGAAAAAATGAACACTATTAGCTTTACGTGAGTATTAAGACTTTTTTCCAGTATATCACAGGGTAAGAGAAAGTATTTTATTGTATAGAATGTACTGATTAATACCCAGAGCCAATTAAGATTTCAAAAGAAAGGTCTCAGTAGAACAATCCCCATAATCATAGTGTGTCCAGAATTGGTGGGTTCTTGGTCTTGGTGACTTCAAAATGAAACCACAGACCCTCACAGTGAGCGTTACAGTTCTTAAAGATGGTGTGTCCAGGGTTTGTTCCTTCAAATGTTCAGATGTGTCTGGAGTTTCTTCCTTCTGGTGGGTTCGTGGTCTCGCTGACTTCAAGAGTGAAGTTGCAGACATTCGCAGTGAGTGTTACAGCTCTTAAAGACGGTGTCTCTGGAGTTGCTCATCCCTTCCAGTGGGTCCGTGGTCTCACCAGTTTCAGGAGTGAAGTTGCAGACTTTCGTGGTGAGTGTTACAGCTCTTAAACGCTGCGTGGACCTAAAGAGTGAGCAGCAGCAAGATTTATTGCAAGAAGCGAAAGAACAAAGCTCCCACAGTGGGAAGGCAACCTGCGCTGCTGGCTGGGGCAGCCTGCTTTTATTCCTTTATCTGACTCCACCCACATCCTGCTGATTAGTCCATTTTACAGAGAGCTGATTGGTCCATTTTATGAAGAGCTGATTGGTCCATTTTACAGAGAGCTGATTGGTCCATTTTGACACGGTGCTGATTGGTGTGTTTACAAACCTTAAGCTAGACACAGAGTGCTGATTGGTGCATTTACAATCCTTTAGCTAGAAACAGAGTGCTGATTGGTGCATTTACAAACTTTGAGTTAGACACAAAGTGTGGATTGGTGCATTACAATACTACAGCTAGACATGAAAGTTCTCCAAGTCCCTACCAGATTAGCTAGACACAGAGTGCTGATTGGTGCATATACAATCCTCCAGCTAGACATAAAAGTTCTCCAAGTCCCCACTAGACTCCGGAGCCCAGCTGGCTTTGCCAAGTGGATCCCGTGGCGGGGGCCGCAGATGGAGCTGCCCACCAGTCCCGCACCGCACACCAGCACCCCTCAGCCCTTGGGCGGTCAATGGGACCTGGTGCTGTGGAGCAGGGGGCAATGCCCATTGGGGAAGCTCAGGCTGCACAAGAGCGGGGGTGGGGCTTGGGCATGGCGGGCTGCAGGTCCTCAGCCCTGCCCTGCAGGGAGGCAGCTGAGGCCCGGCAAGAATTCCAGCACAGTGCGCGTGGGCTGGCAGTGCTGGGGGATCCAGGGCACCCTCCGCAGCTGCTGGCCCAGGTGCTAAGCCCCTCACTGCCCAGGGCTGGTGCTGGCTGACCACTCCAAGTGTGGGGCCTGCCAAGCCCATGCCCACCTGGAACTTGCACTGGCCTGCGAGCGCTGCGAGCAGACCCGGTTCCCACCTGTGCCTTCCGGTCTACACCTCCCCGCAAGCACAGGGAGCTGGCTCCAGCCTCGGCCAGCCCAGAGAGGGGCTCCCACAGTGCAGTGGCGGGCTGAAGGGCTCCTCAAGCATGGCCAGAGTGGGCGCAGAGGCTGAGGAGATGCCTAGAGCGAGCAAGGGCTGCTAGCACGTTGTCACCTCTCAATAGCACCATTTTTTTTTTCATAATATATATTCAAGGTATGTGTGTTCATGTGGACATAGTTTAAGATGGGCTGCCTGGAAGGCAAGGGTTCTAGGCATTCATTCTAAAACTACCACCAGGTCATCATACAAAATTAAGCTCTCTGTTTAAATAATAATGGGCTTTTATGTCAGTAACATTGGCTAATTCTCTTATCATCAATCTAGGTATCCAGTAGTTCCAGAATAATTGCATCATCCACTTATAATTCTTTCTCTTTTCCTCTAGTATAAACTATTTATCTATGAGCCTGTGTGAGTAGATCAAGATACGTTTTATTTCATAAGGTAGTGATGAGCAATTTATAATCCAAGTTTTGTGTCAAGAAGTTGAAAAGTAGGTTTAGGGGAATATTGGCAATTGACCAGCAATGTCTGTTCTGTGTGCAAGAGATGGGAAACATTGGCTCATATTCTAGATTCTTGTGATCCCATTCACAAACAAACCCACAACACACTCACATTATAGATATTTACTCTACAGCATAAGACTTTGTTGTTACTGGGTATCAGCAGATTCAGTTTGGGAAACTGAGTCACACTGAGAAAATCACGTTCAGTCTTTGACTGCTTTTCAACTCAAAACGCCATTAAAAAAATTGAGTCAATCAAGCAAAATATCTCATTTGATGTGGGCATAAGTGAGAAATGCAATTTTATGATATCTTAAAAATCAGTTAGCATATGAATAAAGTTTTACATTTCCAAAGACATCATGAAGATAATAGAAACTTGAGTTGGTTCCAAAAGAAAAAAAAAATGAGGCAAAAGAGAATTTGTTTGGTATGATAAAAGTATAAAATAAAAGGTTTGGTGATTTTAACCATACTAGAGTCTACTAAAAGAGATGAAATAAGCACAGGTGACAGATTTTGTGAGCATAGGTTTATTATTATGTTGTTGTTTCCTAGTAATTTTAAAAGACAATTAGCACTGAAAAATAGTGATCCTATGCTCTAGCGAATTGAAGTACAATTAGAATTAATGTGAGTAATAAATTAATTAGTTCTGAAGTAAAAACACTGCAGGACTCAGTGACTCATGCTTGTAATCCCAGCACTTTTGGAGTCCGGGGCAGGCGGATTACCTGACGTCAGAAGTTTGAGACCAGCCTAGCCAACATGGCAAAACACTGTCTCTACTAACAATACAAAAAATAGCCAGGCATGGTGGTGCACGACTGTAGTCCCAGCCACTCGGGAGCCTGAGGCAGGAAAATCACTTGAACCTGGGAGCCAGAGGTTGCAGTGAGCTGAGATCACACCACTGCACTCCAGCAAATAATAATAATAATAATAATAATAATAATAATAATAATAATACCACCACCAATAAGTATACATTGGTAAGATTCTTTTAAATAATCTCAAAGTACTCATAGGCTCAATCATTCATTTATTCATTTTATAATATGCATAAGCAGGCCAAATTTCAGCATTTTGATATAAAATATTTAAATGTATTTAACAGTAGCCCTGTAAATATATATTAAGATTTCACCCATTTGCCAGTTTGCCAGTTGGTACAATAAAAATTAGATTGTGAAATGTACTATGATTACTTAGCAAGTGTATGAGATGAGTCTTTACCAGACCTCTTGATTCTGAAGCCCAGACATTATCTATTCCACATTGTTTTTCAGAATAGTTTATCCATATACATTTCTTGGGAAGATTCTCTTAGCATAAAACCTTTGAAAATCCATCATGAATTATCTTGGGATGACAAGTCTTTAAGATGTAATTTAATTGTGCTGTTTGTTTTCAATGATTGAAACAGTTGAATTAAAGAGAGGTAAAGCTTTTATTAAATGTCTCTTGTTAATGTATAATAAGTTAGAACCAGTAGAGTTATGCAATTGGACTCAAACACCATTTTCCCATGATTTTATCTTACAAGTAATGTATTCTCTAAAATAATTTCCTGACAGGGCCTCTCTAGCTTCCAGTCCTCTCAGCTTTGTTCTCCAGACACAGAGCCTGCTGACTCTCCTTTTGAAATTGGCACTATTCCTGTATCTTGAACCAATCTTGTCCTTTGTATGGAAATTAAAACAGCCCTAGTTGAGTAATTCTTTTGACATTGTATAAAGTCATCCTTTGAGAGGGGAAATGTCATGTGTAGTAGAACCAAATAAACTTAGGTTTCAATACCAACTTGCACTTAAAAACTGTGTATCCTTGGATGAATTATTTTTGTTGCATCAAATCTATTTTCCTCTATGATATTCCTTATATAAAGTTAAGAAGGTATCACGTAGCAAGTGCTAAATAATGTTAGTTGCCCTCCCTAAATATTTGCATCATAATTATCAAATAAAATCATCATCAAATTTTATTGTTCCGTGGTTACTTCTTAGATGATGATCAGCTTAGTATTCCCCAATGTCACCAAGTTTTGAATCTAAAGAAGCCTCATGGAATTCTGGAGCAGAAGTCTCCCGATAGGCATGGAGCCTGTGCCCCACTACCTGCAGATGTACCTCCCAGCTGTGTTCTGCCCAGTGCTCTGCTGACTGGACGCCTCTGTGTCCTTAGACCATGTGCAGGGCCTGATGCAGGAAAGAGCTGAGAGCCTTCCTTTAATGGAAAGGCCATGTTGTGGGAACATAATGAGTAAGAGACAGAGGGCAGAGCATGGTAGCTCATACCTGTAATCCCAGCACTTTGGGAGGCCGAGGCAGGTGGATCACTTGAGGTGAGGAGTTTGAGACCAGCCTGGCCAACATGGTGAAACCCCATCTCTACTAAAAATACAAAAATTAGCTGGTCACAGTGTCACATGACTGTAATCCCAACTACTTGGGAGGCTGAGGGACGAGAATCGCTTGAACCCAGGAGGTGGAGGTTGCAATGAGCCAAGATGGTGCCATTGCACTCTAGCCTGGGTGACAGAGTGAGACTGGGTCTCAAAAAAAAAAAAAAAAAAAGGAAAGAAAGAAAGAAAAAAACTGCCTGAAATGAGATTAGACAAGTTTGCAGGAGCCAGGCCATACAGGTATTCATGGAAAGGAGATCGGATTTCACTCTGAGAGCAGTAAGACACCGTGGCAGAGTTTTAAGTGAGAAACAAGATTTGACAAAATTCTTTCTCTGGCCTTATGGTTATGGGATTTGGATCAATTCATGCAAATGATTCAAGCCCTAGTTTCCACATCACAAAAGAGAGATGCTGACATCCCAGCAACTCAACCAACAGGATGATAGTGAAAATCACGTCGTGTAATACACACGAAAAGCCTTACCAGTATGTGTAAAGTCATATAAGTGAAAGTCTTAATAATGATAGCTACTAGAAGCCATGTTTTGGCAAAATGTTATCAACCTGAAAGAACAATATGGGCTCGTTGATTATTTGCTTACTTTATTTTATTCAGTTGACTTTCTGTTATATCACACGAAGTTTGGAGGAATAGATTCCTGCTACTTGTGACACTCTTTAATTCTGGCTGGAGGTGGAGCAGAAGGCAACCCCACCCAGAGCATACAAATGGTCAGTGCTAGCACTGAACATAGGACCACGGGGGAGGGATGGCTTATGCTTTGTAACATCACAAATGGGCTGTTTTTCTGAAACTGCTAGAAGAATAGGAATTCCCTCTTTGCTACTATTGCTTGGAAACAAGACATAGGAGAGCTTGTGTCTTTCATTTATTTATTTATTTATTTATTTATTTATTTATTTATTTATTTATGTGTGCCTTTGTTTATTCCAGAAACTTTTTCTTTTCTTTTCTTTTCTTTTTTTTTTTAGGTGGCATTTCATTCTTGTTGTCCAGGCTGGAGTGCAAGGGTGTGATCTTGGCTCACTGCAACCTCTGCCTCCTGGGTTCAAGCACTTCTCCTGCCTCAGCCTCCTGAGTAGCTGGGGTTACAGGCATGTACCACTACACCCAGCTAATCTTGTTTTTTTTTTAGTAGAGACGGGGTTTCTCTATTTGGTCAGGCAGGTCTCAAACTCCTAACCTCGGGTGATCCGCCCGCCTTGGCCTCCCAAAGTGCTGGGATTATAGGCGCACAAACTTTATTGAGCATCTAGTTGATATCTTAGACCTTCTTATTTCACATCTGTAAAAAAAAGGAACTAATAACAATAATATTTATATGCACATTTCAATATATTCCATGCATTGTACTAAAAATTTGCCTGTGTTATCTTGTTTAAATTTTCTAGTGTCCCCTGATGTAAATAGACATTAACTAGGCACATTTTATATGTGAGGGATTTGAAGGTCTTTGGCCTGTCCAGGTCACTCAGCTAGTAAGCATCAGAGCTGGACTTGAACTTGGCTCTATTTGACTTGAAAGCCAAAGCTCTGAACCACTACATCACACTGCCACCAATCACAGTACAAGAGAAGATGAAAAGTGATAGCACATGTCACATGTTCTAGCAGTTTGGCATTTAGCCCCTCCAGCTTGTTAGAGCATGTCTTTTTCATCCTGACTTTTCCTGATTTCTATAGGCAGGTAAATAAACAAACAAAAACAGTTTAGCTTTCTAGCTAATTTTCCCATGGTGTAAAAACATTTAATAGGCAAACTATAAGTCGATAAGAAAACTCACAATTCCATGGTATCCCATTAGCTTAGCTTGAATTCCCAAGGAGTGTTTAGTATGATGGTGGCCAGCAGGGTCTGGGGCCAGACAGCCTTTGTTTGCATCCTGGCTCTATAGCTTACTAGCTATATGACCTTTTTTATTTACCTTCCCTGAGTTCAGAGATAATACTGCATATCTCATAGAATTGTTATGAGGATTAGCTGTGTTTATAATTCAAAGTTCTTGGTATAGTGATTGACACATAGCTGGTGCTCAATAAACGTCAATTATTAAAATAGCTATTATTTATGTGATACCATTGCTGTTTCACTGGATTCTAGTCTCAAGTTTGAAAGCAGTAAATAATTTCTTCTAGATATTATATTTACTTACATTTAATCCTCAACATCATAAACTTGGAATCTCACCTGCTGAATGACTATTCTTCTATAGCTCAAATTCGTGTGTTCTTCAGCCATGTGATAAATTGTCGTTCGATGAACATTGACTCTGGTGCTGTGGTCGCCGTGCGGGTCTCAGTAGGAGGGTTCACTAGGAAGGCGGCCTGCGCTCATGGAGATGGCATCTCAGAGATGATGGCAGAGGGAGATAATCGCAGCACCAACCTGCTGGCTACAGAGACTGCAAGTCTGGAAGAAACAGCTGCAAGGATGGGGAGAAGTGATGCTGATGCTGATAAAGCCCTCTGATGGGAAACAGCCTGGTTTCCACCTGCCGTCATGGGTGTGGTTTCTTTGATATTTCTGATTATCTACTATCTAGATCCTTTGGCTGACTACCTTGTTCCCATTCTGGTGTAGAATTTTTGGCTCCAATAAATGCACCACTGAACAACAGCAAAGATTCCATGAAATTTGCAGCAATCTAGTAAAAACTCGACGCAGAGCTGTGGGTTGATGGAAACGCCTCTTCACACTAAAGGAAGAAAAACCTAAGATGTTCTTCATGACCATGATCGTTTCCCTTGCTGAGGTTGCTTAGGTGGGACAGCAGGTCCACAACCTGCTTCTCACCTGCCTGATAGTGACTTCCTTACTATTGCTTCCTGGACTAAGCCAACATGGAATCATTTCAAAGTACATTGGAATGGCCAAAAGGGAGCTAACCAAACTTCTCAAACAAAAAGAATAGAAAAATGAATAATTCATCTGCTTTATTCAGTGTGATTAATGGAGCACCCATTGCCCCTGGAAATGGTTTCTGCTGTACTATCTGGATACTAGAATGTTACAGAAGCAGCTGTTTGCTCTCCCTCACTCTGCTCTTAGTTAATAGAAATTCAGGCTCGCCAAGTAATGCTTTGTGTATAGTGTCTTCATCTTGCGTATGGTTGAGTGTGTTCTTGGCAGTTGGCCTCGTGGACAACTCATTAATGTGTATGACTTGTTTTGATTTTTCTTACCCAGGGTTAATCGAATTGCTTTTAGACAACTTCCTTTTTATAGTGGTGAACCTTGCCCTTTAGTACAGTTCAAGTGACTCTGGATAATTGCTCAAGTTCGTCTTTAGCTAGATGCAAGGTAGGTGTCTGTGGCTACAGGAAGCTGGTTCTACCGTCTGCTTCTACAGTCTGCTTAAAAACCTGTCTGACTGGCCGGGCGCGGTGGCTCACGCCTGTATTCCCAGCACTTTGGGAGGCCCAGGCAGGTGGATCACGAGGTCAGGAGATAGAGACCATCCTAGCTAACACGGTGAAATCCCGTCTCTAGTAAAAATACAAAAAATTAGCCGGACGCAGTGGCGGGCGCCTGTAGTCCCAGCTACTCGGGAGGTTGAGGCGGGAGAATGGCGTGAACCCAAGAGGCGGAGCTTGCAGTGAGCCGAGATCGCGCCGCTGCACTCCAGCCTGGGCGAGAGGGCAAGACTCCATCTCAAAAAAGAAAACAAAACAAAAAAAAGCTGTCTGACTTTGTAAATATAGATACCAAGTTTACCATTTCTGATGAAGAGACCAATTAAGATTCAGTCCTCATTCTGTTTCTTTCCCGTGGGAGAAGAGTCCCCATGGAATAAAAGCATTTGTAGGTTTCTCCCTTGTGAAAGCTTAGCAATTTGTAGGAAACTTTGATCTTTTTGTCCAAAAAAAGGAATGTCTGGCAGGCTTAAGCTCTTGTCCCTTTGCACTTAGACTGGAAGTTAGTAAATCCTTAAAGGCTTTTTAATAGCAGACCTCCAAAAGATTGCATTTAGGATTTCTAACATACTTTTAATTTCAGATTTTCAGCCGACTTTAGCTATAGTATACAGTAGGCTAAGACTCATGTCTATGACTTTAAGACCAGCGGTAAAGGACAGCAGTCTTCTATGTTTAGGCAAGATTCATTTCAGAAGATAATCTTATCTGACTAATTTTTGAGACCGGAATAAGCCTTTTAAGGTAAACTTCAGAATTCTCATTTTATGGTAATACTGGGCATTTTAGTCCCCTGGGTTTGGCATGGGAGATAGTGACTACACTGGTGTCTGACTTTTTCCTAGAGGTTTCTCCCTGAAAAATACAAGGACTGTTGGTGAGAGCAGACTTGAAGTGATGATAGTTGACCTCTGGTCTACAAAGATTTTGTAACTCCTTGGAAAGGTTCTTATAATCATTCTTAACTTCTCAGTAGCTAGAAATTTAGAGTAGTTGAAATCTGTAGGAATGAAATCTGTAGGAATGAGAGGCACAAATGTGACTAACTTGGGAACAATTCTTAAACTGATTAACTGGCTGTAATATAGTTTTGTGAATTTATTGCACCGATATTGTACCTTGTGGTATAGCTGTGCCTATTAAATAAGTGTTGTTTTCTCCTTTTTAATATTGCTGTAAACAGTGGTGCCTATTGTAGCATATGTTTGATTTTTAAAAAAATATTTCATAAGAAAACTACCTTAATTTTACCTTACTTTTATTGTAAATAAGCCTGTCTTCCTATCTGGATTTTTTTTGTATACATGTTCTACTACACGTATACACATTTTTTGTGTATACATGTTCTACATAATTAACTACTTTTGCAGTTTTAATCCTTTATTATTTCTTATACTTTGTTTTGTGTAAAAGAGGAAAAAATAAAAAAGTTGGAATCTTAAAAAAAAAATAAAAAAAATTAACATTAACTCTACATACCAGAGTGAACAACAGGTGCTAGAATATAAAAGAAGGTGAATCTCAGCCTTCAAGAGGTACAGCGTTTAATGAATGCTGGGTGACCATTTGGTTATTTGTCAAGCCTCTGTGAAGGGTATTCTGACGCTGAGTGGCAGTTGCAGTAGTTGACCTTGGGACTCTATATTGGAGAGTCCCCTTTCTGGTTTTTTTTTTTTTTTTTTTCTAAGGCTATCTGGCAGGCTGGATCAGATACACAATAAATGAAAGCTTTTTTTTTTATTACCTTAAAGAGGCAGCTTAGTGATATGGGGAGAGGTCAGATGTTGGTGCTAGAGATCTGAGTTCAAATCCTAGCTTTATCATTTAAGAGTTGTGATCTTGGATCGGTTATTTCACTTCTTTGAGCCTCTACCTTCATAAAGGGAAGACTATCTAATGAGGATATTGCGAAGAAAAGTCATGATACACACAACGCACCTAGCACAGCTCTGGCATAAAGCAGGGCCCAGCTAAGGCCAGCCAGGGGTGGCAGCAGCAATCCCGAGCCATAACGCCACTAGAAGGAGTGGCCTTAGCTGCAGCAGCAGATGTGGCAGCAACTTTCTTCTTCTCTTTGTTTGCTCATATGCTGCCTTTATAATGGTAATGGAGTATTTTCAAATTCAAAGTTCATTCTAGAGATAAAGAAAAATGGTAGTGGGTTTCCCTGTAATTAATGGCACTTTTTAGCATTTCAGTCCGATTATAAATAGGATATAAGATGCCTTCTGTGGTGAATAACATTATCTTTACAGTTTTCTAGATTTATGAATTTAGCCCATATGAAATTAATTATTGTGGGTGTATTACATGGATGTGAAACATCTGGAATAATAGGATTTTATTGTTAATAGACCTCTCAGGAGCTCATGACAAACATCCTTGTAATAGCAACATATGCTGCTAGTTGAATGAGAACCATCACTGACAATTAATGTTTCTTGGGCTTTCAGTAATTTACACATTTTCAAATTTTATATTCTTTATTTTCATCTTTATGGTTTCAGTTTGTGACTTGTTTGAAATTAAAGCCAGAACTCCTTACAGAGAAGAAAAAAAATTTATTTAGTGTATACTATGTGCCAAACACTGTGTTATATATTTTATATATGTGAATGTACATAAGCATGAAATTACTTTAAAGCCTGAAAACAATCAGGCATCTCTTTATTTACAAACAGGAAGCCTGAGGCACAGTGAGATTAGTAGCTCATCAATGTGGATGCTCAAGCTAGAATTAAAGGTTGAATTTCTCTGTTCTTTCATTCATTAGAAAAGAAACTGAATATTGTAGAAAAGATTCCCTTTTCTGTAAATCATATTTCTGCTTTCAATATTCCTTTTAACTTTATACATAACAACCTTCCAGTTATTCCTGGGACATGTTGGGCTTAAGCTGATGTGGGCAAGGAGTTGATAAAGATAACTGAATTTAAACTTCTGACATATTTCAAAACCTCGTCTGTGCTTGGTGCAAGGTCGGTCAAGAGCTATGGAAATATCCAAGAGGAGAATATTCTATTTTTCCTGGTTCTCTTGATGCTGAGAAAAGGAATTTTTACTAAGTACTGACTCTGCACAGTTCATAGGTCAGCCACTGGATAACCTGGTTCTCTGAAGAGGAAGGTTCGGCCTGGACCCCAAAGCTCACCCTGCTGTTCTTCCCCCACATGTTTGGTTCGGAATCTCTCCAAATTAAACATATTGATACATTTTAGGAAAATAACAGAAAGTGTACATGATGTGGCCACCAAACCAGAAAATGTGATTAGGGGAAGGAGAATAAACGGTAGGTACACTGTTGCATGGAGAAGGCAGAATTAGTTCCCTTCATGCTTCATTAAGCTGCATTTAGTCATTGTTGCCTTTGTATAAAGATAAAGGCACAATTCTTATCTCAGTATTCTATCTTATGTCTTCAGAACACTCATATTATTTGAAACAGTCCTGTTCAACTATTTAAAATCTTGAGTATTAATCCTTCCCCTCATAAGAATGTAAGTTCCATTTAGCAGGTACCTTTCCTGTATTTACTGAATGAGTGAATAAATACCCTTATATTCAAACAGGACAAATTCTACCTTATATCATATATTCATTCACTGAATCATTTAAAGAATGTATGTTGTGTGCTGAAGTAGGTATATTCACATAATACATGCACACAGGTATGCACAAATAATAGGCAAATTTGCATAACAAGTGAGGTAGTAAGCTTCAAATAGTGGTTGGACCTCTTCCTTGTTCCATGAACTCGGAAAGCTCCACAGCTTTTCTAAGCCTCTCTTATCACATCTATAAAATGCTAATCTATGCTGGCTTCAGCCTGCCCCAGCAACAGCATGTACTCTGTTGCTTCTGCCCTGACTTATGCCTGGACCACTGAGAATCTGGCCTGGTAGAAAGTAGCTGATTTTCTCCTACTAAAACACAGCATCTAGACACAGCCTGCAGATAGCACACCAGATGCTTCCTTTGCATGTTTACAAGCAAAATTGGGCACTTTCAGGAGCCCCAGGACGTGACAGGGATCTGTCCACTATCAGGTGTGATTGTGGGGCTAGACTGGCTGCTGTCTGGGCCCTTGGTTCTCCCTCCAGTCTCCACAGAAAGAAGACCCTGGTCCTCAGACTCTGGTCTGCTGTGGACCTGGCACATAGTAAGTCTGCAAACCCCTTTCCTGGAGTCCAGGCGCTGCACTTGTTTTTCCAGGTATTACTTTAGTATCTCCAAGTTCTATAGGTTGGCCAAACTCCAGATGCCCTAACTCCTTACATTTGATACCTTAAATGCTGACATTTCAAGCCAAGCTTAAGTTTTTCTACAACACTTCTGAATCTCCCAAGTTGAATAGCTGACAGATTCAGGAGAGTTGTGAAAAAAACTTAAGGTTGATCCTCCTTTATCACTACTAGTCTGGTGAATTTCCCTCAGTTACCATACTGTACTCACTACTGTTTCAGTACTATGAAAAGGGGAAAGATGGTTATAAACTGTGTAGCATCTTGTTTGTGTTTATGTGTATTTAGAACAGATCTAACAGGAGTCATTGAATACCCTTGCAAAATAAAGTCCCTTTGAGATGTGAAGAGTGTAATTTGCAAGATCAGTTGCAAACAATCTCCACTAATCATTAAATACAAGGTGCATTCACACCTCAAGTGGGTAGTTTATGCTTCTAGGGTAAGCTAAAACTGTAGACACATCCTTCCACTAATGATAGAAATTGCCTCATGCTGAACTTTAGCTCAAGATATTCCTACAAATGAAGACGGAAGCCACATTATAAAGCTGCTCTGGATTCTATATTATGAAGCCCAGAGTGACCTTAAGGGTTGAAGTAGTGGCCGGGCATGGTGGCTCACGTTTGTCATCCTAGCACTTTGGGAGGCCAAGGTGGGTGGATCACCTGAGGTCAGGAGTTCGAGACCAGCCTGACCAACATGGTGAAACCCTGTCTCTACTAAAAATACAAAAATTATCCGGGTGTGGTGATGGGTACCTGTAATCCCAGCTACTCGGGAGGCTGAGGTAGGAGAATTGCTTGAACCCAAGAGATGGAGGTTGCAGTGAGCTTACATCATGCCACTGCACTCCAGCCTGGGCAACAGAGTGACTCCGTCTCAAAAAAAAAAAAAAAAAAAAAAAAGATTGAAGTCATAAAGATGCTTAATAAAATATAAATTTTTCTAAATATATTTTCACTATTTTTTACTGACCCCACTTTCCAAAAAGAAGGGAATAAGGCTATTGAAATGAATAAAGCCAGACTATACTCATCTAATTTTTTTTTTTGAGACGGAGTCTTGCTCTGTTGCCCAGGCTGGAATTCAGTGGCACCAACTCTGCTTACTGCAACCTCCGCCTCCTGGGTTCAAGCAATTCTCTGTCTCAGCCTCCTGAGTAGCTGGGATTACAGGTGCCCGCCACCACGCCCAGCTAATTTTTGTATTTTTAGTAGAGATGGGATTTCACCATCTTGGCCAGGCTGGTCTTGAACTCCTGACCTCACGATCCACCCACCTCGGCCTCCCCAAGTGCTGGGATTACAGGCGTGAGCCACCGCTCCTGGCCTCATCTTATTATACCTTTAGTGAATAAAACTTTGATATATCCCTGCAGCCCAGCACCATACCTGGCACCAGGCAAGCTCTCAGTAAATGTTGGTTGAATGAAAGAATGTTAGCCACTGACGTTTTTTCCTTCATGGGTCATGGCAGCTGAGAAAGACCAAGGTCAGAGATAATGAGACTTCACAACCTCATAGCTACAGTGAAAGTTATGGAACTGCTTTAGAAGTGAGTTATTTGAAGCTCAGTGGGAAAAGATTCTTCATCTTCCCAGATCTCTGCTGTCACTTACAAAGAGAAATAAAGACTTATCTTGATAGCAAGGGACATTCAGGGATAAGGATCCCGAATAGGGTCTGAGTCTGGAGCTCTGACAGGGCAGTTGGTGAAGCAGCTTGAATAACAGAAGAGTCAATCTTTAGAATCCTCCACAGAGGCTTAGAAAGATGTGTAAAGCGCTTGGGATTTGATTTTACTTTTCAGGGTTTTCTATTCTGTTCTTATACTTACTGTCACTGAATGGAACAGAAAGCAGACCTGTTACAATGTTCAAGTTGTATAGTTTGTGTGTGTTTTAAACAAGAAGAAGAAAGTTGTGGAAGGCTTGTGAGAAGGATGCCTTTTTCTGATAAAAATGCCTTACAACATTTTGAGACGGAATGGAGAACCTGCTTGTCTTCCTTGGGGAATTGATAATGTACAATGAATTTGAAGATTTTCTTATAGTATCTGAGCAAGAGAAGAAATATACTGACTTTGCAATCTATGAAAATTTGTCATTCACTAGCTCTCTTACTGCTTTGTAGTAGGTTAACTATTAACAATTATAAATGACACAACTGTTGTCCTTTAAACGAAATGGAAAGGAGATAATAGTTATTATGTGTCTACTATCTGTTCAACACTATGCGAAACATGTTGTAGTCCCATCATATTTAATACTCAAAACCACCCTATGAATCAGATATATAATTATCCCTATTTTATAAATACTGAAATTGAGACACAGGAAGTAGAAGATGCTTATCTTCTGGCTCTGTCTATTCCTTATCACCCATGATAAGCACCATCTCTCCTGAAAGTGCTCCATATCTTCACCTGATAAAGGTATGTTGTCCCTCCTCTGTGCCATCTCTGTACTTTGTACTTTGCATGTGCTTCCAATGTTATATCTTGGTATTTAAATTAATTTCTTTTCAAGTTTTGTTCTCCCTTACTAGAGTATAAGTCTCTAGATAGTCGGGGTTTTGTTTTTATCTCTGTATTCTTTGCACTGATCACAGAAATGTTTAGTTTTTGAAGTAAGTGCCGCAGAGCCAGTTAGGCATGGAATCAGAATTTAAAATTAACATCCTTTTGAATCGGAAAGCTCACGCATTTTTCATTATACTATGATGTCAAAACTTGAAGACAGACAGAAAGATTAATGCAATTATATTATTAAATAATGCACATAAGTAATACAATTATATCCAATTTACATACCTAATATAAATATATGAAGCTTTCAGGTAACTAATATGGTGCAGGGAAATGTGTGCATACCATAGTTGATTTTGTTTTGAGTTATTTCTGCCTCTGAGCTATGTCTTCCTCATGTGTAAATTGGTTCTATTAATACCCCTGAGGATCATCGTGAAAACTGAAGCAGATAACATATGCTGTTGAACCTGGTGCCTAATGTAGATGAAGATAAATCAATGTTATTTCTCAGTCCAAATGCAGATATGAATATGAATATGGATATGGAGATAGCCTTAAATCAAAGACTTTCAACAGGGATGGGTGGGGAGAGATTTTGTTCTCCAGATGACATCTGGCAGTTTCTGGAGTCATTTTTGGTTATCACGACTGGGGGTGTGTCACTGGCATTTAGTGACAGGAATACTGCTAAACATTCCTCAATATACAGAACAATCTCTCATAACAATAAATTAAATAATTCTCTGGCCCCAAATGTTACAGACATAGATGCAGACATAAAAATACTAAGTATTAAAAGTATCAGGTCTACTTCTGTGAGAGTGCAGGTTTGGAAATGGGATGATACCCTGGCTCTGAATCTGAGATTTTTGTGAAAGAGCTGGATTTAGGCTTTGGGATTAAGTCAGGTAGAAATAAAGCAATTGGAATTCCAGGAGGAGCTTGATTAATGGGGAAAAAGCATTTACGGATCAGAGTCAACAAAATAATTTTCCCATCAGGTGATAAAATCTAGAAGAGTAAGTGGAGGACTTAGCAGGACTATAAAATAAGAATGTTGGTGTTGGAGGTGAGAGGTGTGTATGAACAGGAAACGAGGAGCAAGATGTTAGAGGAAGGACAACAACATAAACAGGGAAACATAAATGACACATATTCTATTCCTTAATTCATCAAAAAGAAAAAAGAGATTAAAAATATCAAGTGCTTTATACACACCAGAGACCTATAAAGGCAGTGGAAGTAAAAACATAAAGCATCATTCCTAAAGTCATAATCTATTTTAGTGTTCCCAAAGTATTTTCCTGATGAAGTTACATATTAAAACCTCTTAAAAGCCCTACCTCTCAATACTGACACACTGGGGGCTAAATTTCAACCTGCATTTTAGACAGGACAAATATTCAAACCACAGCATCTGTGAAGTACTTCGTTTTGAAGGAGAATCTTCCAGAGCCAATATTTAGCCAGGCTAAATTTAGGAAACACTATTCTAGCACTATTCTAGCACCAGGAAGCCAGTAAGAAAACACTTAATGTTTTCATGATAGCATTGGAATTTGTAGAAATTGGCAAAGAAACCACTTTTGGTGTTTCCAATACTTGAAATTTCTAGAAGAAAGGCTTTATTTTGTTTTGTTTTGTTTGATAAGCAAGAGGTTTAAGACAATTTATGGTTAGCCTCTGGCATGTGTTTGGTACTAAATAAATATTTTTGAATGTAGTTAAATGAGTGAGACACTAGGAGTGGGCTAACAAAAAAGAGGAAGATAAAAAAAGCTTATGAAAGGAAAACATGCAAAGCTTGGCAATAGAATGTATATTTGAATACAAAACAAGTAGGAAATTAAGGATGAATAAGAATTCATCTTTTATATTAGAGAAAATTATGGTTTAACTCATGAGATCACAGAAAAGAACATAATAGGAAAATCATGTTAGAATAAAAGCGCCAGACTGAGAAGCTGGATTTTGATGTCTAAACTAGGTCACTAATTTATTGTGTAAACCTGGCCAAGGCCCTTAACCTCTCAGATCCTCACTTGGTTATTTGTAAAACATAGATACCTATGTTCTCAATGAGGATTAAATAGCCTTAATATAAATACACATATGTAAATACACATATACATATATATACATGTATTACACAAATATAATGCATACATGTAGGTATACATAGACATGCACATATATGTAAAAGGAATTATTGTTATTGTAGCTCATATTCTAGACCCATAACCACTTTAAGAATTTCAATGATATACTCTCTATTAATTACTTAGTTTTTAAAAAATTCATGGCTACTATAAAATGATTTTCCTAACCATCTTTTGTTGATATAAATTCTACTTTTTTTATATTCAAGTGAAACTAGGTTGATATGATTTTAATATTCATAATTAGTCATTATCAATTAATATAGTTTAATAAGTAGCAATTTTGTTCATGGTATCTGGGATACCAGATGCTGAGGGACTAAAAATCAATCCCAGTTCTCTAGGAGATTATAATCTAAGGTGCAGGAACTGTTGTCCAAGAGAGTGGTGACAAGGGATAGCCCCAGTTGAGCATATTCCTAAAGGCAGTGGCATTGTTTTCTCCCTGACAACATCCTAAGAAGTGAATTCCACATCTCCTCAGTAGTGAAAAAGAGCCAATCTGACAGGGAGGCCGTACTTTACTTCATTAGAAGATTCCAATGCCATCATGAAGCAGGAAAAAAAAAAAAACACTCACAGCAGAAGTGGCATCCCCATCACAAACTGTTCAGGTTCTCCAGTGACCTCTCCACAATTTGTGTAAAAATAAAGCCGCCCCCATTGGAGTTCACAAAGTCCCAGGTTTCATGGACAATTTAACTAACGTGTGAATGCAGGGGAGGGGTGGTCCTCTGGGTAGATGGTAGCTTGAGTAACTAATTTCAATAATCAGAATAAATATTAGCTTATATATTTGTACTCTGAGGTATTGATGTTATCACATCGGTAATACACAGATGAGGACACAGAGTCAGTGTAAAAAATAATAATAGCTACCATCTCCTGAGTCTCTGCAAGGTGGCTAGAAGACTTCTAAGCACTATAGGATAAATTTTTCTCATTTAATCCTCAGAATAGACACCCTATGCAGGTATTTTTAACTCTGTTAGTGCAGATGAAGAAAGTGAGGCTCAGGGGAGACTTGCTGGAGGACACATAGCCGACAAGAGACACATTGTGGATTTTAAACTGTTTCCTAGTTTTCATTCCCATGTGCTGCATATCTCATTGCATGGCGTCCTCCTGCTTTTCTTTTCTGGATTCCTGTGATAGAGGAGGCTTCTATCCTAGGTTAGGTAGTAGAGGTGTTGTAGCTAGAATGACCTCTTATAACACTACTAATTATTAGGTAGAGGGAATAAGAAAGAGGGAAGAGGCTGGGTGCAGTGGCTCATGCCTGTAATCCCAGCACTTTGGGAGGATGAGGCAGGTGGATCATGAGGTCAGGAGATGGAGACCATCCTGGCCAAGATAGTGAAACCCCGTCTCTACTAAAAATACAAAAAATTAGCCAGGCGTGGTGGCGGGTGCCTGTAGTCCCAGCTACTCAGGAGGCTGAGGTAAGAGAATGGTGTGAACCCGGGAGGCGGAGCTTGCAGTAAGCCGAGATCGCGCCACTGCACTCCAGCCTGGGCGACAGAGCAAGACTCTGTCTCAAAAAAAAAAAAAAAAAGAAAAGAAAAGAAAAGAAAGAGAGAAGAGGTAGTGGATAAAAGTGATTACAGTATGTTCAATGTCATTATTATTATTATTGAGACGGAGTCTCACTCTGTTGCCAGGCTGGAGTGCAGTGGCACGATCTTGGCTCACTGCAACCTCCGCCTCCCTGGTTCAAGTGATTGTCCTGCCTCAGCCTCCAGAGTAGCTAGGATTATAGGTGCGTGCCACCATGCCCAGCTAATTTTTAGTAGAGAAGGGGTTTCACCATATTGGCCAGGATGGTCTGGATCTCCTGAACTCATGGTCCACCCACCTTGGCCTCCCAACGTGCTGGGATTACAGACATGAGCCACCACGCCCGGCCCAATGTCATTATTTTTTAAAGAATGAAAGTATGATTTGGGGCATCACTGTGAGAGAGCACCCTGCAATTTGAGGAACAGAGAGAGAGAATAAAAGACTGTTTAGCCTATGAAAGGGAAGACTCACAAAAGCTATTACACATCTGCATAGCTTTCATTTGGAAAAAGAAATGGAAGGCAAAATAGACTAACACTCATTAAGGACACAGTCTGTATAAGGCAAGTTCTTGGGTGGGTATGTTAAATTAATTTATAGATGAGAAAACTAAGACTGAGATTTCAAGAGGCTTGGCTAAGTTCATTCATGTAACAGGGATTCAAACAAAAATCCAACTTGCAAGGCTTCATTTTTTTTTCTGAACCATTCAATAATGATATGGATGATCTTTGACATACTCAGCTCTGTGGTTTTGGAAGCATTAAAGTTGAAGCTGAGGGACTATATGATAGTGGTGCTATCAAAGCAATTTTTGCACTTGCTGGGCTTTTAGAGTGATAATCTTCATGGTCTCTTTGAATGCAATGCAACTATTCTAGGAGCCAATGAATAATTCGGACAGGTGGGACATACCAAGCAATTTCCAGAGAGAATTTCACTGCATTGCCATTCCTGGTGTTAGCTACCCACATGATGAGAATAAAGGGTTTGAATGAATACGTCATTGAAGTTTAGTCAATGTAATCCTTCAGAGCTGTAATTATTCATTACATACTAGTTTTGTACTTTGTGTGTTATTAGGGGAATAGACAAATGAAAGTTCTGTCCCTCAAATGACAGATTGGTCAGGAATTTCTTCTACCTGCTGGCCCTAACACTGAAGTAGCAAAACTGTAAATAGGACCAATCCAAGGTCAGACATAGGGAAAAATATAGGAGGTGTGTCAAACTATATTACACAGAGTAATACCAGGTTTGGGAGGAGACGAATCAGGAGCCAAATCAAAATAAGAAATATCAGATAGCCTAAAATCCAACAGATGATTGGAAGACAGAGTGGATGTGGATTAATGAGTTCAACTCAATTCAACAAATATGCATTGACTATAGTCTAGTGTATTGCGGGATCTGGCCGGCAGCCTGCAATGCAACGGGGCTGTCTCCTTGTTCCCAGGTGGGTCGGCAGGTTGAGAAATAATAGACACACACAAGATAGTGAAAGCTGGGTCCAGGGGGGTCACTGCCTTCTGGTTCCACGATGCCAACAATGCACTGGATATACCAGCATTTATTATTAAGTTTAGTGAGGGCGGGGTGGGTTAGTGAGGGATTTAGGGTCATTTGATTATGGGGTGAGATGGTCACACGGGGATGAAGTAATTCTTTAACATAACATCTTTATGCAGAAGTACAGTATACAGAGATAAGAATTTATAATATAGTGTGTGCATCAGTAATTTCTAACAGAGCCTTAAAACAGAAACACAGTCTTTCCACAACCTATGATTAGCAAGATATTAATCAGCAGTAACAGTTGCAGCAAAAGCTGGTTACAAACAATCCATAGAAACAGCACATGAAGCTAGACAACCGGTTAGACCAGAAATTCTCAGAAGGGAGTATGCCTTAACCCTAAAGAGG